>NC_000001.11:122829273-123155299 GCF_000001405.40 Homo sapiens
AGGCAGAAAAGGAAATATCTTCGTTTCAAAACTAGACAGAATCATTCTCAGAAACTGCTCTGCGATGTGTGCGTTCAACTCTCAGAGTTTAACTTTTCTTTTCATTCAGCAGTTTGGAAACACTCTGTTTGTAAACTCTGCAAGTGGATATTCAGACCTCTTTGAGGCCTTCGTTGGAAACGGGATTTCTTCATACTATGCTAGACAGAAGAATTCTCAGTAACTTCCTTGTGTTGAGTGTATTCAACTGACAGAGTTGAACTTTCATTTAGAGAGAGTAGTTTTGAAACACTGTTTTTGTGGAATTTGCAAGTGGAGATTTCAAGCGCTTTGGGGCCAAAGGCAGAAAAGGAAATATCTTCGTATAAAAACTAGACAGAATCGTTCTCAGAAACTGCTGCGTGATGTGTGCGTTCAACTCTCAGAGTTTAACTTTTCTTTTCATTCAGCGGTTTGGAAACACTCTGTTTGTAAAGTCTGCACGTGGACAGTTTGACCACTTAGAGGCCTTCGTTGGAAACGGGTTTTTTTCATGTAAGGCTAGACAGAAGAATTCCCAGTAACTTCCTTGTGTTGTGTGCATTCAACTCACAGAGTTAAACGTTCCCTTAGACAGAGCAGATTTGAAACACTCTATTTGTGCAATTTGCAAGTGTAGATTTCAAGCGCTTTAAGGTCAACGGCAGAAAAGGAAATATCTTCGTTTCAAAACTAGACAGAATCATTCCCACAAACTGCGTTGTGATGTGTTCGTTCAACTCACAGAGTTTAACCTTTCCGTTCATACAGCAGTTAGGAAACACTCTGTTTGTAAAGTCTGTAAGTGGATATTCTGACATCTTGTGGCCTTCGTTGGAAACGGGATTTCTTCATATTCTGCTAGACAGAAGAATTCTCAGTAACTTCCTTGTGTTGTGTGTATTCAACTCACAGAGTTGAACGAGCCTTTACACAGAGCAGACTTGAAACACTCTTTTTGTGGAATTTGCAAGTGGAGATTTCAGCCGCTTTGAGGTCAATGGTAGAATAGGATATATCTTCCTATAGAAACTAGACAGAATGATTCTCAGAAACTCCTTTGTGATGTGTGCGTTCAACTCACAGAGTTTAACCTTTCTTTTCATAGAGCAGTTAGGAAACACTCTGTTTGTAAAGTCTGCAATTGGATATTCAGACCTCTTTGAGGCCTTCGTTGGAAACGGGATTTCTTCATATTCCGCTAGACAGAAGAATTCTCAGTAACTTCCTTGTGTTGTGTGTATTCAACTCACAGAGTTGAACGATCCTTTACACAGAGCAGACTTGAAACACTCTTTTTGTGTAATTTGCAAGTGGAGATTTCAGCCGCTTTGAGGTCAATAGTAGAAAAGGAAATATCTTCGTAGAAAAACTAGACAGAATGATTCTCAGAAACTCCTTTGTGATGTGGGCGTTCAACTCACAGAGTTTAACCTTTCTTTTCATAGAGCCGTTAGGAAACACTCTGTTTGTAAAGTCTGCACGTGGATATTTGGACTTCTTTGAGGCCTTCGTTGGAAACGGGTTTTTTTCATGTAAGGCTAGACGGAAGAATTCCCAGTAACTTCCTTGTGTTGTGTACATTCAACTCACAGAGTTGAACGTTCCCTTAGACAGAGCAGATTTGAAACACTCTTTTTGTGCAATTGGCAAATGGAGATTTCAAGCGCTTTAAGTTCAAAGGCAGAAAAGGAAATATCTTCGTTTCAAAACTAGACAGAATCATTCCCACAAACTGCGTTATGATGTGTTCGTTCATCTCACAGAGTTTAACCTTTCTTTTCATAGAGCAGTTAGGAAACAGTCTGTTTGTAAATTCTGTAAGTGGATATTCTGACATCTTGTGGCCTTCGTTGGAAACGGGATTTCTTCATATTCTGCTAGACAGAAGAATTCTCAGGAACTTCCTTGTGTTGTGTGTATTCAACTCACAGAGTTGAACGATCCTTTACACAGAGCAGACTTGAAACACACTTTTTGTGGAATTTGAAAGTGGAGATTTCAGCCGCTTTGAGGTCAATGGTAGAATAGGAAATATCTTCTTATAGAAACTAGACAGAATGATTCTCAGAAACTCCTTTGTGATGTGTGCGTTCAACTCACAGAGTTTAACCTTTCGTTTCATAGAGCAGTTAGGAAACACTCTGTTTGTAAAGTCTGCAATTGGATATTAAGACCTCTTTGAGGCCTTCGTTGGAAACGGGATTTCTTCATATTCTGCTAGACAGAAGAATTCTCAGTAACTTCCTTGTGTTGTGTGTATTCAACTCACAGAGTTGAACGATCCTTTACACAGAGCAGTCTTGAAACACTCTTTTTGTGGAATTTGCAAGTGGAGATTTCTGCCGTTTTGAGGTCAATGATAGAATAGGAAATATCTTCCTATAGAAACTAGACAGAATCATTCTCAGAAACTGCTCTGCGATGTGTGCGTTCAACTCTCAGAGTTTAACTTTTCTTTTCATTCAGCAGTTTGGAAACACTCTGTTTGTAAAGTCTGCACGTGGATAACTTGACCACTTATAGGCCTTCGTTGGAAACGGGTTTTTTTCATGTAAGGCTAGACAGAAGAATTCCCAGTAACTTCCTTGTGTTGTGTACATTCAACTCACAGAGTTGAACGTTCCCTTAGACAGAGCAGATTTGAAACACTCTTTTTGTGCAATTGGCAAGTGGTGATTTCAGCCGCTTTGAGGTCAATGGTAGAAAAGGAAATATCTTCGTATAAAAACTAGACAGAATCATTCTCAGAAACTGCACTGCGATGTGTGCGTTCAACTCTCAGAGTTTAACTTTTCTTTTCATTCAGCAGTTTGGAAACACTCTGTTTGTAAAGTCTGCACGTGGATAATTTGACCACTTAGAGGCCTTCGTTGGAAACGGGTTTTTTTCATGTAAGGCTAGACAGAAGAATTCTCAGTAACTTCCTTGTGTTGTGTGTATTCAACTCACAGAGTTGAACGATCCTTTACACAGAGCAGACTTGTAACACTCTTTTTGTGGAATTTGCCAGTGGAGATTTCAGCCGCTTTGAAGTCAAAGGTAGAAAAGGAAATATCTTCCTATAAAAACTAGACAGAATGATTCTCAGAAACTTCTTTGTGATGTGTGCGTTCAACTCACAGAGTTTAACCTTTCTTTTCATAGAGCAGTTAGGAAACACTCTGTTTGTAAAATCTGCAAGTGGATATTCAGACCTCTTTGAGGCCTTCGTTGGAAACGGGATTTCTTCATACTATGCTAGACAGAAGAATTCCCAGTAACTTCCTTGTGTTGTGTGTGTTCAACTCACGGAGTTGAACTTTCATTTACACAGAGCAGATTTGAAACACTCTTTTTGTGGAATTTGCAAGTGGAGATT
This sequence comes from Homo sapiens, assembly GCF_000001405.40. Taxonomy (NCBI): domain Eukaryota; kingdom Metazoa; phylum Chordata; class Mammalia; order Primates; family Hominidae; genus Homo; species Homo sapiens. Next base: position 122,832,653 of record NC_000001.11, read on the forward strand.
TCAAGCGCTTTGAGGCCAAAGGCAGAAAAGGAAATATCTTCGTTTGAAAACTAGACAGAATCATTCTCAGAAACTGCTCTGTGATGTGTGCGTTCAACTCTCAGAGTTTAACTTTTCTTTTCATTCAGCAGTTTGGAAACACTCTGTTTGTAAAGTCTGCACGTGGATAATTTGACCACTTAGAGGCCTTCGTTGGAAACGGTTTTTTTTAATGTAAGGCTAGACAGAAGAATTCCCAGTAACTTCCTTGTGTTGTGTGCATTCAACTCACAGAGTTGAACGTTCCCTTAGACAGAGCAGATTTGAAACACTCTATTTGTGCAATTTGCATGTGTAGATTTCAAGCGCTTTAAGGTCAATGGCAGAAAAGGAAATATCTTCGTTTCAAAACTAGACAGAATCATTCCCACAAACTGCGTTGTGATGTGTTCGTTCAACTCACAGAGTTTTACCTTTCTGTTCATAGAGCAGTTAGGAAACACTCTGTAAAGTCTGTAAGTGGATATTCTGACATCTTGTGGCCTTCGTTGGAAACGGGATTTCTTCATATTCTGCTAGACAGAAGAATTCTCAGTAACTTCCTTGTGTTGTGTGTATTCAACTCACAGAGTTGAACGATCCTTTACACAGAGCAGACTTGAAACACTCTGTTTGTGGAATTTGCAAGTGGAGATTTCAGCCGCTTTGATGTCAATGGTAGAAAAATGAAATATCTTCGTATAAAGACTAGACAGAATGATTCTCAGAAACTCTTTTGTGATGTGTGCGTTCAACTCACAGAGTTTAACCTTTCTGTTCATAGAGCCGTTAGGAAACACTCTGTTTGTAAAGTCTGCAAGTGGATATTCACACCTCCTTGAGACCTTCGTTGGAAACGGGATTTCTTCATATTCTGCTAGACAGAAGAATTCCCAGTAACTTCCTTGTGTTGTGTGTGTTCAACTCACAGAGTTGAACTTTCATTTACACAGAGCAGATTTGAAACACTCTTTTTGTGGAATTTGCAAGTGGAGATTTCAAGCGCTTTGAGGCCAAAGGCAGAAAAGGAAATATCTTCGTTTCAAAACTAGACTAGAATCATTCTCGGAAACTGCTCTGTGATGTGTGCGTTCAACTCTCAGAGTTTAACTTTTCTTTTCATTCAGCAGTTTGGAAACACTCTGTTTGTAAAGTCTGCACGTGGATATTTTGACCACCTAAAGGCCTTCGTTGGAAACGTGTTTTTTTCCTGTAAGGCTAGACAGAAGAATTCCCAGTAACTTCCTTGTGTTGTGTACATTCAACTCACAGAGTTGAACGTTCCCTTAGACAGAGCAGATTTGAAACACTCTTTTTGTGCAATTGGCAAGTGGTGATTTCAGCCGCTTTGAGGTCAATGGTATAAAAGGAAATATCTTCGTATTAAAACTAGACAGAATGATTCTCAGAAACTTCATTGGGATGTGTGCGTTCAACTCACAGAGTTTAACCTTTCTTTTCATAGAGCAGTTAGGAAACACTCTGTTTGTAAACTCTGCAAGTGGATATTCAGACCTCTTTGAGGCCTTCGTTGGAAACGGGATTTCTTCATACTGTGCTAGACAGAAGAATTCTCAGTAACTTCCTTGTGTTGTGTGCATTCAACTCACAGAGTTGAACGATCCTTTACACAGAGCAGATTAGAAACCCTCTTTTTGTGGAATTTGCAAGTGGAGATTTCAAGCACTTTGAGGTCAATGGTAGAAAAGGAAATATCTTCGTATAAAAACTAGACAGAATGATTCTCAGAAACTTCTTTGTGATGTGTGCGTTCAACTCACAGAGTTTAACCTTTCTTTTCATAGAGCAGTTAGGAAACACTCTGTTTGTAAACTCTGCAAGTGGATATTCAGACCTCTTTGAGGCCTTCGTTGGAAACGGGTTTTTTTCATATAAGGCTAGACAGAAGAGTTCTCAGTAACTTCCTTGTGTTGTGTGTATTCAACTGACAGAGTTGAACTTTCATTTAGAGAGAGCAGATTTGAAACACTGTTTTTGTGGAATTTGCAAGTGGAGATTTCAAGCGCTTTGGGGCCAAAGGCAGAAAAGGAAATATCTTCGTATAAAAACTAGACAGAATCATTCTCAGAAACTGCTGCGTGATGTGTGCGTTCAACTCTGAGAGTTTAACTTTTCTTTTCATTCAGCGGTTTGGAAACACTCTGTTTGTAAAGTCTGCACGTGGAAATTTTGACCACTTAGAGGCCTTCGTTGGAAACGGGATTTTTTCATGTAAGGCTAGACAGAAGAATTCTGAGTAACTTCCTTGTGTTGTGTGTATTCAACTGACAGAGTTGAACTTTCATTTAGAGAGAGCAGATTTGAAACACTGTTTTTGTGGAATTTGCAATTGGAGATTTCAAGCGCTTTGGGGCCAAAGGCAGAAAAGGAAATATCTTCGTATAAAAACTAGACAGAATCATTCTCAGAAACTGCTCTGCGATGTGTGCGTTCAACTCTCAGAGTTTAACTTTTCTTTTCATTCAGCAGTTTGGAAACACTCTGTTTGTAAAGTCTGCACGTGGATAATTTGACCACTTAGAGGCCTTCGTTGGAAACGGGTTTTTTTCATGTAAGGTTAGACAGAAGAATTCTCAGTAACTTTCCTTGTGTTGTGTGTATTCAACTCACACAGTTGAACGATCCTTTACACAGAGCAGACTTGTAACACTCTTTTTGTGGAATTTGCAAGTGGAGATTTCAGCCGCTTTGAAGTCAAAGGTAGAAAAGGAAATATCTTCCTATAAAAACTAGACAGAAATGATTCTCAGAAACTCCTTTGTGATGTGTGCGTTCAACTCACAGAGTTTAACCTTTCTTTTCATAGAGCAGTTAGGAAACACTCTGTTTGTAAAGTCTGCAAGTGGATATTCAGACCTCTTTGAGGCCTTCGTTGGAAACGGGATTTCTTCATACTATGCTAGACAGAAGAATTCTCAGTAATTTCCGCGTGTTGTGTGTATTCAACTCACAGAGTTGAACGATCCTTTACACAGAGCAGACTTGAAACACTCTTTTTGTGGAATTTGCAAGTGGAGATTTCAGCCGCTTTGAAGTCAAAGGTAGAAAAGGAAATATCTTCCTATAAAAACTAGACAGAATCATTCTCAGAAACTGCTGCGTGATGTGTGCGTTGAACTCTCAGAGTTTAACTTTTCTTTTCATTCAGCGGTTTGGAAACACTCTGTTTGTAAAGTCTGCACGTGGATATTTTGACCACTTAGAGGCCTTCGTTGGAAACCGGTTTTTTTCATGTAAGCCTAGACAGAAGAATTCCCAGTAACTTCCTTGTGTTGTGTGCATTCAACTCACAGAGTTGAACGTTCCCTTAGACAGAGCAGATTTGAAACACTCTATTTGTGCAATTTGCAAGTGTAGTTTTCAAGCTCTTTAAGGTCAACGGCAGAAAAGGAAATATCTTGGTTTCAAAACTAGACAGAATCATTCCCACAAACTGCGTTGTGATGTGTTCGTTCAACTCACAGAGTTTAACATTTCTGTTCATAGAGCAGTTAGGAACACTCTGTTTGTAAAGTCTGTAAGTGGATATTCTGACATCTTGTGGCCTTCGTTGGAAACGGGATTTCTTCATATTCTGCTAGACAGAAGAATTCTCAGTAACTTCCTTGTGTTGTGTGTATTCAATTCACAGTGTTGAACGATCCTTTACACAGAGCATACTTGAAACACTCTTCTTGTGGAATTTGCAAGTGGAGATTTCAGCCGATTTGAGGTCAATGGTAGAATAGGAAATATCTTCGTATAAAAACTAGACAGAATGATTCTCAGAAACTCCTTTGTGATCTGTGTGTTCAACTCACAGAGTTTAACCTTTCTTTTCATAGAGCAGTTAGGAAACACTCTGTTTCTAAAGTCTGCAAGTGGATATTCAGACCTCTTTGAGGCCTTCGTTGGAAACGGGTTTTTTTCATATAAGGCTAGACAGAAGAATTCTCAGTAACTTCATTGTGTTGTGTTTATTCAACTCACAGAGTTGAATGATCCTTTACACAGAGCAGACTTGAAACACTCTTTTTGTGGAATTTGCAAGTGGAGATTTCAGCCGCTTTGAGGTCAATGGTAGAAAAGTAAATATCTTCGTATAAAGACTAGACAGAATGATTCTCAGAAACTTCTTTGGGATGTGTGCGTTCAACTCACAGAGTTTAACCTTTCTTTTCATAGAGCAGTTAGGAAACACTCTGTTTGTAAACTCTGCAAGTGGATATTCAGACCTCTTTGAGGCCTTCGTTGGAAACGGGATTTCTTCATACTATGCTAGACAGAAGAATTCCCAGTAACTTCCTTGTGTTGTGTGTGTTCAACTCACAGATTTGAACTTTCATTTACACAGAGCAGATTTGAAACACTCTTTTTGTGGAATTTGCAAGTGGAGATTTCAATGGCTTTGAGGCCAAAGGCAGAAAAGGAAATATCTTCGTTTCAAAACTAGACAGAATCATTCTCAGAAACTGCTCTGCGATGTGTGCGTTCAACTCTCAGAGTTTAACTTTTCTTTTCATTCAGCAGTTTGGAAACACTCTGTTTTTAAAGTCTGCACGTGGATATTTTGACCACTTAGACGCCTTCGTTGGAAACTGGTTTTTTTCCAGTAAGGCTAGACAGAATAATTCTCAGTAACTTCCCTTGGGTTGTGTGTATTCAACTCACAGAGTTGAAGGATCCTTTACAGAGAGCAGGCTTGAAACACTCTTTTTGTCGAATTTGCAAGTGGAGATTTCAGCCGCTTTGTGGTCAATGGTAGAATAGGAAATATCTTCTTATAGAAACTAGACAGAATGATTCTGAGAAACTCCTTTGTGATGTGTGCGTTCAACTCACAGAGTTTAACCTTTCTTTTCATAGAGCAGTTAGGAAACACTCTGTTTCTAAAGTGTGCAAGTGGATATTCAGACCTCCTTGAGGCCTTCGTTGGAAACGGGATTTCTTCATATTATGCTAGACAGAAGAATTCCCAGTAACTTCCTTGTGTTGTGTGTGTTCAACTCACAGTGTTGAACTTTCATTTACACAGAGCAGATTGGAAACACTCTTTTTGTGGAATTTGCAAGTGGAGATTTCAAGCGCTTTGAGGCCAAAGGCAGAAAAGGAAATATCTTCGTATAAAAACTAGACAGAATGATTCTCAGAAACTTCTTTGTGATGTGTGCGTTCAACTCACAGAGTTTAACCTTTCTTTTCATAGAGCAGTTAGGAAACACTCTGTTTGTGAACTCTGCAAGTGGATATTCAGACCTGTTTGAGGCCTTCGTTGGAAACGGGATTTCTTCATACTATTCTAGACAGAAGAATTCTCAGAAACTCCCTTGTGTTGTGTGTATTCAACTGACAGAGTTGAACTTTCATTTAGACAGAGCAGATTTGAAACACTCTTTATGTGGAATTGGCAAGTGGAGATTTGAAGCGCTTTGAGACCAAAGGCAGAAAAGGAAATATCTTCGTTTCAAAACTAGACAGAATCATTCCCACAAACTGCGTTGTGATGTGTTCGTTCAACTCACAGGGTTTAACCTTTCTTTTCATAGAGCAGTTAGGAAACACTCTGTTTGTAAAGTCTGTAAGTGGATATTCTGACATCTTGTGGCCTTCTTTGGAAACGGGATTTCTTCATATTCTGCTAGACAGAAGAATTCTCAGTAACTTCCTTGTGTTGTGTGTATTCAACTGACAGAGTTGAAGGATCCTTTACAGAGAGCAGGCTTGAAACACTCTTTTTGTCGAATTTGCAAGTGGAGATTTCAGCCGCTTTGAGGTGAATGGTAGAATAGGAAATATCTTCTTATAGAAACTAGACAGAATGATTCTCAGAAACTCCTTTGTGATGTGTGCGTTCAACTCACAGAGTTTAACCTTTCTTTTCATAGAGCAGTTAGGAAACACTCTGTTTGTAAAGTCTGCACGTGGATATTTGGACTTCTTTGAGGCCTTCGTTGGAAACGGGTTTTTTTCATGTAAGGCTAGACGGAGGAATTCTCAGTAACTTCCTTGTGTTGTGTGTATTCAACTGACAGAGTTGAACTTTCATTTAGAGAGAGGAGATTTGAAACACTGTTTTTGTGGAATTTGCAAGTTTAGATTTCAAGCGCTTTGGGGCCAAAGGCAGAAAAGGAAATATCTTCGTATAAAAACTAGACAGAATCATTCTCAGAAACTGCTCTGCGATGTGTGCGTTCAACTCTCAGAGTTTAACTTTTCTTTTCATTCAGAAGTTTGGAAACACTCTGTTTGTAAAGTCTGCACGTGGATATTTTGACCATTTAGAGGCTTTCGTTGGAAACGGGTTTTTTTCTTGTAAGGCTAGACAGAAGAATTCTCAGTAACTTCATTGTGTTGTGTGTATTCAACTCACAGAGTTCAACGATCCTTTACACAGAGCAGACTTGAAACACTCTTTTTCTGGAATTTGCAAGTGGAGATTTCAGCCGCTTTGAGGTCAATGGTAGAAAAGAAATATCTTCCTATAAAAACTAGACAGAATGATTCTCAGAAACTCCTTTGTGATGTGTGCGTTCAACTCACAGAGGTTAACCTTTCTTTTCATAGAGCAGTTAGGAAACACTCTGTTTGTAAAGTCTGCAAGTGGAGATTCAGACCTGCTTGAGGCATTCGTTGGAAACGGGATTTCTTCATATTATGCTAGACAGAAGAATTCTCAGTAAGTTCCTTGTAGTGTGTGTATTCAACTCACAGAGTTGAACGATCCTTTACACAGAGCAGACTTGAAACACTCTTTTTGTGTAATTTGCAAGTGGAGATTTCAGCCGCTTTGAGGTCAATGGTAGAATAGGAAATATCTTCCTATAGAAACTAGACAGAATGATTCTCAGAAACTCCTTTGTGATGTGTGCGTTCAACTCACAGAGTTTAACCTTTCTTTTCATAGAGCAGTTGGGAAACACTCTGTTTGTATAGTGTGCAAGTGGATATTCAGACCTCTTTGAGGCCTTCGTTGGAAACGGGATTTCTTCATATTCTGCTAGACAGAAGAATTCCCAGTAACTTTCCTTGTGTTGTGTGTGTTCAACTCACAGAGTTGAACTTCCATTTACACAGAGCAGATTTGAAACACTCTTTTTGTGGAATTTGCAAGTGGAGATTTCAAGCGCTTTGAGGCCAAAGGCAGAAAAGGAAATATCTTCGTTTCAAAACTAGACAGAATCATTCTCAGAAACTGCTCTGCGATGTGTGCGTTCAACTCTCAGAGTTTAACCTTTCTTTTCATTCAGCAGTTTGGAAACACTCTGTTTGTAAAGTCTGCACGTGGATATTTTGACCATTTAGAGGCCTTCGTTGGAAACGGGTTTTTTTCTTGTAAGGCTAGACAGAAGAATTCCCAGTAACTTCCTTGTGTTGTGTACATTCAACTCACAGAGTTGAACGTTCCCTTAGACAGAGCAGATTTGAAACACTCTTTTTGTGCAATTGGCAAGTGGAGATTTCAAGCGCTTTAAGGTCAATGGCAGAAAAGGAAATATCTTCGTTTCAAAACTAGAGAGAATCATTCCCACAAACTGCGTTGTGATGTGTTCGTTCAACTCACAGAGTTTAACCTTTCTTTTCATAGAGCAGTTGGGAAACAGTCTGTTTGAAAATTCTGTAAGTGGATATTCTGACATCTTGTGGCCTTCGTTGGAAACGGGATTTCTTCATATTCTGCTAGACAGAAGAATTCTCAGTAACTTCCTTGTGTTGTGTGTATTCAACTCACAGAGTTGAACGATCCTTTACACAGAGCAGACTTGAAACACTCTTTTTGTGGAATTTGCAAGTGGAGATTTCAGCCGCTTTGAGGTCAATAGTAGAAAAGGAAATATCTTCGTAGAAAAACTAGACAAGAATGATTCTCAGAAACTCCTTTGTGATGTGTGCGTTCAACTCACAAAGTTCAACCTTTCTTTTCATAGAGCAGTTGGGAAACACTCTGTTTGTAAAGTCTGCAAGTGGATATTCAGACTTCTTTGAGGCCTTCGTTGGAAGCAGGGATTTCTTCATATTCTGCTAGACAGAAAAATTCTCAGTAACTTCCTTGTGTTGTGTGTATTCAACTCACAGAGTTGAACGATCCTTTACACAGAGCAGACTTGAAACACTCTTTTTGTCGAATTTGCAAGTGGAGATTTCAGCCGCTTTGAGGTCAATGGTAGAATAGGAAATATCTTCTTATAGAAACTAGACAGAACGATTCTCAGAAACTGCTTTGTGATGTGTGCGTTCAACTCACAGAGTTTAACCTTTCTTTTCATAGAGCAGTTAGGAAACACTCTGTTTGTAAAGTCTGCAAGTGGATATTCAGACCTCTTTGAAGCCTTCGTTGGAAACGGGATTGCTTCATATTCTGCTAGACAGAAGAATTCTCAGAAACTTCCTTGTGTTGTGTGTATTCAACTCACAGAGTTTAACGATCGTTTACACAGAACAGACTTGAGACACTCTTTTTGTGGAATTTGTAAGTGGAGATTTCAGCCACTTTGAGGTCAATGGTAGAAAAGGAAATATCTTCATATAAAAACTAGACAGAATAATTCTCAGAAACTGCTGCGTGATGTGTGCGTTCAACTCTCAGAGTTTAACTTTTCTTTTCATTCAGCGGTTTGGAAACACTCTGTTTGTAAAGTCTGCACGTGGTTATTTTGACCACTTAGAGGCCTTCGTTGGAAACGGGTTTTCTTCATGTAAGGCTAGACAGAAGAATTCCCAGTAACTTCCTTGTGTTGTGTACATTCAACTCACAGAGTTGAACGTTCCCTTAGACAGAGCAGATTTGAAACACTCTTTTTGTGCAATTGGCAAGTGGTGATTTCAGCCTCTTTGAGGTCAATGGTAGAAAAGGAAATATCTTCGTACAAAAACTAGACAGAATGATTCTCAGAAACTCCTTTGTGATGTGTGCGTTCCACTCACAGAGTTTAACCTTTCTTTTCATAGAGCAGTTAGGAAACACTCTGTTTGTAAAGTCTGCAAGTGGATATTCAGACCTCCTTGAGGCCTTCGTTGGAAACGGGATTTCTACATATTATGCTAGACAGAAGAATTCTCAGTAACTTCCTTGTGTTGTGTGTATTCAACTCACAGAGTTGAACGATCCTTTACACAGAGCAGACTTGAAACACTCTTTTTGTGAAATTTGCAAGTGGAGATTTCAGCCTCTTTGAGGTCAATGGTAGAATAGGAAATATCTTCCTATAGAAACTAGACAGAATGATTCTGAGAAACTCCTTTGTGATGTGTGCATTCAACTCACAGAGTTTAACCTTTCTTTTCATAGAGCAGTTAGGAAACACTCTGCTTGTAAAGTCTGCAAGTGGATACTCAGACCTCCTTGAGGCCTTCGTTGGAAACGGGATTTCTTCCTATTATGCTAGACAGAAGAATTCCCAGTAACTTCCTTGTGTTGTGTGTGTTCAACTCACAGAGTTGAACTTTGATTTACACAGAGCAGATTTGAAACACTCTTTTTGTGGAATTTGCAAGTGGAGATTTCAAGCGCTTTGAGGCCAAAGGCAGAAAAGGAAATATCTTCTGTATAAAAACTAGACTAGAATCATTCTCAGAAACTGCTGCGTGATGTGTGCGTTCAACTCTCAGAGTTTAACTTTTCTTTTCATTCAGCGGTTTGGAAACACCCTGTTTGTAAAGTCTGCACGTGGATATTTTGACCACTTAGAGGCCTTCGTTGGAAACGGGATTTTTTCATGTAAGGCTAGACAGAAGAATTCCCAGTAACTTCCTTGTGTTGTGTACATTCAACTCACAGAGTTGAACGTTCCCTTAGACAGAGCAGATTTGAAACACTCTTTTTGTGCAATTGGCAAATGGAGATTTCAAGCGCTTTAAGGTCAATGGCAGGAAAGGAAATATCTTCGTTTCAAAACTAGACAGAATGATTCTCAGAACCTTCTTTGTGATGTGTGCGTTCAACTCACAGAGTTTAACCTTTCTTTTCATAGAGCAGTTAGGAAACACTCTGTTTGTAAACTCTGCAAGTGGATATTCAGACCTCTTTGAGGCCTTCGTTGGAAACGGGATTTCTTCATACTATGCTAGACAGAAGAATTCTCAGTAACTTCCTTGTGTTGTGTGTATTCAACTCACAGAGTTGAACGATCCTTTACACAGAGCAGACTTGTAACACTCTTTTTGTGGAATTTGCAAGTGGAGATTTCAGCCGCTTTGAAGTCAAAGGTAGAAAAGGGAATATCTTCCTATAAAAACTAGACAGAATGATTCTCAGAAACTCCTTTGTGATGTGTGCGTTCAACTCACAGAGTTTAACTTTTCTTTTCATAGAGCAGTTAGGAAACACTCTGTTTGTAAAGTCTGCAAGTGGATATTCAGACCTCTTTGAGGCCTTCGTTTGAAATGGGATTTCTTCATATTATGCTAGACAGAAGAATTCTCAGTAACTTCCTTGTGTTGTGTGTATTCAACTGACAGAGTTGAACTTTCATTTAGAGAGAGCAGATTTGAAACACTGTTTTTGTGGAATTTGCAAGTGGAGATATCAAGCGCTTTGGGGCCAAAGGCAGAAAAGGAAATATCTTCGTATAAAAACTAGACAGAATCATTCTCAGAAACTGCTCTGTGATGTGTGCGTTCAACTCTCAGAGTTTAACTTTTCTTTTCATTCAGCAGTTTGGAAACACTCTGTTTGTAAAGTCTGCACGTGGATAATTTGACCACTTAGAGGCCTTCGTTGGAAACTGGTTTTTTTCATGTAAGGCTAGACAGAAAGAATTCCCAGTAACTTCCTTGTGTTGTGTACATTCAACTCACAGAGTTGAACGTTCCCTTAGACAGAGCAGATTTGAAACACTCTTTTTGTGCAATTGGCAAATGGAGATTTCAAGCGCTTTAAGTTCAATGGCAGAAAAGGAAATATCTTCGTTTCAAAACTAGACAGATCATTCCCACAAACTGCGTTGTGATGTGTTCGTTCAACTCACAGAGTTTAACCTTTCTTTTCGTAGAGCAGTTAGGAAACAGTCTGTTTGTAAATTCTGTAAGTGGATATTCTGACATCTTGTGGCCTTCGTTGGAAACGGGATTTCTTCATATTCTGCTAGACAGAAGAATTCTCAGAATCTTCCTTGTGTTGTGTGTATTCAACTCACAGAGTTGAACGATCCTTTACACAGAGCAGACTTGTAACACTCTTTTTGTGGAATTTGCAAGTGGAGATTTCTGCCGCTTTGAAGTCAAAGGTAGAAAAGGAAATATCTTCCTATAAAAACTAGACAGAATGATTCTCAGAAACTCCTTTGTGATGTGTGCGTTCAACTCACATAGTTTAACCTTTCTTTTCATAGAGCAGTTAGGAAACACTCTGTTTGTAAAGTCTGCAAGTGGATATTCAGACATCCTAGAGGCTTTCGTTGGAAACGGGATTTCTTCATATTCTGCTAGACAGAAGAATTCTCAGAAACTTCGTTGTGTTGTGTGTTTTCAACTCACAGAGTTCAACGATCCTTTACACAGAGTAGACTTGAAACACTCTTTTTGTGGAAGTGGCAGGGTGGAGATTTCAGCCGCTTTGAGGTCAATGGTAGAAAAGGAAATATCTTCGTATGAAAACTAGACAGAATGATTCTCAGAAACTCCTTTGTGATGTGTGCGTTCAACTCACAGAGTTTAACTTTTCTTTTCATACAGCAGTTAGGAAACACTCTGTTTGTAAAGTCTGCAAGTGGATATTCAGACCTCTTTGAGGCCTTCGTTGGAAACGGGATTTCTTCATATTATGCTAGACAGAAGAATTCTCAGTAACTTCCCTGTGTTGTGTGTATTCAACTCACAGAGTTGAACGATCCTTTACACAGAGCAGACTTGAAACACTCTTTTTGTGGAATTTACAAGTGGAGATTTCAGCCGATTTGAGGTCAATGGTAGAAAAGGAAATATCTTCCTATAGAAACTAGACAGAATGATTCTCAGAAACTCCTTTGTGATGTGTGCGTTCAACTCACAGAGTTTAACTTTCCTTTTCATAGAGCAGTTAGGAAACACTCTGTTTGTAAAGTCTTCATGTGGATATTCATTCCTCTTTGAGGCCTTCGTTGGAAACGGGATTTCTTCATATTCTGCTAGACAGAAGAATTCTCAGTAACTTCCTTGTGTTGTGTGTATTCAACTCACAGAGTTCAACGATCCTTTACACAGAGCAGACTTGAAACACTCTTTTTGTGGAATTTGCAAGTGGAGATTTCAGCCGCTTTGAAGTCAATGGTAGAAAAGGAAATATCTTCGTATAAAAACTAGACAGATAATCATTCCCACAAACTGCGTTGTGATGTGTTCGTTCAACTCACAGAGTTTAACCGTTCTTTTCATAGAGCAGTTAGGAAACACTCTGTTTGTAAATTCTGTAAGTGGATATTCTGACATCTTGTGGCCTTCGTTGGAAACGGGATTTCTTCATGTTCTGCTAGACAGAAGAATTCTCAGTAACTTCCTTGTGTTGTGTGTATTCAACTCACAGAGTTGAACAGTGGTTTACACAGAGCAGATTTGAAACACTCTTTTTGTGGAATTTGCAAGTGGAGATTTCAGCCGCTTTGAGGTCAATGGTAGAAAAGGAAATATCTTCGTATAAAAACTAGACAGAATGATTCTCATAAACTCCTTTGTGATGTGGGCGTTGAACTCACAGAGTTTAACCTTTCTTTTCATAGAGCAGTTAGGAACCACTCTGTTTGTAAAGTCTGCAAATGGATATTCAGACCTCTTTGAGGCCTTCTTTGGAAACGGGATTTGTTCATATTCTGCTAGACACAATAATTCTCAGTAACTTCCTTGTGTTGTGTGTATTCAACTCACAGAGTTGAACGATCCTTTATAGAGAGCAGACTTGAAACACTCTTTTTGTGGAATTTGCAAGTGGAGATTTCAGCCTCTTTGAGGTCAATGGTAGAATAGGAAATATCTTCCTATAGAAACTAGACAGAACGATTCTCAGAAACTCCTTTGTGATGTGTGCGTTCAACTCACAGAGTTTAACCTTTCTTTTCATAGAGCAGTTAGGAAACACTCTGTTTGTAAAGTCTGCACGTGGATATTCAGACGTCTTTGAGGCCTTCGTTAGAAACGGGATTTCTTCCTATTCTGCTAGACAGAAGAATTCTCAGTAACTTCCTTGTGTTGTGTGTATTCAACTCACAGAGTTGAACGATCCTTTACACAGAGCAGACTTGAAACACTCTTTTTGTGGAATTTGCAAGTGGAGATTTCAGCCGCTTTCAGGTCAAGAGAAGAAAAGGAAATATCTTCGTAGAAAAACTAGACAGAATGATTCTCAGAAACTCCTTTGTGATGTGTGCTTTCAAGTCACAGAGTTTAACCTTTCTTTTCATAGAGCAGTTAGGAAACACTCTGTTTGTAAAGTCTGCAAGTGGATATTCAGACGTCTTTGAGGCCTTCGTTGGAAACGGGATTTCTTCATATTCTGCTAGACAGAAGAATTCCCAGTAACTTCCTTGTGTTGTGTGTGTTCAACTCACAGAGTTGAACTTTCATTTACACAGAGCAGATTAGAAACACTCTTTTTGTGGAATTCGCAAGTGGAGATTTCAAGCGCTTTGAGGCCAAAGGCAGAAAAGGAAATATCTTCGTTTCAAAACTAGACAGAATCATTCTCAGAAACTGCTCTGCGATGTGTGCGTTCAACTCTCAGAGTTTAACTTTTCTTTTCATTCAGCAGTTTGGAAACACTCTGTTTGTAAAGTCTGCACGTGGATATTTTGACCACTTAGAGGCCTTCGTTGGAAACGGGTTTTATTCCTGTAAGGCTAGACAGAAGAATTCCCAGTAACTACCTTGTGTTGTGTGCATTCAACTCACAGAGTTGAACGTTCCCTTAGACAGAGCAGATTTGAAACACTCTATTTGTGCAATTTGCAAGTGTAGATTTCAAGCGCTTTAAGGTCAACGGCAGAAAAGGAAATATCTTCGTTTCAAAATTAGACAGAATCATTCCCACAAACTGCGTTGTGATGTGTTCGTTCAACTCACAGAGTTTAACCTTTCTGTTCATAGAGCAGTTAGGAAACACTCTGTTTGTAAAGTCTGTAACTGGATATTCTGACATCTTGTGGCCTTCGTTGGAAACGGGATTTCTTCATATTCTGCTAGACAGAAGAATTCTCAGTAACTTCCTTGTGTTGTGTGTATTCAACTCACAGAGTTGAACGACCCTTTACAGAGAGCAGACTTGAAACACTCTTTTTGTGGAATTTGCAAGTGGAGATTTCAGCCGCTTTGAGGTCAATGGTAGAAAAGGAAACTATCTTCGTATAAAGACTAGACAGAATGATTCTCAGAAACTGTTTTGTGATGTGTGCGTTCAACTCACAGAGTTCAACCTTTCTTTTCATAGAGCAGTTGGGAAACACTCTGTTTGTAAAGTCTGCAAGTGGATATTCAGACTTCTTTGAGGCCTTCGTTGGAAGCGGGATTTCTTCATATTCTGCTAGACAGAAGAATTCCCAGTAACTTCCTTGTGTTGTGTGTGTTCAACTCACAGAGTTGAACTTTGATTTACACAGAGCAGATTTGAAACACTCTTTTTGTGGAGTTTGCAAGTGGAGATTTCAAGCGCTTTGAGGCCAAAGGCAGAAAAGGAAATATCTTCGTATAAAAACTAGAGAGAATCATTCTCAGAAAGTGCTCTGCGATGTGTGCGTTCAACTCTCAGAGTTTAACTTTTCTTTTCATTCAGCAGTTTGGAAACACTCTGTTTGTAAAGTCTGCACGTGGATATTTTGACCACTTAGAGGCCTTCGTTGGAAACGGGTTTTTTTCTTGTAAGGCTAGACAGAAGAATTCCCAGTAACTTCCTTGTGTTGTGTGCATTCAACTCACAGAGTTGAACGTTCCCTTAGACAGAGCAGATTTGAAACACTCTATTTGTGTAATTTGCAAGTGTAGATTTCAAGCGCTTTAAGGTCAACGGCAGAAAAGGAAATATCTTCGTTTCAAAACTAGACAGAAATCATTCCCACAAACTGCGTTGTGATGTGTTCGTTCAACTCACAGTGTTTAACCTTTCTTTTCATAGAGCAGGTAGGAACCAGTCTGTTTGTAAATTCTGTAAGTGGATATTCTGACATCTTGTGGCCTTCGTTGGAAACGGGGTTTCTTCATATTTTGCTAGACAGAAGAATTCTCAGTAACTTCCTTGTGTTGTGTTTATTCAACTCACAGAGTTGAATGCTCCTTTACACAGAGCAGACTTGAAACACTCTTTTTGTGGAATTTGCAAGTGGAGATTTCAGAGGCTTTGAGGTCAATGGTAGAAAAGTAAATATCTTCGTATAAAGACTAGACAGAATGATTCTCAGAAACTCCTTTGTGATGTGTGCGTTCAAATCACAGAGTTTAACTTTTCTTTTCATAGAGCAGTTAGGAAACACTCTGTTTGTAAAGTGTGCAAGTGGATATTCAGACCTCTTTGAGGCCTTCGTTGGAAACGGGATTTCTTCATATTATGCTAGACAGAAGAATTCTCAGTAACTTCCCTTGTGTTGTGTG
The DNA here is from genome assembly GCF_000001405.40 of Homo sapiens. Classification (NCBI taxonomy): domain Eukaryota; kingdom Metazoa; phylum Chordata; class Mammalia; order Primates; family Hominidae; genus Homo; species Homo sapiens. Next base: position 122,848,214 of record NC_000001.11, read on the forward strand.
TATTCAACTCACAGAGTTGAACGATCCTTTACACAGAGCAGACTTGAAACACTCTTTTTGTGGAATTTGCAAGAGGAGATTTCAGCCGCTTTGAGGTCAATAGTAGAAAAGGAAACATCTTCGTAGAAAAACTAGACAGAATGATTCTCAGAAACTCCTTTGTGATGTGTGCGTTCAACTCACAGAGTTTAACTTTCCTTTTCATAGAGCAGTTAGGAAACACTCTGTTTGTAAAGTCTGCAAGTGGATATTCAGACCTCTTTGAGGCCTTCGTTGGAAACGGGATTTCTTCATATTCTGCTAGACAGAAGAATTCCCAGTAAGTTCCTTGTGTTGTGTGTGTTCAACTCACAGAGTTGAACTTTCATTTACACAGAGCAGATTTGAAACACTCTTTTTGTGGAATTTGCAAGTGGAGATTTCAAGCGCTTTGAGGCCAAAGGCAGAAAAGGAAATGTCTTCGTTTCAAAACTAGACAGAATCATTCTCAGAAACTGCTGCGTGATGTGTGCGTTCAACTCTCAGAGTTTAACTTTTCTTTTCATTCAGCGGTTTGGAAACACTCTGTTTGTAAAGTCTGCACGTGGATATTTTGACCCCTTAGAGGCCTTCGTTGGAAACGGGTTTTTTTCATGTAAGGCTAGACAGAAGAATTCTCAGTAAGTTCCTTGTGTTGAGTGTTTTCAACTCACAGAGTTGAACGATGCTTTACACAGAGTAGACTTGAAACACTCTTGTTGTGGAATTTGCAAGTGGAGATTTCAGCCGCTTTGAGGTCAATGGTAGAATAGGAAATATCTTCCTATAGAAACTAGACAGAATGATTCTCAGAAACTCCTTTGTGATGTGTGCATTCAACTCACAGAGTTTAACCTTTCTTTTCATAGAGCAGTTAGGAAACATTCTGTTTGTAAAGTCTGCAAGTGGATATTCAGACCTCTTTGAGGACTTCGTTGGAAACGGGATTTTTTCATATTATGCTAGACAGAAGAATTCTCAGTAACTTCCTTGTGTTGTGTGTATTCAACTCACAGAGTTGAACGATCCTTTACACAGAGCAGACTTGAAACACTCTTGTTGGGGAATTTGCAAGTGGAGATTTCAGCCGCTTTGAGGTCAATGGTAGAAAAGGAAATATCTTCCTATAAAAACTAGACAGAATGATTCTCAGAAACTCCTTTGTGATGTGTGCGTTCAACTCACAGAGTTTAACCTTTCTGTTCATAGAGCAGTTAGGAAACACTCTGTTTGTAAAGTCTGTAAGTGGATATTCAGACCTCCTTGAGGCCTTCGTTGGAAACGGGATTTCTTCATATTCTGCTAGACAGAAGAATTCCCAGTAACTTCCATGTGTTGTGTGTGTTCAACTCACAGAGTTGAAATTTCATTTACACAGAGCAGATTTGAAACACTCTTTTTGTGGAATTTGCAAATGGAGATTTCAAGCGCTTTGAGGCCAGAGGCAGAAAAGGAAATATCTTCGTATAAAAACTAGACAGAATCATTCTCAGAAACTGCTCTGCGATGTGTGCGTTCAACTCTCAGAGTTTAACTTTTCTTTTCATTCAGCAGTTTGGAAACACTCTGTTTGTAAAGTCTGCACGTGGATAATTTGACCACTTAGAGGTCTTCGTTGGAAACGGGTTTTTTTCATGTAAGGCTAGACAGAAGAATTCCCAGTAACTTCCTTGTGTTGTGTGCATTCAACTCACAGAGTTGAACGTTCCCTTAGACAGAGCAGATTTGAAACACTCTATTTGTGCAATTTACAAGTGTAGATTTCAAGCGCTTTAAGGTCAATGGCAGAAAAGGAAATATCTTCGTTTCAAAACTAGACAGAATGATTCTCATAAACTCCTTTGTGATGTGTGCGTTCAACACACAGAGTTTAACTTTTCTTTTCATAGAGCAGTTAGGAAACACTCTGTTTGTAAAGTCTGCAAGTGGATATTCAGACCTCTTTGAGGCCTTCGTTGGAAACGGGATTTCTTCATATTCTGCTAGACAGAAGAATTCTCAGTAACTTCCTTGTGTTGTGTGTATTCAACTCACAGAGTTGAACGATCCTTTACAGAGAGCAGACTTTAAACACTCTTTTTGTGGAATTTGCAAGTGGAGATTTCAGCCGCTTTGAGGTCAATGGTAGAAAAGGAAATATCTTCGTATAAAGACTAGACAGAATGATTCTCATAAACTCCTTTGTGATGTGTGCGTTCAACTCACAGAGTTTAACCTTTCTTTTCATAGAGCAGTTAGGAAACACTCTGTTTGTAAAGTCTGCAAGTGGATATTCAGACCTCCTTGAGGCCTTGGTTGGAAACGGGATTTCTTCATATTCTGCTTGACAGAAGAATTCTCAGTAACTTCCTTGTTTTGTGTGTATTCAACTCACAGAGTTGAACGATCCTTTACACAGAGCAGACTTGAAACACTCTTTTTGTGGAATTTGCAAGTGGAGATTTCAGCCGCGTTGAGGTCAATGGTAGAAAAGGAAATATCTTCGTATAAAAACTAGACAGAATGATTCTCAGAAACTCCTTTGTGATGTGTGCGTTCAACTCACAGAGTTTAACCTTTCTTTTCATAGAGCAGTTGGGAAACACTGTTTGTAAAGTCTGCAAGTGGATATTCAGACATCCTTGAGGCTTTCGTTGGAAACGGGATTTCTTCATATTCTGCTAGAAAGAAGAATTCTCAGTAACTTCCTTGTGTTGTGTGTATTCAACTCACAGAGTTGAACGATCCTTTACAGAGAGCAGACTTGAAACACTCTTTTTGTGGAATTTGCAAGTGGAGATTTCAGCCGCTTTGAGGTCAACGGTAGAAAAGGAAATATCTTCGTATAAAGACTAGACAGAATGATTCTCAGAAACTCCTTTGTGATGTGTGCGTTCAACACACAGAGTTTAACTTTTCTTTTCATAGAGCAGTTAGGAAATACTCTGTTTGTAAAGTCTGCAAGTGGATATTCAGACCTCTTTGAGGCCTTCGTTGGAAACGGAATTTCTTCATATTATGCTAGACAGAAGAATTCTCAGTAACTTCCTTGTGTTGTGTGTATTCAACTGACAGAGTTGAACTTTCTTTTAGAGAGAGCAGATTTGAAACACTGTTTTTGTGGAATTTGCAACTGGAGATTTCAAGCGCTTTGGGGCCAAAGGCAGAAAAGGAAATATCTTCGTATAAAAACTAGACAGAATCGTTCTCAGAAACTGCTCTGCGATGTGTGCGTTCAACTCTCAGAGTTTAACTTTTCTTTTCATTCAGCAGTTTGGAAACACTCTGTTTGTAAAGTCTGCACGTGGATAATTTGACCACTTAGAGGCCTTCGTTGGAAACGGGTTTTTTTCATGTAAGGCTAGACAGAATAATTCCCAGTAACTTCCTTGTGTTGTGTACATTCAACTCACAGAGTTGAACGTTCCCTTAGAGAGAGCAGATTTGAAACTCTCTTTTTGTGAAATTAGCAAGTGGAGATTTCAAGGGCTTTAAGGTCAATGGCAGAAAAGGAAATATCTTCGTTTCAAAACTAGACAGAATGATTCTCATAAACTCCTTTGTGATGTGTGCGTTCAACTCACAGAGTTTAACCTTTCTTTCCATAGAGCAGTTGGGAAACACTCTGTTTGTAATGTCTGCAAGTGGATATTCAGACTTCCTTGAGGCCTTCGTTGGAAACGGGATTTCTTCATATTCTGCTAGACAGAAGAATTCTCAGTAACTTCCTTGTGTTGTGTGTATTCAACTCACAGAGTTGAATGATCCTTTACACAGAGCAGACTTGAAACACTCTTTTTGTGGAATTTGCAAGTGGAGATTTCACCCGCTTTGAGGTCAACGGGAGAAAAGGAAACTATCTTCGTATAAAGACTAGACAGAATGATTCTCAGAAACTCCTTTGTGATGTGGGCGTTCAACTCACAGAGTTTAACCTTCCTTTTCATAGAGCAGTTAGGAAACACTCTGTTTGTAATGTCTACACGTGGATATTTGGATTTCTTTGAGGCCTTCGTTGGAAACGGGATTTTTTCATGTAAGGCTAGACGGAAGAATTCTCAGTAACTTCCTTGTGTTGTGTGTATTCAACTGACAGAGTTGAACTTTCATTTAGAGAGAGTAGATTTGAAACACTGTTTTTGTGGAATTTGCAAGTGGAGATTTCAAGCGCTTTGGGGCCAAAGGCAGAAAAGGAAATATCTTCGTATAAAAACTAGACAGAATCATTCTCAGAAACCGCTCTGTGATGTGTGCGTTCAACTCTCAGAGTTTAACTTTTCTTTCCATTCAGCAGTTTGGAAACACTCTGTTTGTAAAGTCTGCACGTGGATATTTTGACCACTTAGAGGTCTTCGTTGGAAACGGGTTTTTTTCATGTAAGGCTAGACAGAAGAATTCCCAGTAACTTCCCTTGTGTTGTGTGCATTCAACTCACAGAGATGAACGTTCCCTTAGACAGAGCAGATTTGAAACACTCTATTTGTGCAATTTGCAAGTGTAGATTTCAAGCGCTTTAAGGTCAATGGCAGAAAAGGAAATATCTTCGTTTCAAAACTAGACAGAATCATTCCCACAAACTGCGTTGTGATGTGTTCGTTCAACTCACAGAGTTTAAACTTTCTGTTCATAGAGCAGTTAGGAAACACTCTGTTTGTAAAGTCTGTAAGTGGATATTCCGACATCTTTTGGCCTTCTTTGGAAACGGGATTTCTTCATATTCTGCTAGACAGAAGAATTCTCAGTAACTTCCTTGTGTTGTGTTTATTCAACTCACAGAGTTGAATGATCCTTTACACAGAGCAGACTTGAAACACTCTTTTTGTGGAATTTGCAAGTGGAGATTTCAGCCGCTTTGTGGTCAATGGTAGAAAAGGAAATATCTTCCTATAAAGACTAGACAGAATGATTCTCAGAAACTCCTTTGTGATGTGTTCGTTCAACTCACAGAGTTTAACCTTTCTTTTCATAGAGGAGTTAGGAAACACTCTGTTTGTAAAGTCTGCAAGTGGATATTCAGACCTCTTTGAGGCCTTCGTTGGAAACGGGTTTTTTTCATATAAGGCTAGACAGAAGAATTCTCAGTAACTTCCCTTGTGTTGTGTGTATTCAACTGACAGAGTTGAACTTTCATTTAGAGAGAGCAGATTTGAAACTCTGTTTTTGTGGAATTTGCAAGTGGAGATTTCAAGCGCTTTGGGGCCAAAGGCAGAAAAGGAAATATCTTCGTATAAAAACTAGACAGAATCATTCTCAGAAACTGCTCTGCGATGTGTGCGTTCAACTCTCAGAGTTTAACTTTTCTTTTCATTCAGCAGTTTGGAAACACTCTGTTTGTAAAGTCTGCACGTGGATAATTTGACCACTTAGAGGCCTTCGTTGGAAACGGGTTTTTTTCATGTAAGGCTATACAGAAGAATTATAAGTAACTTCCTTGTGTTGTGTGTATTCAACTCACAGAGTTGAACGATCCTTTACACAGAGCAGACTTGAAACACTCTTTTTGTGGAATTTGCAAGTGGAGATTTCAGCCGCTGTGAGGTCAATGGTAGAATAGGACATATCTTCCTATAGAAACTAGACAGAATGATTCTCAGAAACTCCTTTGTGATGTGTGCGTTCAACTCACACAGTTTAACCTTTCTTTTCATAGAGCAGTTAGGAAACACTCTGTTTGTAAAGTCTGCAAGTGGATATACAGACCTCCTTGAGGCATTCGTTGGAAACGGGATTTCTTCATATTATGCTAGACAGAAGAATTCTCAGTAACTTCCTTGTGTTGTGTGTATTCAACTGACAGAGTTGAACTTTCATTTAGAGAGAGCAGATTTGAAACACTGTTTTTGTGGAATTTGCAAGTGGAGATTTCAAGCGCTTTGGGGCCAAAGGCAGAAAAGGAAATATCATCGTATAAAAACTAGACAGAATCATTCTCAGAAACTGCTGAGTGATGTGTGCGTTCAACTCTCAGAGTTTAACTTTTCTTTTCATTCAGCGGTTTGGAAACACTCTGTTTGTAAAGTCTGCACGTGGATATTTTGACCACTTAGAGGCCTTCGTTGGAAACGGGTTTTTTTCATGTAAGGCTAGACAGAAGAATTCCCAGTAACTTCCTTGTGTTGTGTACATTCAACTCACAGAGTTGAACGTTCCCTTAGACAGAGCAGATTTGAAACAGTCTTTTTGTGCAATTGGCAAGTGGTGATTTCAGCCGCTTTGTGGTCAATGGTATAAAAGGAAATATCTTCGTATAAAAACTAGACAGAATCATTCCCACAAACTGCGTTGGGATGTGTTCGTTCAACTCACAGAGTTTAACCTTTCTGTTCATAGAGCAGTTAGGAAACACTCTGTTTGTAAAGTCTGTAAGTGGATATTCTGACATCTTGTGGCCTTCGTTGGAAACGGGATTTCTTCATATTCTGCTAGACAGAAGAATTCTCAGTAACTTCCTTGTGTTGTGTGTATTCAACTCACAGAGTTGAACGATCCTTTACACAGAGCAGACTTGAAACACTCTTTTTGTGGAATTTGCAAGTGGAGATTTCAGCCGCGTTGAGGTCAATGGTAGAAAAGGAAATAACTTCGTATAAAAACTAGACAGAATGATTCTCAGAAACTCCTTTGTGATGTGTGCGTTCAACTCACAGAGTTTAACTTTTCTTTTCATAGAGCAGTTAGGAAACACTCTGTTTGTAAAGTCTGCAAGTGGATATTCAGACCTCCTTGAGGCCTTCGTTGGAAACAGGATTTCTTCATATTCTGCTAGACAGAAGAATTCTCAGTAACTTCCTTGTGTTGTGTGTATTCAACTGACAGAGTTGAACTTTCATTTAGAGAGAGCAGATTTGAAACACTGTTTTTGTGGAATTTGCAAGTGGAGATTTCAAGCGCTTTGGGGCCAAGGACAGAAAAGGAAATATCTTCGTATAAAAACTAGACAGAATCATTCTCAGAAACTGCTGCGTGATGTGTGCGTTCAACTCTCAGAGTTTAACTTTTCTTTTCATTCAGCGGTTTGGAAACACTCTGTTTGTAAAGTCTGCACGTGGATATTTTGACCACTTAGTGGCCTTCGTTGGAAACGGGTTTTTTTTCATGTAAGGCTAGACAGAAGAATTCCCAGTAACTTCCTTGTGTTGTGTACATTCAACTCACAGAGTTGAACGTTCCCTTAGACAGAGCAGATTTGAAACACTCTTTTTGAGAAATTGGCAAGTGGAGATTTCAAGCGCTTTAAGGTCAATGGCAGAAAAGGAAATATCTTCGTTTCAAAACTAGACAGAATCATTCCCACAAACTGCGTTGTGATGTGTTCGTTCAACTCACAGAGTTTAACCGTTCTTTTCATAGAGCAGTTAGGAAACACTCTGTTTGTAAATTCTGTAAGTGGATATTCTGACATCTTGTGGCCTTCGTTGGAAACGGGATTTCTTCATGTTCTGCTAGACAGAAGAATTCTCAGTAACTTCCTTTTATTGTGTGTATTCAACTCACAGAGTTGAACGATCCTTTACACAGAGCAGACTTGAAACACTCTTTTTGTGGAATTTGCAAGTGGAGATTTCAGCCGCTTTGAGGTCAATGGTAGAAAAGGAAATATCTTCGTATAAAAATTAGACAGAATGATTCTCAGAAACTCCTTTGTGATGTGTGCGTTCAACTCACAGAGTTTAACCTTTCTTTTCATAGAGCAGTTAGGAAACACTCTGTTTGTAAAGTCTGCAAGTGGATATTCAGACCTCTTTGAGGCCTTCGTTGGAAACGGGTTTTTTTCATATAAGGGTAGACAAAAGAATTACCACTAACATCCTTGTGTTGTGTGTGTTCAACTCACAGAGTTGAACTTTCATTTACACAGAGCAGATTTGAAAGACTCTTTTTGTGGAATTTGCAAATGGAGATTTCAAGCGCTTTGAGGCCAAAGACAGAAAAGGAAATATCTTCGTTTCAAAACTAGACAGAATCATTCTCAGAAACTGCTCTGCGATGTGTGCGTTCAACTCTCAGAGTTTAACTTTTCTTTTCATTCAGCAGTTTGGAAACACTCTGTTTGTAAAGTCTGCACGTGGATAACTTGACCACTTAGAGGCCTTCGTTGGAAACGGGTTTTATTCACGTAAGGCTAGACAGAAGATTTCCCAGTAAATTCCTTGTGTTGTGTACATTCAACTCACAGAGTTGAACGTTCCCTTAGACAGAGCAGATTTGAAACACTCTTTTTGTGCAATTGGGAAGTGGAGATTTCAAGCGCTTTAAGGTCAATGGCAGAAAAGGAAATATCTTCGTTTCAAAACTACACAGAATCATTCCCACAAACTGCGTTGTGATGTGTTCGTTCATCTCACAGAGTTTAACCTTTCTTTTCATAGAGCAGTTAGGAAACAGTCTGTTTGTAAATTCTGTAAGTGGATATCCTGACATCTTGTGGCCTTCGTTGGAAACGGGATTTCTTCATATTCTGCTAGACAGAAGAATTCTCAGAAACTTCCTTGTGTTGTGTGTATTCAACTCACAGAGTTGAACGATAGTTTACACAGAGCAGACTTGAAACACTCTTTTTGTGGAATTTGCAAGTGGAGATTTCAGCCGCTTTGAGGTCAATGTTAGAAAAGGAAATATCTTCGTATAAAAACTAGACAGAATGATTCTCAGAAACTTCTTTGTGATGTGTGCGTTCAACTCACAGAGTTTAACCTTTCTGTTCATAGAGCAGTTAGGAAACACTCTGTTTGTAAACTCTGCAAGTGGATATTCAGACCTCCTTTGAGGCCTTCGTTGGAAACGGGATTTCTCCATACTGTGCTAGACAGAAGAATTCCCAGTAACTTCCTTCTGTTGTGTGTGTTCAACTCACAGAGTTGAACTTTCATTTACACAGAGCAGATTTGAAACACTCTTTTTGTGGAATTTGCAAATGGAGATTTCAAGCGCTTTGAGGCCAAAGGCAGAAAAGGAAATATCTTCGTTTCAAAACTAGACAGAATCATTCTCAGAAACTGCTCTGCGATGTGTGCGTTCAACTCTCAGAGTTTAACTTTTCTTTTCATTCAGCAGTTTGGAAACACTCTGTTTGTAAAGTCTGCACGTGGATAATTTGACCACTTAGAGGCCTTCGTTGGAAACGGGGTTTTTTCATGTAAGGCTAGACAGAAGAATTCTCAGTAACTTCCTTGTGTTGTGTGTACTCAACTCACAGAGTTGAACGATCCTTTACACAGAGAGGACTTGAAACACTCTTTTTGTGGAATTTGCAAGTGGAGATTTCAGCCGCGTTGAGGTCAATGGTAGAAAAGGAAATATCTTCGTATAAAAACTAGACACAATGATTCTCAGAAACGCCTTTGTGATGTGTGTGTTCAACTCACAGAGTTTAACCTTTCTTTTCATAGAGCAGTTAGGAAACACTCTGTTGGTAAAGTCTGCAAGTGGATATTCAGACCTCTTTGAGGCCTTCGTTGGAAACGGGTTTTTTTCATATAAGGCTAGACAGAAGAATTCTCAGTAACTTTCCTTGTGTTGTGTGTATTCAACTGACAGAGTTGAACTTTCATTTAGAGAGAGCAGATTTGAAACACTGTTTTTGTGGAATTTGCAAGTGGAGATTTCAGCCGCTTTGAGGTCAATAGTAGAAAAGGAAATATCTTCGTAGAAAAACTAGACAGAATGATTCTCAGAAACTTCTTTGTGATGTGTGCGTTCAACTCACAGAGTTTAACCTTTCTTTTCATAGAGCAGTTAGGAAACACTCTGTTTGTAAACTCTGCAAGTGGATATTCAGACCTCTTTGAGGCCTTCGTTGGAAACAGGATTTCTTCATACTATGCTAGACAGAAGAATTCTCAGTAACTTCCTTGTGTTGTGTGTATTAAACTCACAGAGTTGAACGATCCTTTACACAGAGCAGACTTGAAACACTCTTTTTTTGGAATTTGCAAGTGGAGATTTCAGCCGCTTTGAGGTCAATGGTAGAATAGGAAATATCTTCCTATAGAAACTAGACAGAATGATTCTCAGAAACTTCTTTGTGATGTGTGCGTTCAACTCACAGAGTTTAACCTTTCTTTACATAGAGCAGTTAGGAAACACTCTGTTTGTAAACTCTGCAATTGGATATTCAGACCTCTTTGAGGCCTTCGTTGGAAACGGGATTTCTTCATACTATGTTAGACAGAAGAATTCCCAGTAACTTTCCTTGTGTTGTGTGTATTCAACTCACAGAGTTGAACTTTCATTTACACAGAGCAGATTGGAAACACTCTTTTTGTGGAATTTGCAAGTGGAGATTTCAAGCGCTTTGAGGCCAAATGCAGAAAAGGAAATATCTTCGTATAAAAACTAGACAGAATCATTCTCAGAAACTGCTCTGCGATGTGTGCGTTCAACTCTCAGAGTTTAACTTTTCTTTTCATTCAGCAGTTTGGAAACACTCTGTTTGTAACGTCTGCACGTGGATATTTTGACCACTTAGAGGCCTTCGTTGGAAACGGGTTTTTTTCATATAAGGCTAGACAGAAGAATTCCCAGTAACTTCCTTGTGTTGTGTACATTCAATTCACAGATTTGAAGGTTCCCTTAGACACAGCAGATTTGAAACACTCTTTTTGTGCAATTGGCAAGTGGAGATTTCAAGCGCTTTAAGGTCAATGGCAGAAAAGGGAATATCGTCGTTTCAAAACTAGACAGAATCATTCCCACAAACTGCGTTGTGATGTGTTCGTTCAACTCACAGAGTTTAACCTTTCTCTTCATAGAGCAGTTAGGAAACACTCTGTAAAGTCTGTAAGTGGATATTCTGACATCTTGTGGCCTTCGTTGGAAACGGGATTTCTTCATATTCTGCTAGACAGAAGAATTCCCAGTAACTTCCTTGTGTTGTGTGTATTCAACTCACAGAGTTGAACGATCCTTTACACAGAGCAGACTTGTAACACTCTTTTTCTGGAATTTGCAAGTGGAGATTTCAGCCGCTTTGAAGTCAAAGGTAGAAAAGGAAATATCTTCCTATAAAAACTAGACAGAATGATTCTCAGAAACTCCTTTGTGATGTGTGTGTTCAACTCACAGAGTTTAACCTTTCTTTTCATAGAGCAGTTAGGAAACACTCTGTTTGTAAAGTCTGCAAGTGGATATTCAGACCTCTTTGAGACCTTCGTTGGAAACGGGATTTTTTCATATAAGGCTAGACAGAAGAATTCCCAGTAACTTCCTTGTGTTGTGTGTGTTCAACTCACAGAGTTGAACTTTCATTTACACAGAGCAGATTTGAAACACTCTTTTTGTGGAATTTGCAAATGGAGATTTCAAGCGCATTGAGGCCAAAGGCAGAAAAGGAAATATCTTCGTATAAAAACTAGACAGAATCATTCTCAGAAACTGCTGCGTGATGCGTGCGTTCAACTCTCAAAGTTTAACTTTTCTTTTCATTCAGCGGTTTGGAAACACTCTGTTTGTAAAGTCTGCACGTGGATATTTTGACCACTTAGAGGCCTTCGTTGGAAACGGGTTTTTTTCATGTAAGGCTAGACAGAAGAATTCCCAGTAACTTCCTTGTGTTGTGTACATTCAACTCACAGAGTTGAACGTTCCCTTAGACAGAGCAGATTTGAAACACTCTTTTTGTGCAATTGGCAAGTGGTGATTTCAGCCTCTTTGAGGTCAATGGTAGAAAAGGAAATATCTTCGTATAAAAACTAGACAGAATCATTCCCACAAACTGCGTTGTTATGTGTTCGTTCAACTCACAGAGTTTAACCTTTCTTTTCATAGAGCAGTTAGGAAACAGTCTGTTTGTAAATTCTGTAAGTGGATATTCTGACATCTTGTGGCCTTCGTTGGAAACGGGATTTCTTCATATTCTGCTAGACAGAATAATTCTCAGTAACTTCCTTGTGTTGTGTGTATTCAACTCACAGAGTTGAACGATGCTTTACACAGAGCAGACTTGAAACATTCTTTTTGTGGAATTTGCAACTGGAGATTTCAGCCGCTTTGAGGTCAATGGTAGAATAGGAAACATCTTCCTATAGAAACTAGACAGAATGATTCTCAGAAACTCCTTTGTGATGTGTGTGTTCAACTCACAGAGTTTAACCTTTCTTTTCATAGAGCAGTTAGGAAACACTCTGTTTGTAAAGTCTGCAAGTGGATATTCAGACCTCTTTGAGGCCTTCGTTGGAAACGGGTTTTTTCATATAAGGCTAGACAGAAGAATTCCCAGTAACTTCCTTGTGTTGTGTGTGTTCAACTCACAGAGTTGAACTTTCATTTACACAGAGCAGATTTGAAACACTCTTTTTGTGGAATTTGCAGGTGGAGATTTCAAGCGCTTTGAGGCCAAAGGCAGAAAAGGAAATATCTTCATATAAAAACTAGACAGAATCATTCTCAGAAACTGCTCTGCGATGTGTGCGTTCAACTCTCAGAGTTTAACTTTTCTTTTCATTCAGCAGTTTGGAAACAATCTGTTTGTAAAGTCTGCACGTGGATAACTTGACCACTTAGAGGACTTCGTTGGAAACGGGTTTTTTTCCTGTAAGGCTAGACAGAAGAATTCCCAGTAACTTCCTTGTGTTGTGTACATTCAACTCACAGAGTTGAACGTTCCCTTAGACAGAGCAGATTTGAAACACTCTTTTTGTGCAATTGGCAAATGGAGATTTCAAGCGCTTTAAGGTCAATGGCAGAAAAGGAAATATTCTTCGTTTCAAAACTAGACAGAATCATTCCCACAAACTGCGTTGTGATGTGTTCGTTCAACTCACAGAGTTTAACCTTTCTGTTCATAGAGCAGTTAGGAAACACACTGTTTGTAAAGTCTGTAAGTGGATATTCTGACATCTTGTGGCCTTCGTTGGAAACGGGATTTCTTCATATTCTGCTAGACAGAAAGAATTCTCAGTAACTTCCTTGTGTTGTGTGTATTCAACTCACAGAGTTGAACGATCCTTTACACAGAGCAGACTTGAAACACTCTTTTTGTGGAATTTGCAAGTGGAGATTTCAGCCGCTTTGAGGTCAATGGTAGAATAGGAAATATCTTCCTATAGAAACTAGACAGATGATTCTCAGAAACTCCTTTGTGATGTGTGCGTTCAACTCACAGAGTTTAACCTTTCTTTTCATAGAGCAGTTAGGAAACACTCTGTTTGTAAAGTCTGCAGGTGGATATTCAGACATCCTTGAGGCTTTCGTTGGAAACGGGATTTCTTCATATTCTGCTAGAAAGAAGAATTCTCAGTAACTTCATTGTGTTGTGTGTATTCAACTCACAGAGTTCAACGATCCTTTACACAGAGCAGACTTGAAACACTCTTTTTGTGGAATTTGCAAGTGGAGATTTCAGCCGCTTTGAGGTCAATGGTAGAAAAGGAAATATCTTCCTATAAAAACTAGACAGAATGATTCTCAGAAACTCCTATGTGATGTGTTCGTTCAGCTCACAGAGTTTAACCTTTCTTTTCATAGAGCAGTTAGGAAACACTCTGTTTGTAAAGTCTGCAAGTGGATATTTAGACCTCTTTGAGGCCTTCGTTCGAAACGGGATTTCTTCATATTCTGCTAGAGAGAAGAATTCTCAGTAACTTCCCTTGTGTTGTGTGTATTCAACTCACAGAGTTGAACGATCCTTTACACAGAGCAGACTTGAAACACTCTTTTTGCGGAATTTGTAAGTGGAGATTTCAGCCGCTTTGAGGTCAATGGTAGAAAAGGAATTATCTTCGTATAAAAACTAGACAGAATGATTCTCAGAAACTCCTTTGTGATGTGTGCGTTCAACTCACAGAGTTTAACCTTTCTTTTCATAGAGCAGTTAGGAAACACTCTGTTTGTACAGTCTGCAAGTGGATATTCAGACATCCTTGAGGCTTTCGTTGGAAACGGGATTTCTTCATATTCTGCTAGAAAGAAGAATTCTCAGTAACTTCCTTGTGTTGTGTGTATTCAACTGACAGAGTTGAACTTTCATTTAGAGAGAGCAGATTTGAAACACTGTTTTTGTGGAATTTGCAAGTGGAGATTTCAAGCGCTTTGGGGCCAAAGGCAGAAAAGGAAATATCTTCGTATAAAGACTAGACAGAATGATTCTCAGAAACTTCATTGTGATGTGTGCGTTCAACTCACAGAGTTTAACCGTTCTTTTCATAGAGCAGTTAGGAAACACTCTGTTTGTAAACTCTGCAAGTGGATATTCAGACCTCTTTGAGGCCTTCGTTGGAAACGGTATTTCTTCATACTGTGCTAGACAGAAGAATACTCAGTAACTTCCTTGTGTTGTGTGTATTCAACTCACAGAGTTGAACGATGGTTTACACAGAGCAGATTTGAAACACTCTTTTTGTGGAATTAGCAATTGGAGATTTCAGCCGCTTTGAGGTCAATGGTAGAAAAGGAAATATCTTCGTATAAAAACTAGACAGAATGATTCTCAGAAACTCCTTTGTGATGTGTGCGTTCAACTCACAGAGTTTAACCTTTCTTTTCATAGAGCAGTTAGGAAACACTCTGTTTGTAAAGTCTGCAAGTGGATATTCAGACCTCTTTGAGGCCTTCGTTGGAAACGGGTTTTTTTCATATAAGTCTAGACAGAAGAATTCCCAGTAACTTCCTTGTGTTGTGTGTGTTCAAATCACAGAGTTGAACTTTCATTTACACAGAGCAGATTTGAAACACTCTTTTTGTGGAATTTGCAAGTGGAGATTTCAAGCGCTTTGGGGCCAAAGGCAGAAAAGGAAATATCTTCGTTTCAAAACTAGACAGAATCATTCTCAGAAACTGCTGCGTGATGTGTGCGTTCAACTCTCAGAGTTTAACTTTTCTTTTCATTCAGCGGTTTGGAAACACTCTGTTTGTAAAGTCTGCACGTGGAAATTTTGACCACTCAGAGGCCTTCGTTGGAAACGGGTTTTTTTCATGTAAGGCTAGACAGAAGAATTCCAAGTAACTTCCTTGTGTTGTGTGCATTCAACTCACAGAGTTGAACGTTCCCTTAGACAGAGCAGATTTGAAACACTCTATTTGTGCAATTTGCAAGTGTAGATTTCAAGCGCTTTAAGGTCAATGGCAGAAAAGGAAATATCTTCGTTTCAAAACTAGACAGAATCATTCCCACAAACTGCGTTGTGATGTGTTCGTTCAACTCACAGAGTTTAACCTTTCTGTTCATAGAGCAGTTAGGAAACACTCTGTTTGTAAAGTCTGAAAGTGCATATTCTGACATCTTGTGGCCTTCGTTGGAAACGGGATTTCTTCATATTCTGCTAGATAGAAGAATTCTCAGTAACTTCCTTGTGTTGTGTGTATTCAACTCACAGAGTTGAACGATCCCTTTACACAGAGCAGACTTGAAACACTCTTTTTGTGGAATTTGCAAGTGGAGATTTCAGCCGCTTTGAGGTCAATAGTCGAAAAGGAAATATCTTCGTAGAAAAACTAGACAGAACGATTCTCAGAAACTCCTTTGTGATGTGTGCGTTCAACTCACAGAGTTTAACCTTTCTTTTCATAGAGCAGTTAGGAAACACTCTGTTTGTAAAGTCTGCAAGTGGATATTCAGACCTCTTTGAGGCCTTCATTGGAAACGGGATTTCTTCATATTCTGCTAGACAGAAGAATTCCCAGTAACTTCCTTGTGTTGTGTGTGTTCAACTCACAGAGTTGAACTTTGATTTACACAGAGCAGATTTGAAACACTCTTTTTGTGGAATTTGCAAGTGGAGATTTCAAGCGCTGTGAGGCCAAAGGCAGAAAAGGAAATATCTTCGTATAAAAACTAGACAGAATCATTCTCAGAAACTGCTCTGCGATGTGTGCGTTGAACTCTCAGAGTTTAACTTTTCTTTTCATTCAGCAGTTTGGAAACACTCTGTTTGTAAAGTCTGCACGTGGATATTTTCACCACTTAGAGGCCTTCGTTGGAAACGGGTTTTTTTCCTGTAAGGCTAGACAGAAGAATTCCCAGTAACTTCCTTGTGTTGTGTGCATTCAACTCACAGAGTTGAACGTTCCCTTAGACAGAGCAGATTTGAAACACTCTCTTTGTGCAATTTGCAAGTGTAGATTTCAAGCGCTTTAAGGTCAACGGCAGAAAAGGAAATATCTTCGTTTCAAAACTAGACAGAATCATTCCCACAAACTTCGTTGTGATGTGTTCGTTCAACTCACAGAGTTTAACCTTCCTGTTCATAGAGCAGTTAGGAAACACTCTGTTTGTAAAGTCTGTAAGTGGATATTCTGACATCTTGTGGCCTTCGTTGGAAACGGGATTTCTTCATATTCTGCTAGACAGAAGAATTCTCAGTAACTTCCTTGTGTTGTGTGTATTCAACTCACAGAGTTGAACGATCCTTTACACAGAGCAGACTTGAAACACTCTTTTTGTGGAATTTGCAAGTGGAGATTTCAGCCGCGTTGAGGTCAATGGTAGAAAAGGAAATATCTTCATATAAAAACTAGACAGAATGATTCTCAGAAACTCCTTTGTGATGTGTGTGTTCAACTCACACAGTTTAACCTTTCTTTTCATAGAGCAGTTAGTAAACACTCTGTTTATAAAGTCTGCAAGTGGATATTCAGACCCCTTTGAGGCCTTCGTTGGAAACGGGATTTCTTCATATTATGCTAGACAGAAGAATTCCCAGTAACTTCCTTGTGTTGTGTGTGTTCAACTCACAGAGTTGAACTTTCATTTACCCAGAGCAGATTTGAAACACTCTTTTTGTGGAATTTGCAAGTGGAGATTTCAAGCGCTTTGAGGCCAAAGGCAGAAAAGGTAATATCTTCGTATAAAAACTAGACAGAACGATTCTCAGAAACTCCTTTGTGATGTGTGCGTTCAACTCACAGAGTTTAACTTTTCTTTTCATAGAGCCATTAGGAAACACTCTGTTTGTAAAGTCTGCAAGTGGATACTCAGACCTCTTTGAGGCCTTCGTTGGAAACGGGTTTTTTTCATGTAAGGCTAGACAGAAGAATTCCCAGTAACTTCCTTGTGTTGTGTGCATTCAACTCACAGAGTTGAACGTTCCCTTAGACAGAGCAGATTTGAAACACTCTATTTGTGCAATTTGCAAGTATAGATTTCAAGCGCTTTCAGGTCAACGGCAGAAAAGGAAATATCTTCGTTTCAAAACTAGACAGAATCATTCCCAAAAACTGCGTTGTGATGTGTTCGTTCATCTCACAGAGTTTAACCTTTCTTTTCATAGAGCAGTTAGGAAACAGTCTGTTTGTAAATTCTGTAAGTGGATATTCTGACATCTTGTGGCCTTCGATGGAAACGGGATTTCTTCATATTCTGCTAGACAGAAGAATTCTCAGTAACTTCCTTGTGTTGTGTGTATTCAACTCACAGAGTTGAACGATCCTTTACACAGAGCAGACTTGAAACATTCTTTTTGTGGAATTTGGAAGTGGAGATTTCAGCCGCTTTGAGGTCAATGGTAGAATAGGGAATATCTTCCTATAGAAACTAGACAGAATGATTCCCACAAAATCCTTTGTGATGTGTGTGTTCAACTCACAGAGTTTAACCTTTCTTTTCATAGAGCAGTTAGTAAACACTCTGTTTATAAAGTCTGCAAGTGGATATTCAGACCCCTTTGAGGCCTTCGTTGGAAACGGGATTTCTTCATATTATGCTAGACAGAAGAATTCTCAGTAACTTCCTTGTGTTGTGTGTATTCAACTGACAGAGTTGAACTTTCATTTAGAGAGAGCAGATTTGAAACACTGTTTTTGTGGAATTTGCAAGTGGAGATTTCAAGCGCTTTGGGGTCAAAGGCAGACAACGAAATATCTTCGTATAAAAACTAGACAGAATCATGCTCAGAAACTGCTCTGCGATGTGTGCCTTCAGCTCTCAGAGTTTAACTTTTCTTTTCATTCAGCAGTTTGGAAACACTCTGTTTGTAAAGCCTGCACGTGGATATTTTGACCACTTAGAGGTCTTCGTTGGAAACGGGTTTTTGTCATGTAAGGCTAGACAGAAGAATTACCAGTAACTTCCTTGTGTTGTGTGCATTCAACTCACAGAGATGAACGTTCCCTTAGACAGAGCAGATTTGAAACACTCTATTTGTGCAATTTGCAAGTGTAGATTTCAAGCGCTTAAAGGTCAATGGTAGAAAAGGAAATATCTTCGTTTCAAAACTAGACAGAATCATTCCCACAAACTGCGTTGTGATGTGTTCGTTCAACTCACAGAGTTTAACCTTTCTGTTCATAGAGCAGTTAGGAAACACTCTGTTTGTAAAGTCTGTAAGTGGATATTCTGACATCTTGTGGCCTTCGTTGGAAACGGGATTTCTTCGTATTGTGCTAGACAGAAGAATTCTCAGTAACTTCCTTGTGTTGTGTGTATTCAACTCACAGAGTTGAACGATCCTTTACACAGAGCGGACTTGTAACATTCTTTTTGTGGAATTTGCAAGTGGAGATTTCAGCCGCTTTGAAGTCAAAGGTAGAAAAGGAAATATCTTCCTATAAAAACTAGACAGAATGATTCTCAGAAACTCCTTTGTGATGTGTGCATTCAACTCACAGAGTTTAACCTTTCTTTTCATAGAACAGTTAGGAAACACTCTGTTTGTAAAGTCTTCAGGTGGATATTCAGACCTCTTAGAGGCCTTCGTTGGAAACAGGATTTCTTCATATAATGCTAGACAGAAGAATTCTCAGTAACTTCATTGTATTGTGTGTATTCAACTCACAGATTTCAACGATCCTTTACACAGAGCAGACTTGAAACACTCTTTTTCTGGAATTTGCAAGTGGAGATTTCAGCCGCTTTGAGGTCAATGGTAGAATAGGAAATATCTTCCTATAGAAACTAGACAGAATGATTCTCAGAAACTCCTTTGTGATGTGTGCGTTCAACTCACAGAGTTTAACCTTTCTTTTCATAGAGCAGTTAGGAAACACTCTGTTTGTAGAGTCTGCAAGTTGATATTCAGACCTCCTTGAGGCCTTCGTTGGAAACGGGATTTCTTCATATTATGCTAGACAGAAGAATTCCCAGTAACTTCCTTGTGTTGTGTACATTCAACTCACAGAGTTGAACGTTCCCTTAGACAGAGCAGACTTGTAACACACTTTTTGTGGAATTTGCAAGTGGAGATTTCAGCCGCTTTGAAGTCAAAGGTAGAAAAGGAAATATCTTCCTATAAAAACTAGACAGAATGATTCTCAGAAACTCCTTTGTGATGTGTGCGTTCAACTCACAGAGTTTAACCTTTCTTTTCATAGAGGAGTTAGGAAACACTCTGTTTGTAAAGTCTGCAAGTGGATATTCAGACCTCCTTGAGGCCTTTGTTGGAAACGGGATTTCTTCATATCCTGCTAGACAGAAGAATTCTCAGTAACTTCCTTGTGTTGTGTGTATTCAACTCACAGAGTTGAACGATCCTTTACAGAGAGCAGACTTGAAACACTCTTTTTGTGGAATTTGCAAGTGGAGATTTCAGCCGCTTTGAGATCAATGGTAGAATAGGAAATATCTTCCTATAGAAACTAGACAGAATCATTCTCAAAAACTGCTGCGTGATGTTTGCGTTCAACTCTCAGAGTTTAACTTTTCTTTTCATTCAGCGGTTTGGAAACACTCTGTTTGTAAAGTCTGCACGTGGATATTTTGACCACTTAGAGGCCTTCGTTGGAAACGGGTTTTTTTCATGTAAGGCTAGACAGAAGAATTCCCAGTAACTTCCTTGTGTTGTGTGCATTCAACTCACAGAGTTGAACGTTTCCTTAGACAGAGCAGATTTGAAACACTCTATTTGTGCAATTTGCAAGTGTAGATTTCAAGCGCTTTAAGGTCAATGGCAGAAAAGGAAATATCTTCGTTTCAAAACTAGACAGAATCATTCCCAAAAACTGCGTTGTGATGTGTTCGTTCAACTCACAGAGTTTAACCTTTCTGTTCATAGAGCAGTTAGGAAACACTCTGTTTGTAAAGTCTGTAAGTAGATATTCTGACATCTTGTGGCCTTCGTTGGAAACGGGATTTCTTCATATTCTGCTAGACAGAAAGAATTCTCAGTAACTTCCTTGTGTTGTGTGTATTCAACTCACAGAGTTGAACGATCCTTTACACAGAGCAGACTTGAAACACTCTATTTGTGGAATTTGCAAGTGGAGATTTCAGCCGCTTTGAGGTCAATGATAGAAAAGGAAATATCTTCGTATAAAAACTAGACAGAATGATTCTCATAAACTCCTTTGTGAAGTGTGCGTTCAACTCACAGAGTTTAACCTTTCTTTTCATAGAGCAGTTAGGAAACACTCTGTTTGTTAAGTCTGTAAGTGGATATTCAGACCTCCTTGAGGCCTTCGTTGGAAACGGGATTTCTTCATATTATGCTAGACAGAAGAATTCTCAGAATCTTCCTTGTGTTGTGTGTATTCAACTCACAGAGTTGAACGATGGTTTACACAGAGCAGATTTGAAACACTCTTTTTGTGGAATTTGCAAGTGGAGATTTCAGCCGCTTTGAGGTCAATGGTAGAAAATGAAATATCCTTCGTATAAAAACTAGACAGAATGATTCTCAGAAAATCTTTTGTGATGTGTGCGTTCAACTCACAGAGTTTAACTTTTCTTCTCATAGAGCAGTTAGGAAACACTCTGTTTGTAAAGTCTGCAAGTGGATATTCAGACCTCCTTGAGGCCTTCGTTGGAAACGGGATTTCTTCATATTATGCTAAACAGAAGAATTCCCAGTAACTTCCTTGTGTTGTGTGTATTCAACTCACAGAGTTGAACTTTCATTTACACAGAGCAGATTGGAAACACTCTTTTTGTGGAATTTGCAAGTGGAGATTTCAAGCGCTTTGAGGCCAAAGGCAGAAAAGGAAATATCTTCGTATAAAAACTAGACAGAATCATTCTCAGAAACTGCTCTGCGATGTGTGCCTTCAGCGCTCAGAGTTTAACTTTTCTTTTCATTCAGCAGTTTGGAAACACTCTGTTTGTAAAGTCTGCACGTGGATATTTTGACCACTTAGAGGCCTTCGTTGCAAGCGGGTTTTTGTCATGTAAGGTTAGACAGAAGAATTCCCAGTAACTTCCTTGTGTTGTATACATTCAACTCACAGAGTTGAACGTTCCCTTAGACAGAGCAGATTTGAAACACTCTTTTTGTGCAATTGGCAAGTGGAGATTTCAAGCGCTTTGAGGTCAATGGCAGAAAAGGAAATATCTTCGTTTCAAAACTAGACAGAATGATTCTCAGAAACTCCTTTGTGATGTGTGCGTTCAACTCACAGAGTTTAACCTTTCTATTCATAGAGCAGTTAGGAAACACTCTGTTTGTAAAGTCTGCAAGTGGATATTCAGACATCCTTGAGGCTTTCGTTGGAAACGGGATTTCTTCATATTCTGCTAGAAAGAAGAATTCTCAGAAACTTCCTTGTGTTGTGTGTATTCAACTCACAGAGTTGAACGATCCTTTACACAGAGCAGACTTGAAACACTCTTTTTGTGGAATTTGCAAGTGGAGATTTCAGCCGCTTTGAGGTCAATGGTAGAAAAGGAAATATCTTCGTATAAAAACTAGACAGAATGATTCTCAGAAACTCCTTTGAGATGTGTGTGTTCAACTCACAGAGTTTAACCCTTCTTTTCATAGAGCAGTTAGGAAACACTCTGTTTGTAAAGTCTGCAAGTGGATATTCAGACCTCTTTGAGGCCTTCGTTGGAAACCGGATTTCTTCATACTGTGCTAGACAGAAGAATTCCCAGTAACTTCCTTGTGTTGTGTGTGTTCAACTCACAGAGTTGAACTTCCATTTACACAGAGCAGATTTGAAACACTCTTTTTGTGGAATTTGCAAGTGGAGATTTCAAGCACTTTGAGGCCAAAGGCAGAAAAGGAAATATCTTCGTTTCAAAACTAGACAGAATGATTCTCAGAAACTCCTTTGTGATGTGTGCGTTCAACTCACAGAGTTTAACCTTTCTTTTCATAGAGCAGTTAGGAAACACTCTGGTTGTAAAGTCTGCAAGTGGATATTTTGACCACTTAGAGGCCTTCGTTGGAAACGGGTTTTTTTTCATGTAAGACTAGACAGAAGAATTCTCAGAAACTTCCTTGTGTTGTGTGTTTTCAACTCACAGAGTTGAACGATGCTTTACACAGAGTAGACTTGAAACACTCTTTTTGTGGAATTTGCAAGTGGAGATTTCAGCCGCTTTGAGGTCAATGGTAGAAAAGGAAATATCTTTGTATAAAAACTAGACAGAATGATTCTCAGAAACTCCTTTGTGATGTGTGCGTTCAACTCACAGAGTTTAACCTTTCTTTTCATAGAGCAGTTAGGAAACACTCTGTTTGTAAAGTGTGCAAGTGGATATTCAGACCTCTTTGAGGCCTTCGTTGGAAACGGGATTTCTTCATATTCTGCTAGAGAGAAGAATTCTCAGTAACTTCCTTGTGATGTGTGTATTCAACTCACAGAGTTCAACGATCCTTTACACAGAGCAGACTTGAAACACTCTTTTTGTGGAATTTGCAAGTGGAGATTTCAGCCGCTTTGAGGTCAATGGTAGAATAGGAAATATCTTCCTATAGAAACTAGACAGAATGATTCTCAGAAACTCCTTTGTGATGTGTGTGTTCAACTCACAGAGTTTAACCTTTCTTTTCATAGAGCAGTTAGTAAACACTCTATTTATAAAGTCTGCAATTGGATATTCAGACCCCTTTGAGGCCTTCGTTGGAAACGGGATTTCTTCATATTATGTTAGACAGAAGAATTCCCAGTAACTTCCTTGTGTTGTGTGTGTTCAACTCACAGAGTTGAACTTTCATTTCCACAGAGCAGATTTGAAACACTCTTTTTGTGGAATTTGCAAATGGAGATTTCAAGCGCTTTGAGGCCAAAGGCAGAAAAGGATATATCTTCGTATAAAAACTAGACAGAATCATTCTCAGAAACTGCTCTGCGATGTGTGCGTTCAACTCTCAGAGTTTAACTTTTCTTTTCATTCAGCAGTTTCGAAACACTCTGTTTGTAAAGTCTGCACGTGGATAATTTGACCACTTAGAGGCCTTCGTTGGAAACGGGTTTTTTTCATGTAAGGATAGACAGAAGAATTCCCAGTAACTTCCTTGTGTTGTGTACATTCAACTCACAGAGTTGAACGTTCCCTTAGACAGAGCAGATTTGAAACACTCTTTTTGTGCAACTGGCAAGTGGAGATTTCAAGCGCTTTGAGGTCAATGGCAGAAAAGGAAATATCTTCGTTTCAAAACTAGACAGAATCATTCCCACAAACTGCGTTGTGATGTGTTCGTTCAACTCACAGACTTTAACCTTTCTTTTCATAGAGCAGTTAGGAAACAGTCTGTTTGTAAATTCTGTAAGTGGATATTCTGACATCTTGTGGCCTTCGTTGGAAACGGGATTTCTTCATATTCTGCTAGACAGAAGAATTCTCAGTAACTTCCTTGTGTTGTGTGTATTCAACTCACAGAGTTGAACGATCCCTTACACAGAGCAGACTTGAAACACTCTTTTTGTGGAATTTGCAAGTGGAGATTTCAGCCGCTTTGAGGTCAATGGTAGAAAAGGAAATATCTTCGTATAAAAACTAGACAGAATGATTCTCAGAAACTCCTTTGTGATGTGTGTGTTCAACTCACAGAATTTAACCTTTCTTTTCATAGAGCAGTTAGTAAACACTCTGTTTATAAAGTCTGCAAGTGGATATTCAGACCCCTTTGAGGCCTTCGTTGGAAACGGGATTTCTTCATATTATGCTAGACAGAAGAATTCTCAGTAACTTCCCTGTGTTGTGTGTATTCAACTCACAGAGTTGAACGATCCTTTACAGAGAGCAGACTTGAAACACTCTTTTTGTGGAATTTGCAAGTGGAGATTTCAGCCGCTTTGAGGTCAATGGTAGAATAGGAAATATCTTCCTATAGAAACTAGACAGAATGATTCTCAGAAACTCCTTTGTGATGTGTGCGTTCAACTCACAGAGTTTAACCTTTCTTTTCATAGAGCAGTTAGGACACACTCTGTTTGTAAAGTCTGCAAGTGGATATTCAGACCTCTTTGAGGCCTTCGTTGGAAACGGGATTTCTTCATATTATGCTAGACAGAAGAATTCTCAGTCACTTCCTTGTGTTGTGTGTATTCAACTGACAGAGTTGAACTTTCATTTAGAGAGAGCAGATTTGAAACACTGTTTTTGTGGAATTTGCAAGTGGAGATTTCAAGCGCTTTGGGGCCAAAGGCAGAAAAGGATATATCTTCGTATAAAAACTGGACAGAATCATTCTCAGAAACTGCTCTGCGATGTGTGCGTTCAACTCTCAGAGTTTAACTTTTCTTTTCATTCAGCAGTTTGGAAACACTCTGTTTGTAAAGTCTGCTCGTTGATAATTTGACCACTTAGAGGCCTTCGTTGGAAACGGGTTTTTTTCATATAAGGCTAGACAGAAGAATTCCCAGTAACTTCCTTGTGTTGTGTGCATTCAACTCACAGAGTTGAACGTTCCCTTAGACAGAGCAGATTTGAAACACTCTATTTGTGCAATTTGCAAGTGTAGATTTCAAGCGCTTTCAGGTCAATGGCAGAAAAGGAAATATCTTCGTTTCAAAACTAGACAGAATCATTCCCACAAACTGCGTTGTGATGTGTTCGTTCAACTCACAGAGTTTAACCTTTCTTTTCATAGAGCAGTTAGGAAACAGTCTGTTTGTCAATTCTGTAAGTGGATATTCTGACATCTTGTGGCCTTCGTTGGAAACGGGTTTTCTTCATATTCTGCTAGACAGAAGAATTCTCAGTAACTTCCTTGTGTTGTGTGTATTCAACTCACAGAGTTCAACGATGCTTTACACAGAGTAGATTGAAACACACTTTTTTTTGAATTTGCAAGTGGAGATTTCAGCCGCTTTGAGGTCAATGGTAGAATAGGAAATATCTTCCTATAGAAACTAGACAGAATGATTCTCAGAAACTTCTTTGTGATGTGTGCGCTCAACTCACAGAGTTTAACCTTTCTTTTCATAGAGCATTTAGGAAACACTCTGTTTGTAAAGTCTGCAAGTGGATATTCAGACCTCTTTGAGGCCTTCGTAGGAAACGGGATTTCTTCATATTATGCTAGACAGAAGAATTCCCAGTAACATCCTTGTGTTGTGTGTGTTCAACTCACAGAGTTGAACTTTCATTTACACAGATCAGATTTGAAAGACTCTTTTTGTGGAATTTGCAAATGGAGATTTCAAGCGCTTTGAGGCCAAAGGCAGAAAAGGAAATATCTTCGTATAAAAACTAGACAGAATCATTCTCAGAAACTGCTCTGCGATGTGTGCGTTCAACTGTCAGAGTTTAACTTTTCTTTTCATTCAGCAGTTTGGAAACACTCTGGTTGTAAAGTCTGCACGTGGATATTTTGACCACTTAGAGGCCTTCGTTGGAAACGGGTTTTTTTCCTGTAAGGCTAGACAGAAGATTTCCCAGTAATTTCCTTGTGTTGTGTGCTTCAACTCACAGAATTGAACGTTCCGTTAGACAGAGCAGATTTGAAACACTCTATTTGTGCAATTTGCAAGTGTAGATTTCAAGCGCTTTAAGGTCGTTGGCAGAAAAGGAAATATCTTCGTTTCAAAAGTAGACAGAATGATTCTCAGAAACTTCATTGTGATGTGTGTGTTCAACTCACAGAGTTTAACCTTTCTTTTCATAGAGCAGTTGGGAAACAGTCTGTTTGTAAATTCTGTAAGTGGATATTCTGACATCTTGTGGCCTTCGTTGGAAACGGGATTTCTTCATATTCTGCTAGACAGAAGAATTCTCAGTAACTTCCTTGTGTTGTGTGTATTCAACCCACAGAGTTGAACGATCCTTTACACAGAGCAGACTTGAAACACTCTTTTTCTGGAATTTGCAAGTGGAGATTTCAGCCGCTTTGAGGTCAATGGTAGAATAGGAAATATCTTCCTATAGAAACTAGACAGAATGATTCTCATAAACTACTTTGTGATGTGTGCGTTCAACTCACAGAGTTTAACCTTTCTTTTCATAGAGCAGTTAGGAAACACTCTGTTTGTAAAGTCTGCAAGTGGATATTCAGACCTCTTTGAGGCCTTCGTTGGAAACGGGATTTCTTCATATTCTGCTAGACAGAAGAATTCTCAGTAACTTCCTTGTGTTGTGTGTATTCAACTCACAGAGTTGAACGATCCTTTACACAGAGCATTCTTGAAACACTCTTTTTGTGGAATTTGCAAGTGGAGATTTCAGCCGCTTTGAGGTCAATAGTAGAAAAGGAAATATCTTCGTAGAAAAACTAGACAGAAATCATTCTCAGAAACTGCTGCGTGATGTGTGCGTTCAACTCTCAGAGTTTAACTTTTCTTTTCATTCAGCGGTTTGGAAACACTCTGTTTGTAAAGTCTGCAAGTGGATATTTTGACCACTTAGAGGCCTTCGTTGGAAACGGGTTTTTTTCATGTAAGGCTAGACAGAAGAATTCCCAGTAACTTCCTTGTGTTGTGTGCATTCAACTCACAGAGTTGAACGTTCCCTTAGACAGAGCAGATTTGAAACACTCTATTTGTGCAATTTGCAAGTGTAGATTTCAAGCGCTTTAAGGTCAATGGCAGAAAAGGAAATGTCTTCGTTTCAAAACTAGACAGAATGATTCTCAGAAACTTCATTGTGATGTGTGCGTTCAACTCACAGAGTTTAACCTTTCTTTTCATAGAGCAGTTAGGAAACACTCTGTTTGTAAACTCTGCAAGTGGATATTCAGACCTCTTTGCTGCCTTCGTTGGAAACGGGATTTCTTCATACTGTGCTAGACAGAAGAATTCTCAGTAACTTCCTTGTGTTGTGTGTATTTAACTCACAAAATTGAACGATCCTTTACACAGAGCGGACTTGAAACACTCTTTTTGTGTAATTTGCAAGTGGAGATTTCAGCCGCGTTGAGGTCAACGGTAGAAAAGGAAATATCTTCGTATAAAAACTAGACAGAATGATTCTCAGAAACTGCTTTGTGATGTGTGCGTTCAACTCACAGAGTTCAACCTTTCTTTTCATAGAGCAGTTGGGAAACACTCTGTTTTTAAGTCTGCAAGTGGATATTCAGACTTCTTTGAGGCCTTCGTTGGAAGCGGGATTTCTTCATGTTCTGCTAGACAGAGGAATTCCCAGTAACTTCCTTGTGCTGTGTGTGTTCAACTCACAGAGTTGAACTTTCATTTACACAGAGCAGATTTGAAACACTCTTTTTGTGGAATTTGCAAATGGAGATTTCAAGCGCTTTGAGGCCAAAGGCAGAAAAGGAAATATCTTCGTTTCAAAACTAGACAGAATCATTCTCAGAAACTGCTCTGCGATGTGTGCCTTCAACTCTCAGAGTTTAACTTTTCTTTTCATTCAGCAGTTTGGAAACACTCTGTTTGTAAAGTCTGCACGTGGATATTTTGACCACTTAGAGGCCTTCGTTGGAATCGGGTTTTTTTCCTCTAAGGCTAGACAGAAGAATTCTCAGAAACTTCCTTGTGTTGTGTGTATTCAACTCACAGAGTTGAACGATCGTTTACACAGAGCAGACTTGAGACACTCTTTTTGTGGAATTTGTAAGTGGAGATTTCAGCCGCTTTGAGGTCAATGGTAGAAATGGAAATATCTTCATATAAAAACTAGACAGAATCATTCCCACAAACTGCGTTGTGATGTGTTCGTTCAACTCACAGACTTTAACCTTTCTGTTCATAGAGCAGTTAGGAAACACTCTGTTTGTAAAGTCTGCAAGTGGATATTCAGACCTCCTTGAGGCCTTCGTTGGAAACGGGATTTCTTCATATTCTGCTAGACAGAAGAATTCCCAGTAACTTCCTTGTGTTGTGTGTGTTCAACTCACAGAGTTGAACTTTCATTTACACAGCGCAGATTTGAAACACTCTTTTTGTGGAATTTGCAAGTGGAGATTTCAAGCGCTTTGAGGCCAAAGGCAGAAAAGGAAATATCTTCGTATAAAAACTAGACAGAATCATTCTCAGAAACTGCTGCGTGATGTGTGCGTTCAACTCTCAGAGTTTAACTTTGCTTTTCATTCAGCGGTTTGGAAACACTCTGTTTGTAAAGTCTGCACGTGGATATTTTGACCACTTAGTGGCCTTCGTTGGAAACGGGTTTTTTTCATGTAAGGCTAGACAGAAGAATTCCCAGTAACTTCCTTGTGTTGTGTACATTCAACTCACAGAGTTGAACGTTCCCTTAGACAGAGCAGATTTGAAACACTCTTTTTGTGCAATTGGCAAGTGGAGATTTCAAGCGCTTTGAGGTCAATGGCAGAAAAGGAAATATCTTCGTTTCAAAACTAGACAGAATGATTCTCATAAACTCCTTTTTGATGTGTGCGTTCAACACACAGAGTTTAACCTTTCTGTTCATAGAGCAGTTCGGAAACACTCTGTTTGTAAAGTTTGTAAGTGGATATTCTGACATCTTGTGGCCTTCGTTGGAAACGGGATTTCTTCATATTCTGCTAGACAGAAGAATTCTCAGAAACTTCCTTGTGTTGTGTGTATTCAACTCACAGAGTTGAATGATCCTTTACACAGAGCAGACTTGAAACACTCTTTTTGTGGAATTTGCAAGTGGAGATTTCAGCCGCTTTGTGGTCAATGGTAGAAAAGGAAATATCTTCGTATAAAGACTAGACAGAATGATTCTGAGAAACTCCTTTGTGATGTGTGCGTTCAACTCACACAGTTTAACCTTTCTTTTCATAGAGCAGTTAGGAAACACTCTGTTTGTAAAGTCTGCAAGTGGATATTCAGACCTCCTTGAGGCTTTCGTTGGAAACGGGATTTCTTCATATTCTGCTAGAAAGAAGAATTCTCAGTAACTGCCTTGTGTTGTGTGTATTCAACTCACAGAGTTGAACGATCCTTTACACAGAGCAGACTTGAAATACTCTTTTTGTGGAATTTGCAAGTGGAGATTTCAGCCGCTTTGAGGTCAATGGTAGAATAGGAAATATCTTCCTATAGAAACTAGACAGAATGATTCTCAGAAACTCCTTTGTGATGTGTACGTTCAACTCACAGAGTTTAACCTTTCTTTTCATAGAGCAGTTAGGAAACACTCTGTTTGTAAAGTCTGCAAGTGGATATTCAGACATCTTTGAGGCTTTCTTTGGAAACGGGATTTCTTCATATTCTGCTATACAGAAGAATTCTCAGAAACTTCCTTGTGTTGTGTGTTTTCAACTCACAGAGTTCAACGATCCTTTACACAGAGTAGACTTGAAACACTGTTTTTGTGGAATTGGCAAGTGGAGATTTCAGCCGCTATGAGGTCAATGGTAGAAAAGGAAATATCTTCGTATAAAAACTAGACAGAATGATTCTCAGAAACTCCTTTGTGATGTGTGCGTTCAACTCACAGAGTTTAACCTTTCTTTTCATAGAGCAGTTGGGAAACACTCTTTTTGTAAAGTCTGCAAGTGGATATTCAGACATCCTTGAGGCTTTCCTTGGAAACGGGATTTCTTCATATTCTGCTAGAAAGAAGAATTCTCAGTAACTTCCTTGTGTTGTGTGTATTCAACTCACAGAGTTGAATGATCCTTTACAAAGAACAGTCTTGAAACACTCTTTTTGTGGAATTTGCAAGTGGAGATTTCAGCCGCTTTGAGGTCAATGGTAGAATAGGAAATATCTTCTTATAGAAACTAGACAGAATGATTCTCAGAAACTACTTTGTGATGTGTGTGTTCAACTCACAGAGTTTAACCTTTCTTTTCATAGAGCAGTTAGTAAACACTCTGTTTATAAAGTCTGCAAGTGGATATTCCGACCCCTTTGAGGCCTTCGTTGGAAACGGGATTTCTTCATATTATGCTAGACAGAAGAATTCTCAGTAACTTCCTTGTGTTGTGTGTATTCAAGTGACAGAGTTGAACTTTCATTTAGAGAGAGCAGATTTGAAACACTGTTTTTGTGGAATTTGCAAGTGGAGATTTCAAGCGCTTTGGGGCCAAAGGCAGAAAAGGAAATATCTTCGTATATAAACTAGACAGAATGATTCTCAGAAACTCCTTTGTGATGTGTGCATTCAACTCACAGAGTTTAACCATTCTTTTCATAGAGCAGTTAGGAAACACTCTGTTTGTAAAGACTGCAAGTGGATATTCAGACCTCCTTGAGGCCTTCGTTGGAAACGGGACTTCTTCATATTATGCTACACAGAAGAATTCTCAGTAACTTCCTTGTGTTGTGTGTATTCAACTCACAGAGTTGAACGATCCTTTACACAGAACATACTTGAAACACTCTTTTTGTGGAATTTGCAAGTGGAGATTTCAGCCGCTTTGAGGTCAATGGTAGAATAGGAAATATCTTCCTATAGAAACTAGACAGAATGATTCTCAGAAACTCCTTTGTGAAGTGTGCGTTCAACTCACAGAGTTTAACCTTTCTGTTCATAGAGCAGTTAGGAAACACTCTGTTTGTAAAGTCTGCAAGTGGATATTCAGACCTCCTTGAGGCCTTCGTTGGAAACGGGATTTCTTCATATTCTGCTAGACAGAAGAATTCTCAGTAACTTCCTTGTGTTGTGTGTATTCAACTGAGAGAGTTGAACTATCATTTAGAGACAGCAGATTTGAAACACTGTTTTTGTGGAATTTGCAAGTGGAGATTTCAAGCGCTTTGGGGCCAAAGGCAGAAAAGGAAATATCTTCGTATAAAAACTAGACAGAATGATTCTCAGAAACTCCTTTGTGATGTGTGCGTTCAACTCACAGAGTTTAACCTTTCTTTTCATAGAGCAGTTAGGAAACACTCTGTTTGTAAAGTCTGCACGTGGATATTTTGACCACTTAGAGGCCTTCGTTGGAAACGGGTTTTCTTCCTGTAAGGCTAGACAGAAGAATTCCCAGTAACTTCCTTGTGTTGTGTACATTCAACTCACAGAGTTGAACGTTCCCTTAGACAGAGCAGATTTGAAACACTCTTTTTGTGCAATTGGCAAATGGAGATTTCAAGCGCTTTAAGGTCAATGGCAGAAAAGGAAATATCTTCGTTTCAAAAATAGACAGAATCATTCCCACAAACTGCGTTGTGATGTGTTCGTTCAACTCACAGAGTTTAACCTTTCTGTTCATAGAGCAGTTAGGAAACACTCTGTTTGTAAAGTCTGTAACTGGATATTCTGACATTTTGTGGCCTTCGTTGGAAACGGGATTTCTTCATATTCTGCTAGACAGAAGAATTCTCAGTAACTGCCTTGTGTTGTGTGTATTCAACTCACAGAGTTGAACGATCCTTAACACAGAGCAGACTTGAAACACTCTTTTTGTGGAACTTGCAAGTGGAGATTTCAGCCGCTTTGAGGTCAATGGTAGAATAGGAAATATCTTCCTATAGAAACTAGACAGAATGATTCTCATAAACTCCTTTGTGATGTGTGCGTTCAACTCACAGAGTTTAACCTTTCTGTTCATAGAGCAGTTAGGAAACACTCTGTTTGTAAAGTCTGCAAGTGGATATTCAGAACTCCTTGAGGCCTTCGTTGGAAACGGGATTTCTTCATATTCTGCTAGACAGAAGAATTCTCAGTAACTTCCTTGTGTTGTGTGTATTCAACTCACAGAGTTGAACGATCCTTTACACAGAGCAGACTTGAAACACTCTTTTTGTGGAATTTGCAAGGGGAGATTTCAGCCGCTTTGAGTTCAATGGTAGAATAGGAAATATCTTCCTATAGAAACTAGACAGAATGATTCTCAGAAACTCCTTTGTGATGTGTGCCTTCAACTCACAGAGTTTAACCTTTCTTTTCATAGAGCAGTTAGGAAACACTCTGTTTGTAAAGTCTGCAAGTGGATATTCAGACCTCTTTGAGGCCTTCGTTGGAAACGGGATTTCTTCATACTATGCTAGACAGAAGAATTCTCAGTAACTTCCTTGTGTTGTGTGTATTCAACTCACAGAGTTGAACGATCCTTTACACAGAGCAGACTTGAAACACTCTTTTTGTGGAATTTGCAAGGGGGGATTTCTGCCGCTTTGAGGTCAATGGTAGAATAGGAAATATCTTCCTATAGAAACTAGACAGAACGATTCTCAGAAACTCCTTTGTGATGTGAGCGTTCAACTCACAGAGTTTAACCTTTCTTTTCATAGAGCAGTTAGGAAACACTCTGTTTGTAAAGTCTGCAAGTGGATATTCAGACCTCTTTGAGGCCTTCTTTGGAAACGGGATTTCTTCATATTCTGCTAGACAGAAGAATTCTCAGTAACTTCCTTGTGTTGTGTGTATTCAACTGACAGAGTTGAACTTTCATTTAGAGAGAGCAGATTTGAAACACTGTTTTTGTGGAATTTGCAAGTGGAGATTTCAAGCGCTTTGGGGCCAAAGGCAAAAAAGGAAATATCTTCGTATAAAAACTAGACAGAATCATTCTCAGAAACTGCTCTGCGATGTGTGCGTTCAACTCTCAGAGTTTAACTTTTCTTTTCATTCAGCAGTTTGGAAACACTCTGTTTGTAAAGTCTGCACGTGGATATTTTGACCACTTAGAGGTCTTCGTTGGAAACGGGTTTTTTTCCTGTAAGGCTTGACAGAAGAATTCCCAGTAACTTCCTTGTGTTGTGTGCATTCAACTCACAGAGTTGAAAGTTCCCTTAGACAGAGCAGATTTGAAACACTCTATTTGTGCAATTTGCAAGTGTAGATTTCAAGCGCTTTAAGGTCAATGGCAGAAAAGGAAATATCTTCGTTTCAAAGCTAGACAGAATCATTCCCACAAACTGCGTTGTGATGTGTGCGTTCAACTCAAAGAGTTTAACCTTTCTTTTCATAGAGCAGTTAGGAAACACTCTGTTTGTAAAGTCTTCAAGTGGATATTCAGACCTCCTTGAGGCCTTCGTTGGAAACGGGATTTCTTCATATTCTGCTAGACAGAAGAATTCTCAGTAACTTCCTTGTGTTGTGTGTATTCAACTCACAGAGTTGAACGATCCTTTACACAGAGCAGACTTGAAACACTCTTTTTCTGGAATTTGCAAGTGGAGATTTCAGCCGCTTTGAGGTCAATTGTAGAATAGGAAATATCTTCCTATAGAAACTAGACAGAATGATTCTCAGAAACACTTTTGTGATGTGTGCGTTCAACTCACAGAGTTTAACCTTTCTTTTCATAGAGCAGTTAGGAAACACTCTGTTTGTAAAGTCTGCAAGTGGATATTCAGACCTCTTTGAGGCCTTCGTTGGAAACGGGATTTCTTCATATTCTGCTAGACAGAAGGATTCCCAGTAACTTCCTTGTGTTGTGTGTGTTCAACTCACAGAGTTGAACTTTCATTTACAAAGAGCAGATTTGAAACACTCTTTTTGTGGAATTTGCAATTGGAGATTTCAAGCGCTTTGAGGCCAAAGGCAGAAAAGGAAATATCTTCGTATAAAAACTAGACAGAATCATTCTCAGAAACTGCTCTGCGATGTGTGCGTTCAACTCTCAGAGTTTAACTTTTGTTTTCATTCAGCAGTTTGGAAACACTCTGTTTGTAAAGTCTGCACGTGGATAATTTGACCACTTAGAGTTCTTCGTTGGAAACGGGTTTTTTTCATGTAAGGCTAGACAGAAGAATTCTCAGTAACTTCCTTGTGTTGTGTGTATTCAACTCACAGAGTTGAACGATCCTTTACACAGAGCAGACTTGTAACACTCTTTTTGTGGAATTTGCAAGTGGAGATTTCAGCCGCTTTGAAGTCGAAGGTACAAAAGGAAATATCTTCCTATAAAAACTAGACAGAATGATTCTCAGAAACTCCTTTGTGATGTGTGCGTTCAACTCACAGAGTTTAACCTTTCTTTTCATAGAGCAGTTAGGAAACACTCTGTTTGTAAAGTCTGCAAGTGGATATTCAGACATCCTTGAGGCTTTCGTTGGAAACGGGATTTCTTCATGTTCTGCTAGAAAGAAGAATTCTCAATAACTTCCTTGTGTTGTGTGTATTCAACTGACAGAGTTGAACCTTCCTTCAGATAGAGCAGATTTGAAACACTCTTTTTGTGTAATTTGCAAGTGGAGATTTCAAGCGCTTTGAGGCCAAAGGCAGAAAAGGAAATATCTTCGTATAAAAACTAGACAGAATCATTCCCACAAACTGCGTTGTGATGTGTTCGTTCAACTCACAGAGTTTAACCTTTCTTTTCATAGAGCAGTTAGGAAACAGTCTGTTTGTAAATTCTGTAAGTGGATATTCTGACATCTTGCGGCCTTCGTTGGAAACGGGATTTCTTCATATTCTGCTAGACAGAAGAATTCCCAGTAACTTCCTTGTGTTTTGTACATTCAACCCACAGAGTTGAACGTTTCCTTAGACAGAGCAGATTTGAAACACTCTTTTTGTGCAATTGGCAAGTGGTGATTTCAACCACTTTCAGGTCAAAGGTAGAAAAGGAAATATCTTCCTATAAAAACTAGACAGAATCATTCCCACAAACTGCGTTGTGATGTGTTCCTTCAACTCACAGAGTTTAACGTTTCCGTTCATAGAGCAGTTAGGAAACACACTGTTTGTAAAGTCTGTAAGTGGATATTCTGACATCTTGTGGCCTTCGTTGGAAACGGGATTTCTTCATATTCTGCTAGACAGAAGAATTCTCAGTAACTTCCTTGTGTTGTGTGTATTCAACTCACAGAGTTGAATGATCCTTTACACAGAGCAGACTTGAAACGCTCTTTTTGTGGAATTTGCAAGTGGAGATTTCAGCCGCGTTGAGGTCAATGGTAGAAAAGGAAATATCTTCGTATAAAAACTAGACAGAATGATTCTCAGAAACTTCTTTGTGATGTGTGCGCTCAACTCACAGAGTTTAACTTTTCTTTTCATAGAGCAGTTAGGAAACACTCTGTTTGTAAACTCTGCAAGTGGATATTCAGACCTCTTTGAGGCCTTCGTTGGAAACGGGATTTCTTCATATTATGCCTGAGAGAAGAATTCTCAGTAACTTCCTTGTGTTGTGTGCATTCAACTCACAGAGTTGAACGTTCCCTTAGACAGAGCAGATTTGAAACACTCTATTTGTGCAATTTGCAAGTGTAGATTTCAAGCGCTTTGAGGCCAACGGCAGAAAAGGAAATATCTTCGTAGAAAAAATAGACGGAAATCATTCCCACAAACTGCGTTGTGATGTGTTCGTTCATCTCACAGAGTTTAAGCTTTCTTTTCATAGAGCAGTTAGGAAACACTCTGTTTGTAAATTCTGTAAGTGGATATTCTGACATCTTGTGGCCTTCGTTGGAAACGGGATTTCTTCATATTCTACTAGACAGAAGAATTCCCAGTAACTTCCTTGTGTTGTGTACATTCAACTCACAGAGTTGAACGTTCCCTTAGACAGAGCAGATTTGAAACACTCTTTTTGTGCAATTGGCAAGTGGAGATTTCAAGCGCTTTGAGGTCAATGGCAGAAAAGGAAATATCTTCGTTTCAAAACTAGACAGAATCATTCCCACAAACTGCGTTGTGATGTGTTCGTTCAACTCACAGAGTTTAACCTTTCTTTTCATAGAGCAGTTAGGAAACAGTCTGTTTGTGAATTCTGTAAGTGGATATTCTGACATCTTGTGGCCTTCGTTGGAAACGGGATTTCTTCATATTCTGCTAGACAGAAGAATTCTCAGAAACTTCCTTGTGTTGTGTGTATTCAACTCACAGAGTTGAACGATCCTTTACAGAGAGCAGACTTGAAACACTCTTTTTGTGGAATTTGCAAGTGGAGATTTCAGCCGCTTTGAGGTCAATGGTAGAATAGGAAATATCTTCCTATAGAAACTAGACAGAATGATTCTCAGAAACTCCTTTGTGATGTGTGCGTTCATCTCACAGAGTTTAACTTTTCTTTTCATGGAGCAGTTAGGAAACACTCTGTTTGTAAAGTCTGCAAGTGGATATTCAGACCTCTTTGAGGCCTTCGTTGGAAACGGGATTTCTTCGTATTCTGCTAGACAGAGGATTCCCAGTAACTTCCTTGTGTTGTGTGTGTTCAACTCACAGAGTTGAACTTTCATTTACAAAGAGCAGATTTGAAACACTCTTTTTGTGGAATTTGCAAGTGGAGATTTCAAGCGCTTTGAGGCCAAAGGCAGAAAAGGAAATATCTTCGTATAAAAACTAGACAGAATCATTCTCAGAAACTGCTGCGTGACGTGTGCGTTCAACTCTCAGAGTTTAACTTTTCTTTTCATTCAGCGGTTTGGAAACACTCTGTTTGTAAAGTCTGCACGTGGATATTTTGACCACTTAGAGGCCTTCGTTGGAAACGGGTTTTTTTCATGTAAGGCTAGACAGAAGAATTCCCAGTAACTTCCTTGTGTTGTGTGCATTCAACTCACAGAGTTGAACGTTCCCTTAGACAGAGCAGATTTGAAACACTCTATTTGTGCAATTTGCAAGTGTAGATTTCAAGCGCTTTAAGGTCAATGGCAGAAAAGAAAATATCTTCGTTTCAAAACTAGACAGAATCATTCCCACAAACTGCGTTGTGATGTGTTCGTTCAACTCACAGAGTTTAACCATTCTTTTCATAGAGCAGTTAGGAAACAGTCTGTTTGTCAATTCTGTAAGTGGATATTCTGACATCTTGTGGCCTTCGTTGGAAACGGGATTTCTTCATATTCTGCTAGACAGAAGAATTCTCAGAATCTTCCTTGTGTTGTGTGTATTCAACTCACAGAGTTGAACGATCCTTCACACAGAGCAGACTTGAAACACTCTTTTTGTGGAATTTGCAAGTGGAGATTTCAGCCGCTTTGAGGTCCATGGTAGAAAAGGAAATATCTTCGTATAAAAACTAGACAGAATGATTCTCAGAAACTCCTTTGTGATGTGTGCGTTCAACTCACAGAGTTTAACCTTTCTGTTCATAGAGCTGTTAGGAAACACTCTGTTTGTAAAGTCTGCAAGTGGGTATTCAGACCTCCTTGAGGCCTTCGTTGGAAACGGGATTTCTTCATATTTTGCTAGACAGAAGAATTCTCAGTAACTTCCTTGTGTTGTGTGTATTCAACTGACAGAGTTGAACTTTCATTTAGAGAGAGCAGTTTTGAAACACTGTTTTTGTGGAATTTGCAAGTGGAGATTTCAAGCGCTTTGGGGCCAAAGGCAGAAAAGGAAATATCTTCGTATAAAAACTAGACAGAATCATTCTCAGAAACTGCTCTGCGATGTGTGCGTTCAACTCTCAGAGTTTAACTTTTCTTTTCATTCAGCAGTTTGGAAACACTCTGTTT
This sequence comes from Homo sapiens, assembly GCF_000001405.40. Classification (NCBI taxonomy): domain Eukaryota; kingdom Metazoa; phylum Chordata; class Mammalia; order Primates; family Hominidae; genus Homo; species Homo sapiens. The sequence continues at coordinate 122,885,486 of NC_000001.11, forward strand.
GAAAAGTCTGCACGTGGATATTTTGACCACTTAGAGGCCTTCGTTGGAAACGCGTTTTTTTCCTGTAAGGCTAGACAGAAGAATTCCCAGTAACTTCCTTGTGTTGTGTACATTCAACTCACAGAGTTGAACGTTCCCTTAGACAGAGCAGATTTGAAACACTCTTTTTGTGAAATTGGCAAGTGGTGATTTCAGCCGCTTTGAGGTCAATGGTAGAAAAGGAAATATCTTCGTATAAAAACTAGACAGAATCATTCCCACAAACTGCGTTGTGATGTGTTCGTTCAACTCACAGAGTTTAACCTTTCTGTTCATAGAGCAGTTAGGAAACACTCTGTTTGTAAAGTCTGCAAGTGGATATTCAGACCTCCTTGAGGCCTTCGTTGGAAACGGGGTTTCTTCATATTCTGCTAGACAGAAGAATTCTCAGTAACTTCCTTGTGTTGTGTGTATTCAACTCACAGAGTTGAACGATCCTTTACACAGAGCAGACTTGAAACATTCTTTTTGTCGAATTTGCAAGTGGAGATTTCAGCCGCTTTGAGGTCAATGGTAGAATAGGAAATATCTTCCTATAGAAACTAGACAGATAATGATTCTCAGAAACTCCTTTGTGATGTGTGCGTTCAACTCACAGAGTTTAACCTTTCTTTTCATAGAGCAGTTAGGAAACACTCTGTTTGTAAAGTCTGCAAGTGGATATTCAGACCTCTTTGAGGCCTTCGTTGGAAACGGGTTTTTTTCATATAAGGCTAGACAGAAGAATTCCCAGTAACTTCCTTGTGTTGTGTGTGTTCAACTCTGTGAGTTGAACTTCCATTTACACAGAGCAGATTTGAAACACTCTTTTTGTGGAATTTGCAAGTGGAGATTTCAAGCGCTTTGAGGCCAAAGGCAGAAAAGGAAATATCTTCGTTTCAAAACTAGACAGACTCATTCTCAAGAAACTGCTCTGCGATGTGTGCGTTCAACTCTCAGAGTTTAACTTTTCTTTTCATTCAGCAGTTTGGAAACACTCTGTTTGTAAAATCTGCACGTGGATATTTTGACCACTTAGAGGCCTTCGTTGGAAACGGGTTTCTTTCCTGTAAGGCTAGACAGAAGAATTCCCAGTAACTTACTTGTGTTGTGTACATTCAACTCACAGAGTTGAACGTTCCCTTAGACAGAGCAGATTTGAAACACTCTTTTTGTGCAATTGGCAAGTGGTGATTTCAGCTGCTTTGAGGTCTATGGTAGAAAAGGGAATATCTTCGGTATAAAAACTAGACAGAATCATTCCCACAAACTGCGTTGTGATGTGTTCGTTCAACTCACAGAGTTTAACCTTTCTGTTCATAGAACAGTTAGGAAACACTCTGTTTGTAAAGTCTGCAAGTGGATATTCAGACCTCCTTGAGGCCTTCGTTGGAAACGGGATTTCTTCATATTCTGCTAGACCGAAGAGTTCTCAGAATCTTCCTTGTGTTGTGTGTATTCAACTCACAGAATTGAACGATCCTTTACACAGAGCAGACTTGAAACACTCTTTTTGTGGAATTTGCAAGTGGAGATTTCAGCCGCTTTGAGGTCCATGGTAGAAAAGGAAATATCTTCGTATAAAAACTAGACAGAATGATTCTCAGAAACTCCTTTGTGATGTGTGCGTTCAACTCACAGAGTTTAACCTTTCTTTTCATAGAGCAGTTAGGAAACACTCTGTTTCTAAAGTCTGCAAGTGGATATTCAGACCTCTTTGAGGCCTTCGTTGGAAACGGGTTTTTTTCATATAAGGCTAGAGAGAAGAATTCCCAGTAACTTCCTTGTGTTGTGTGTGTTCAACTCACAGAGTTGAACTTTCATTTACACAGAGCAGATTTGAAACACTCTTTTTGTGGAATTTGCAAGTGGAAATTTCAAGCGCTGTGAGGCCAAAGGCAGAAAAGGAAATATCTTCGTATAAAAACTAGACAGAATCATTCTCAGAAACTGCTCTGCGATGTGTGCGTTCAACTCTCAGAGTTTAACTTTGCTTTTCATACAGCAGTTTGGAAACACTCTGTTTGTAAAGTCTGCACGTGGATAATTTGACCACTTAGAGGCCTTCGTTGGAAACGGGTTTTTTTCATGTAAGGCTAGACAGAAGAATTCTCAGTAACTTCCTTGTGTTGTGTGTATTCAACTCACAGAGTTGCACGATCCTTTACACAGAGCAGACTTGAAACACTCTTTTTGTGGAATTTGCAAGTGGAGATTTCAGCCGCTTTGAGGTCAATGGTAGAATAGGAAATATCTTCCTATAGACACTAGACAGAATGATTCTCAGAAACTGCTTTGTGATGTGTGTGTTCAACTCACAGAGTTTAACATTTCTTTTCATAGAGCAGTTAGGAAACACTCTGTTTGTAAAGTCTGCAAGTGGATATTCAGACCTCTTTGAGGCCTTCGTTGGAAACGGGTTTTTTTCATATAAGGCTAGACAGAAGAATTCTCAGTAACTTCCTTGTGTTGTGTGTATTCAACTGACAGAGTTGAACTTTCATTTAGAGAGAGCAGATTTGAAACACTGTTTTTGTGGAATTTGCAAGTGGAAATTTCAAGTGCTTTGGGGCCAAAGGCAGAAAAAGAAATATCTTCGTATAAAAACTTGACAGAATCACTCTCAGAAACTGCTCTGCGATGTGTGCGTTCAACTCTCAGAGTTTAACTTTTGTTTTCATTCAGCAGTTTGGAAACACTCTGTTTGTAAAGTCTGCACGTGGATATTTTGACCACTCAGAGGCCTTCGTTGGAAACGGGTTTTTTTCCTGTAAGGCTAGACAGAAAGAATTCCCAGTAACTTCCTTGTGTTGTGTGCATTCAACTCACAGAGTTGAACGTTCCCTTAGACAGAGCAGATTTGAAACACTCTATTTGTGCAATTTGAAAGTGTAGATTTCAAGCGCTTTAAGGTCAACGGCAGAAAAGGAAATATCTTCGTTTCAAAACTAGACAGATGATTCTCAGAAACTCCTTTGTGATGTGTGCGTTCAACTCACAGAGTTTAACCTTTCTTTTCATAGAGCAGTTAGGAAACATTCTGTTTGTAAAGTCTGCAAGTGGATATTCAGACATCTTTGAGGTTTTCGTAGGAAACGGGATTTCTTCATATTCTGCTAGACAGAAGAATTCTCAGAAACTTCCTTGTGTTGTGTTTATTCAACTCACAGAGTCGAACGATCCTTTACTCAGAGCAGACTTGAAACACTCCATTTGTGGAATTTGCAAGTGGAGATTTCAGCCGCTTTGAGGTCAATGGTAGAATAGGAAATATCTTCCTATGGAAACTAGACAGAATGATTCTCAGAAACTCCTTTGTGCTGTGTGCGTTCAGCTCACAGAGTTTAAACTTTCTTTTCATAGAGCAGTTAGGAAACACTCTGTTTGTAAAGTCTGCAAGTGGATATTCAGACATCTTTGAGGCTTTCGTTGGAAACGGGATTTCTTCATATTCTGCTAGACAGAAGAATTCTCAGAAACTTCCTTGTGTTGTGTGTTTTCAACTCACAGAGTTCAACGATCCATTACACAGAGTAGACTTGAAACACTCTTTTTGTGGAATTGGCAAGTGGAGATTTCAGCCGCTTTGAGGTCAATGGTAGAAAAGGAAATATCTTCGTATAAAAACTAGACAGAGTGATTCTCAGAAACTCCTTTGTGATGTCTGCGTTCAACTCACAGAGTTTAACCTTTCTTTTCATAGAGCAGTTAGGAAACACTCTGGTTGTAAAGTCTGCAAGTGCATATTCAGACCTCCTTGAGGCCTTCGTTGGAAACGGGATTTCTTCATATTCTGCTATACAGAAGAATTCTCAGAAACTTCCTTGTGTTTTGTGTATTCAACTCACAGAGTTGAACGATCCTTTACACAGAGCAGACTTGAAACACTCTTTTTGTGGAATTTGCAAGTGGAGATTTCAGCCGCTTTGAGGTCAATGGTAGAAAAGGAAATATCTTCGTATAAAAACTAGACAGAATGATTCTCAGAAACTCCTTTGTGATGTGTGCGTTCAACTCACAGAGTTTAACCTTTCTTTTCATAGAGCAGTTAGGAAACACTCTGTTGGTAAAGTCTGCAAGGGGATATTCAGACCTCTTTGAGGCCTTCTTTGGAAACGGGATTTCTTCATATTCTGCTAGACAGAAGAATTCTCAGTAACTTCCTTGTGTTGTGTGTATTCAACTCACAGAGTTGAATGATCCTTTACACAGAGCAGACTTGAAACACTCTTTTTGTGGAATTTGCAAGTGGAGATTTCAGCCGCTTTGAGGTCAATGGTAGAATAGGAAATAACTTCCTATAGAAACTAGACAGAATGATTCTCAGAAACTCCTTTGTGATGTGTGCGTTCAACTCGCAGAGTTTAACCTTTCTTTTCATAGAGCAGTTAGGAAACACTCTGGTTGTAAAGTCTGCAAGTGGATATTCAGACCTCCTTGAGGCCTTCGTTGGAAACGGGATTTCTTCATATTATGCTAGACAGAAAGCAATTCTCAGTAACTTCCTTGTGTTGTGTGTATTCAACTCACAGAGTTGAACGATCCTTTACACAGAGCAGACTTGAAACACTCTTTTTGTGGAATTTGCAAGTGGAGATTTCAGCCGCTTTGAGGTCAATGGTAGAAAAGGAAATATCTTCGTATAAAGACTAGACAGAATGATTCTCAGAAACTCCTTTGTGATGTGTGCGTTCAACTCACACAGTTTAACCTTTCTTTTCATAGAGCAGTTGGGAAACACTCTGTTTGTAAAGTCTGCAAGTGGATATTCAGACCTCCTTGAGGCCTTCGTTGGAAACGGGATTTCTTCATATTCTGCTAGACAGAAGAATTCTCAGTAACTTCCTTGTGTTGTGTGTATTCAACTCACAGAGTTGAACGATCCTTTACACAGAGCAGACTTGAAACACTCTTTTTGTGGAATTTGCAAGTGGAGATTTCAGCCGCTTTGTGGTCAATGGTAGAAAAGGAATTATCTTCGTATAAAGACTAGACAGAATGATTCTCAGAAAATCCTTTGTGATGTGTGCGTTCAACTAACAGAGTTTAACCTTTCTTTTCATAGAGCAGTTAGGAAACACTCTGTTTGTAAAGTCTGCAAGTGGATATTCAGACATCTTTGAGGCTTTCGTTGGAAACGGGATTTCTTCATATTCTGCTATACAGAAGAATTCCCAGTAACTTCCTCGTGTTGTGTGTGTTCAACTCACAGAGTTGAACTTTCATTTACACAGAGCAGATTTGAAACACTCTTTTTGTGGAATTTGCAAGTGGAGATTTCAAGCGCTTTGAGGCCAAAGGCAGAAAAGGAAATATCTTCGTATAAAAACTAGACAGAATCATTCTCAGAAACTGCTCTGCGATGTGTGCGTTCAACTCTCAGAGTTTAACTTTTCTTTTCATTCAGAAGTTTGGAAACACTCTGTTTGTAAAGTCTGCACGTGGATAACTTGACCACTTAGAGGCCTTCGTTGGAAACGGGTTTTTTTCCTGTAAGGCTAGACAGAAGAATTCTCAGTAAATTCCTTGTGTTGTGTGTATTCAACTCACAGAGTTGAACGATCCTTTACACAGAGCAGACTTGAAACACTCTTTTTGTGGAATTTGCAAGTGGAGATTTCAGCCGCTTTGAGGTCAATGGTAGAATAGGAAATATCTTCCTATAGAAACTAGACAGAATGATTCTCAGAAACTTCTTTGTGATGTGTGCGTTCAACTCACAGAGTTTAACATTTCTTTTCATGGAGCAGTTAGGAAACACTCTGTTTGTAAACTCTGCAAGTGGATATTCAGACCTCTTTGAGGCCTTCGTTGGAAACGGGATTTCTTCATACTGTGCTAGACAGAACAATTCCCAGTAACTTCCTTGTGTTGTGTGTGTTCAACTCACAGAGTTGAACTTTCATTTACACAGAGCAGATTTGAAACACTCTTTTTGTGGAATTTGCAAGTGGAGATTTCAAGCGCTTTGAGGCCAAAGGCAGAAAAGGAAATATCTTCGTATAAAAACTAGACAGAATCATTCTAAGAAACTGCTCTGCGATGTGTGTGTTCAACTCTCAGAGTTTAACTTTTCTTTTCCTTCAGCAGTTTGGAAACACTCTGTTTGTAAAGTCTGCACGTACATAATTTGACCACTTAGAGGCCTTCGTTGGAAACGGGTTTTTTTCATGTAAGGCTAGACAGAAGAATTCCCAGTAACTTCCTTGTGTTGTGTGCATTCAACTCACAGAGTTGAACGTTCCCTTAGACAGAGCAGATTTGAAACACTCTATTTGTGCAATTTGCAAGTGTAGAATTCAAGCGCTTTAAGGTGAATGGCAGAAAAGGAAATGTCTTCGTTTCAAAACTAGACAGAATCATTCCCAAAAACTGCGTTGTGATGTGTTCGTTCAACTCACAGAGTTTAACCTTTCTGTTCATAGAGCAGTTAGGAAACACTCTGTTTGTAAAGTCCGTAAGTGGATATTCTGACATCTTGTGGCCTTCGTTGGAAACGGGATTTCTTCATATTCTGCTAGACAGAAGAATTCTCAGTAACTTCCTTGTGTTGTGTGTATTCAACTCACAGAGTTGAACGATCCTTTACACAGAGCAGACTTGAAACACTCTTTTTGTGGAATTTGCAAGTGGAGATTTCAGCCGCGTTGAGGTCAACGGTAGAAAAGGAAATATCTTCGTATAAATACTAGACAGAATGATTCTCAGAAACTCCTTTGTGATGTTTGCGTTCAACTGACAGAGTTTAAACTTTCTTTTCATAGAGCAGTTAGGAAACACTCTGTTTGTAAAGTCTGCAAGTGGATATTCAGACCTCTTTGAGGCCTTCGTTGGAAACGGGATTTCTTCATATTCTGCTAGACAGAAGAATTCCCAGTAACTTCCTTGGGTTGTGTGTGTTCAACTCACAGAGTTGAACTTTCATTTACACAGAGCAGATTTGAAACACTCTTTTTGTGGAATTTGCAGGTGGAGATTTCAAGCGCTTTGAGGCCAAAGGCAGAAAAGGAAATATCTTCGTATAAAAACTAGACAGAATCATTCTCAGAAACTGCTCTGCGATGTGTGCGTTCAACTCTCAGAGTTTAACTTTTGTTTTCATTCAGCAGTTTGGAAACACTCTGTTTGTAAAGTCTGCACGTGGATAATTTGACCACTTAGAGGCCTTCGTTGTAAACGGGTTTTTTTCCTGTAAGGCTAGACAGAGGAATTCCCAGTAACTTCCTTGTGTTGTGTGCATTCAACTCACAGAGATGAACGTTCCCTTAGACAGAGCAGATTTGAAACACTCTATTTGTGTAATTTGCAAGTGTAGATTTCAAGCGCTTTAAGGTCAATGGCAGAAAAGGATATATCTCCGTTTCAAAACTAGACAGAATCATTCCCACAAACTGCGTTGTGATGTGTTCGTTCAACTCACAGAGTTTAACCTTTCTGTTCATAGAGCAGTTAGGAAACACTCTGTTTGTAAAGTCTGTAAGTGGATATTCTGACATCTTCTGGCCTTCGTTGGAAACGGGATTTCTTCATATTCTGCTAGACAGAAGAATTCTCAGAATCTTCCTTGTGTTGTGTGTATTCAACTCACAGAGTTGAACGATCCTTTACACAGAGCAGACTTGAAACACTCTTTTTGTGGAATTTGCAAGTGGAGATTTCAGCCGCTTTGAGGTCCACGGTAGAAAAGGAAATATCTTCGTATAAAAACTAGACGGAATGATTCTCAGAAACTCCTTTGTGATGTGTGCGTTCAACTCACAGAGTTTAACCTTTCTTTTCATAGAGCAGTTAGGAAACACTCTGTTTGTAAAGTCTGCAAGTGGATATTCAGACCTCTTTGAGGCTTTCGTTGGAAACGGGATTTCTTCATATTCTGCTAGACAGAAGAATTCTCAGTAACTTCCTTGTGTTGTGTGTATTCAACTGACAGAGTTGAACTTTCATTTAGAGAGAGCAGATTTGAAACACTGTTTTTGTGGAATTTGCACGTGGAGATTTCAAGCGCTTTGGGGCCAAAGGCAGAAAAGGAAATATCTTCGTATAAAAACTAGACAGAATCATTCTCAGAAACTGCTCTGCGATGTGTGCGTTCAACTCTCAGAGTTTAACTTTTCTTTTCATTCAGAAGTTTGGAAACACTCTGTTTGTAAAGTCTGCACGTGGATAACTTGACCACTTAGAGGCCTTCGTTGGAAACGGGTTTTTTTCATGTAAGGCTAGAGAGAAGAATTCCCAGTAACTTCCTTGTGTTGTGTACATTCAACTCACAGAGTTGAACGTTCCCTTAGACAGAGCAGATTTGAAACACTCTTTTTGTGCAATTGGCAAGTGGCGATTTCAGCCTCTTTGAGGTCAATGGTAGAAAAGGAAATATCTTCGTATAAAAACTAGACAGAATGATTCTCAGAAACTTCATTCTGATGTGTGTGTTCAACTCACAGAGTTTAACCTTTCTTTTCATAGAGCAGTTGGGAAACAGTCTGTTTGTAAATTCTGTAAGTGGATATTCTGACATCTTGTGGCCTTCGTTGGAAACGGGATTTCTTCATATTCTGCTAGACAGAAGAATTCTCAAGTAACTTCCTTGTGTTGTGTGTATTCAACTCACAGAGTTGAACGATCCTTTACACAGAGCGGACTTGAAACACTCGTTTTGTGGAATTTGCAAGTGGAGGTTTCTGCCGCGTTGAGGTCAATGGTAGAAAAGGAAATATCTTCGTATAAAAACTAGACAGAATGATTCTCAGAAACTCCTTTGTGATGTGTGCGTTCAACTCACACAGTTTAACCTTTCTTTTCATAGAGCAGTTAGGAAACACTCTGTTTGTAAAGTCTGCAAGTGGATATACAGACCTCCTTGAGGCCTTCGTTGGAAACGGGATTTCTTCATATTATGCTAGACAGAAGAATTCTCAGTAACTTCCTTGTGTTGTGTGTATTCAACTCACAGAGTTGAAGGATCCTTTACAGAGAGCAGGCTTGAAACACTCTTTTTGTCGAATTTGCAAGTGGAGATTTCAGCCGCTTTGAGGTCAATGGTAGAATAGGAAATATCTTCTAATAGAAACTAGACAGAATGATTCTCAGAAACTTCATTGTGATGTGTGCGTTCAACTCACAGAGTTTAACCTTTCTTTTCATAGAGCAGTTAGGAAACACTCTGTTTGTAAACTCTGCAAGTGGATATTCAGACCTCTTTGAGGCCTTCGTTGGAAACGGGATTTCTCCATACTTTGCTAGACAGAAGAATTCTCAGTAACTTCCTTGTGTTGTGTTTATTCAACTCACAGAGTTGAATGATCCTTTACACAGAGCAGACTTGAAACACTCTTTTTGTGGAATTTGCAAGTGGAGATTTCAGCCGCTTTGAGGTCAACGGTAGAAAAGTAAATATCTTCGTATAAAGACTAGACAGAATGATTCTCAGAAACTCCTTTGTGATGTGTGCGTTCAACTCACAGAGTTTAACCTTTCTTTTCATAGAGCAGTTAGGAAACACTCTGTTTGTAAAGTCTGCAAGTGGATATTCAGACCTCCTTGAGGCCTTCATTGGAAACGGGATTTCTTCATATTATGCTAGACAGAAGAATTCTCAGTAACTTCCTTGTGTTGTGTGTATTCAACTCACAGAGTTGAACGATCCTTTACACAGAGCATACTTGAAACACTCTTGTTGTGGAATTTGCAAGTGGAGATTTCAGCCGATTTGAGTTCAATGGTAGAATAGGAAATATCTTCCTATAGAAACTAGACAGAATGATTCTCAGAAACTCCTTTGTGATGTGTGCGTACAACTCACAGAGTTCAACCTTTCTTTTCATAGAGCAGTTGGGAAACACTCTGTTTGTAAAGTCTGCAAGTGGATATTCAGACTTCTTTGAGGCCTTCGTTGGAAGCGGGATTTCTTCATATTATGCTAGACAGAAGATTTCCCAGTAACTTCCTTGTGTTGTGTACATTCAACTCACAGAGTTGAACGTTCCCTTAGACAGAGCAGATTTGAAACACTCTTTTTGTGCAATTGGCAAATGGAGATTTCAAGCGCTTTAAGGTCAATGGCAGAAAAGAAAATATCTTCGTTTCAAAACTAGACAGAATCATTCCCACAAACTGCGTTGTGATGTGTTCGTTCAACTCACAGAGTTTAACCTTTCTGTTCATAGAGCAGTTAGGAAACACTCTGTTTGTAAAGTCTGTAAGTGGATATTCTGACATTTTGTGTCCTTCGTTGGAAATGGGATTTCTTCATATTCTGCTAGACAGAAGAATTCTCAGTAACTTCCTTGTGTTGTGTGTATTCAACTCACAGAGTTCAACGATGCTTTACACAGAGTAGACTTGAAACACACTTTTTGTTGAATTTGCAAGTGGAGATTTCAGCCGCTTTGAGGTCAATGGTAGAATAGGAAATATCTTCGTATAAAAAGTAGACAGAATGATTCTCAGAAACTCCTTTGTGATGTGTGTGTTCAACTCACAGAGTTTAACCTTTCTTTTCATAGAGCAGTTAGGAAACACTCTGTTTGTAAAGTCTGCAAGTGGATATTCAGACCTCTTGAGGCCTTCGTTGGAAACGGGTTTTTTTCATATAAGGCTAGACAGAAGAATTCCCAGTAACTTCCTTGTGTTGTGTGTGTTCAACTCACAGAGTTGAACTTTCATTTACACAGAGCAGATTTGAAACACTCTTTTTGTGGAATTTGCAAATGGAGATTTCAAGCGCTTTGAGGCCAAAGGCAGAAAAGGAAATATCTTCGTATAAAACCTAGACAGAATCATTCTCAGAAACTGCTCTGCGATGTGTGCGTTCAACTCTCAGAGTTTAACTTTTCTTTTCATTCAGCAGTTTGGAAACACTCTGTTTGTAAAGTCTGCACGTGGATAATTTGACCTCTTAGAGGCCTTCGTTGGAAACGGGTTTTTTTCCTGTAAGGCTAGACAGAAGAATTCTCAGTAACTTCCTTGTGTTGTGTGTATTCAACTCACAGAGTTGAACGATCCTTTACACAGAGCAGACTTGTAAGACTCTTTTTGTGGAATTTGCAAGTGGAGATTTCAGCCGCTTTGAAGTCAAAGGTAGAAAAGGAAATATCTTCCTATAAAAACTAGACAGAATGATTCTCAGAAACTTCTTTGTGATGTGTGCGTTCAACTCACAGAGTTTAACCTTTCTTTTCATAGAGCAGTTAGGAAACACTCTGTTTGTAAACTCTGCAAGTGGATATTCAGACCTCCTTGAGGCCTTCGTTGGAAACGGGATTTCTTCATACTGTGCTAGACAGAAGAATTCTCAGTAACTTCCTTGTGTTGTGTGTATTCAACTGACAGAGTTGAACTTTCATTTAGAGAGAGCAGATTTGAAACACTGTTTTTGTGGAATTTGCAAGTGGAGATTTCAAGCGCTTTGGGGCCAAAGGAAGAAAAGGAAATATCTTCGTATAAAAACTAGACAGAATCATTCTCAGAAAATCCTCTGTGATGTGTGCGTTCAACTCTCAGAGTTTAACTTTTCTTTTCATTCAGCAGTTTGGAAACACTCTGTTTGTAAAGTCTGCACGTGGATATTTTGACCACTTAGAGGCCTTCGTTGGAAACGGGTTTTTTTCATATAAGGCTAGACAGAAGAATTCCCAGTAACTTCCTTGTGTTGTGTGCATTCAACTCACAGAGTTGAACGTTCCCTTAGACAGAGCCGATTTGAAACACTCTATTTGTGCAATTTGCAAGTGTAGATTTCAAGCGCTTTAAGGTCAATGGCAGAAAAGGAAATATCTTCGTTTCAAAACTAGACAGAATCATTCCCACAAACTGCGTTGTGATGTGTTCGTTCAACTCACAGAGTTTAACCTTTCTGTTCATAGAGCAGTTAGGAAACACTCTGTTTGTAAAGTCTGTAAGTGGATATTCTGACATCTTGTGGCCTTCGTTGGAAACGGGATTTCTTCATATTCTGCTGGACAGAGGAATTCTCAGGAACTTCCTTGTGTTGTGTGTATTCAACTCACAGAGTTGAACGATCCTTTACACAGAGCAGACTTGAAACACACTTTTTGTGGAATTTGCAAGTGGAGATTTCAGCCGCTTTGAGTTCAAAGGTAGAATAGGAAATATCTTCCTATAGAAAGTACACAGAATGATTCTCAGAAACTGCTTTGTGATGTGTGCGTTCAACTCACAGAGTTCAACCTTTCTTTTCATAGAGCAGTTGGGAAACACTCTGTTTGTAAAGTCTGCAAGTGGATATTCAGACTTCTTTGAGGCCTTCGTTGGAAGCGGGATTTCTTCATATTCTGCTAGACAGAATAATTCTCAGTAACTTCCTTGTGTTGTGTGTATTCAACTCACAGAGTTGAACGATCCTTTACAGAGAGCAGACTTGAAACACTCTTTTTGTGTAATTTGCAAGTGGAGATTTCAGCCGCTTTGAGGTCAATGGTAGAATAGGAAATATCTTCCTATAGAAACTAGACAGAATGATTCTCAGAAACTCCTTTGTGATGTGTGCGTGCAACTCACAGAGTTTAACCTTTCTTTTCATAGAGAAGTTAGGAAACACTCTGTTTGTAAAGTCTGCAAGTGGATATTCAGACATCCTTGAGGCTTTCGTTGGAAACGGGATTTCTTCATATTCTGCTAGAAAGAAGAATTCTCATTAACTTCCTTGTGTTGTGTGTATTCAACTCACAGAGTTGAAGGATCCTTTACACAGAGCGGACTTGAAACACTCTTTTTGTGGAATTTGCAAGTGGAGATTTCAGCCGCGTTGAGGTCAATGGTAGAAAAGGAAATCTCTTCGTATAAAAAGTAGACAGAATGATTCTCAGAAACTCCTTTGTGATGTGTGTGTTCAACCCACAGAGTTTAACCTTTCTTTTCATAGAGCAGTTAGGAAACACTCTGTTTGTAAAGTCTGCAAGTGGATATTCCGATCTCTTTGAGGCCTTCGTTGGAAACGGGTTTTTTTCATATAAGGCTAGACAGAAGGATTCCCAGTAACTTCCCTTGTGTTGTGTGTGTTCAACTCACAGAGTTGAACTTTCATATACAAAGAGCAGATTTGAAACACTCTTTTTGTGGAATTTGCAAGTGGAGATTTCAAGCGCTTTGAGGCCAAAGGCAGAAAAGGAAATATCTTCGTATAAAAACTAGACAGAATCATTCTCAGAAACTGCTGTGTGATGTGTGCGTTCAACTCTCAGAGTTTAACTTTTCTTTTCATTCAGCGGTTTGGAAACACTCTGTTTGTAAAGTCTGCACGTGGATATTTTGACCACTTAGAGGCCTTCGTTGGAAACGGTTTTTTTTCATGTAAGGCTAGACAGAAGAATTCCCAGTAACTTCCTTGTGTTGTGTACATTCAACTCACAGAGTTGAACGTTCCCTTAGACAGAGCAGATTTGAAACACTCTTTTTGTGCAATTGGCAAGTGGTGATTTCAGCCGCTTTGAGGTCAATGGTAGAAAAGGAAATATCTTCGTATAATAACTAGACAGAATCATTCCCACAAACTGCGTTGTGATGTGTTCGTTCAACTCACAGAGTTTAACCTTTCTGTTCATAGAGCAGTTAGGAAACACTCTGTTTGTAAAGTCTGGAAGTGGATATTCAGACCTCCTTGAGGCCTTCGTTGGAAACGGGATTTCTTCATATTCTGCTAGACAGAAGAATTCTCAGTAACTTCCTTGTGTTGTGTGTATTCAACTCACAGAGTTGAACGATCCTTTACACAGAGCAGACTTGAAACACTCTTTTTGTGGAATTTGCAAGTGGATATTTCAGCCGCTTTGAGGTCAATGGTAGAATAGGAAATATCTTCCTATAGAAACTAGACAGAATGATTCTCAGAAACTCCTTTGTGATGTGTGCGTTCAACTCACACAGTTTAACCTTTCTTTTCATAGAGCAGTTAGGAAACACTCTGTTTGTAAAGTCTGCAAGTGGATATTCAGACCTCTTTGAGGCATTCGTTGGAAACGGGATTTCTACATATTATGCTAGACAGAAGAATTCCCAGTAACTTCCTTGTGTTGTGTGTGTTCGACTCACAGAGTTGAACTTTCATTTACACAGAGCAGATTTGAAACACTCTTTTTGTGGAATTTGCAAGTGGAGATTTCAAGCACTTTGAGGCCAAAGGCAGAAAAGGAAATATCTTCGTTTCAAAACTAGACAGAATTATTCTCAGAAACTCCTTTGTGATGTGTGCGTTCAACTCACAGAGTTTAACCTTTCTTTTCATAGAGCAGTTAGGAAACACTCTGTTTGTAAAGACTGCAAGTGGATATTCAGACCTCTTTGAGGCCTTCGTTGGAAACGGGTTTTTTTCCTGTAAGGCTAGACAGAAGAATTCCCAGTAACTTCCTTGTGTTGTGTACATTCAACTCACAGAGTTGAACGTTCCCTTAGACAGAGCAGATTTGAAACACTCTTTTTGTGCAATTGGCAAGTGGAGATTTCAAGCGCTTTACGGTCAATGGCAGAAAAGGAAATATCTTCGTTTCAAAACAAGACAGAATCATTCCCACAAACTGCGTTGTGATGTGTTCGTTCAACTCACAGAGTTTAACCTTTCTGTTCATAGAGCAGTTAGGAAACACTCTGTTTGTAAAGTCTGCAAGTGGATATTCAGACCTCTTTGAGGCCTTCGTTGGAAACGGGATTTCTTCATATTCTGCTAGACAGAAGAATTCTCAGTAACTTCCTTGTGTTGTGTGTATTCAACTCACAGAGTTGAACAATCCTTTACACAGAGCAGAGTTGAAACACTCTTTTTGTGGAATTTGCAAGTGGAGATTTCAGCTGCTTTGAGGTCAATGGTAGAATAGGAAATATCTTCCTATAGAAACTAGACAGAATGATTCTCAGAAACTCCTTTGTGATGTGTGCGTTCAAATCACAGAGTTTAACCTTTCTGTTCATAGAGCAGTTAGGAAACACTCTGTTTGTAAAGTCTGCCAGTGGATATTCAGACCTCCTTGATTCCTTCGTTGGAAATGGGATTTCTTCATATTCTGCTAGACAGAAGAATTCTCAGTAACTTCTTTGTGTTGTGTGTATTCAACTCACAGAGTTGAACGATCCTTTACACAGAGCAGACATGAAACACTCTTTTTGTGGAATTTGCAAGTGGAGATTTCTGCCGCTTTGAGGTCAATGGTAGAATAGGAAATATCTTCCTATAGAAAATAGACAGAATGATTCTCAGAAACTTCTTTGTGATGTGTACGTTCAACTCACAGGAGTTTAACCTTTCTTTTCTTAGAGCAGTTAGGAAACACTCTGTTTGTAAAGTCTGCAAGTGGATATTCAGACCTCTTTGAGGCCTTCGTTGGAAACGGGTTTTTTTCATATAAGGCTAGACAGAAGAATTCTCAGTAACTTCCTTGTGTTGTGTGTATTCAACTCACAGATTTCAACGATCCTTTACACAGAGCAGACTTGAAACACTCTTTTTCTGGAATTTGCAAGTGGAGATTTCAGCCGCTTTGAGGTCAATGGTAGAATAGGAAATATCTTCCTATAGAAACTAGACAGAATGATTCTCAGAAACTCCTTTGTGATGTGTGCGTTCAACTCACAGAGTTTAACGTTTCTTTTCACAGAGCAGTTAGGAAACACTCTGTTTGTAATGTCTGCAAGTGGATATTCAGAACCCTTTGAGGCCTTCGTTGGAAACGGGATTTCTTCATATTATGCTAGACAGAATAATTCTCAGTAACTTCCTTCTTTTGTGTGTATTCAACTCACAGAGTTGAACGATCCTTTACAGAGAGCAGACTTGAAACACTCTTTTTGTGGAATTTGCAAGTGGAGATTTCAGGCGCTTTGAGGTCAATGGTAGAATAGGAAATATCTTCCTATAGAAACTAGACAGAATGATTCTCAGAAACTCCTTTGTGATGTGTGCGTTCAACTCACAGAGTTTAAGCTTTCTTTTCATAGAGCAGTTAGGAAACACTCTGTTTGTAAAGTCTGCAAGTGGCTATTCAGACCCCTTTGAGGCCTTCTTTCGAAACGGGATTTCTTCATATTATGCTAGACAGAAGAATTCTCAGTAACTTCCTTGTGTTGTGTGTTTTCAACTGACAGAGTTAAACTTTCATTTAGAGAGAGCAGATTTGAAACACTGTTTTTGTGGAATTTGCAAGTGGAGATTTCAAGCGCTTTGTGGCCAAAGGTAGAAAAGGAAATATCTTCGTATAAAAACTAGACAGAATCATTCTCAGAAACTGCTCTGCGATGTGTGCGTTCAACTCTCAGAGTTTAACTTTTCTTTTCATAGAGCAGTTAGGAAACACTCTGGTTTGTAAAGTCTGCATGTGGATAATTTGACCACTTAGAGGTCTTTGTTGGAAACGGGTTTTTTCATGTAAGGCTAGACAGAAGAATTCCCAGTAACTTCCTTGTGTTGTGTGCATTCAACTCACAGAGTTGAACGTTCCCTTAGACAGAGCAGATTTGAAACACTCTATTTGTGCAATTTGCAAGTGTAGATTTCAAGCGCTTTAAGGTCAATGGCAGAAAAGGAAATTTCTTCGTTTTAAAACTAGACAGAATGATTCTCAGAAACTCCTTTGTGATGTGTGCGTTCAACTCACAGAGTTTAACGTTTCTTTTCATAGAGCAGTTAGGAAACACTCTGTTTGTAAAGTCTGCAAGGGGATATTCAGACCTCTCTGAGGCCTTCGTTGGAAACGGGATTTCTTCATATTCTGCTTCACAGAAGAATTCTCAGTAACTTCCCTTGTGTTGTGTGTATTCAACTCACAGAGTTGAACGATCCTTTACACAGAGCAGACTTGAAACACTCTTTTTGTGGAATTTGCAAGTGGAGATTTCAGCCGCTTTGAGGTCAATGGTTGAATAGGAAATATCTTCCAATAGAAACTAGACAGAATGATTCTCAGAAACTCCTTTGTGATGTGTGCGTTCAACTCACAGAGTTTAACCTTTCTTTTCATAGAGTAGTTAGGAAACACTCTGTTTGTAAAGTCTGCAAGTGGATATTCAGACCTCTTTGAGACCTTCGTTGGAAACGGGTTTTTTTCATATAAGGCTAGACAGAAGAATTCTCAGTAACTTCCTTGTGTTGTGTGTATTCAACTCACAGAGTTGAACGATCCTTTACACAGAGCAGACTTGAAACATTCTTTTTGTGGAATTTGCAAGTGGAGATTTCAGCCGCTTTGAGGTCAATGGTAGAAAAGTAAATATCTTCCTATAAAGACTAGACAGAATGATTCTCAGAAACTTCTTTGTGATGTTTGCGTTCAACTCACAGAGTTTAACCTTTCTTTTCATAGAGCAGTTAGGAAACACTCTGTTTGTAAAGTCTGCAAGTGGATATTCAGACCTCCTTGAGGCCTTCGTTGGAAGCGGGATTTCTTCATGTTCTGGTAGACAGAAGAATTCTCAGTAACATCTTTGTGTTGTGTGTATTCAACTCACAGAGTGGAACGATCCTTTACAGAGAGCAGACTTGAAACACTCTTTTTGTGGAATTTGCAAGTGGAGATTTCAGCCGCTTTGAGGTCAATGGTAGAATAGGAAATATCTTCCTATAGAAACTAGACAGAATGATTCTCAGAAACTCCTTTGTGATGCGTGCGTTCAACTCACAGAGTTTAACCTTTCTTTTCATAGAGCAGTTAGGAAACACTCTGTTTGTAAAGTCTGCAAGTGGATATTCAGACCTCTTTGAGGCCTTCGTTGGAAACGGGATTTCTTCATATTATGCTAGACAGAAGAATTCTCAGTAACTTCCTTGTGTTGTGTGTATTCAACTGACAGAGTTGAACTTTCATTTAGAGAGAGCAGATTTGAAACACTGTTTTTGTGGCATTTGCAAGTGGAGATTTCAAGCGCTTTGGGGCCAAAGGCAGAAAACGAAATATCTTCGTATAAAAACTAGACAGAATCATTCTCAGAAACTGCTCTGCGATGTGTGCGTTCAACTCTCAGAGTTTAACTTTTCTTTTCATTCAGCAGTTTGGAATCACTCTGTTTGTAAAGTCTGCACGTGGATATTTTGACCACTTAGAGGCCTTCGTTGGAAACGGGTTTTTTTCCTGTAAGGCTAGACAGAAGAATTCTCAGTAACTTCCTTGTGTTGTGTGTATTCAACTCACAGAGTTGAACGATCCTTTACACAGAGCAGACTTGTAACACTCATTTTGTGGAATTTGCAAGTGGAGATTTCAGCCACTTTGAAGTCAAAGGTAGAAAAGGAAATAACTTCCTATAAAAACTAGACAGAATCATTCCCACAAACTGCGTTGTGATGTGTTCGTTCAACTCACAGAGTTTAACCTTTCTGTTCATAGAGCAGTTAGGAAACACTCTGTTTGTAAAGTCTGTAAGTGGATATTCTGACATCTTGTGGCCTTCTTTGGAAACGGGATTTCTTCATATTCTGCTAGACAGAATAATTCTCAGTAACTTCTTTGTGTTGTGTGTATTCAACTCACAGAGTTGAAGGATCCTTTACAGAGAGCAGGCTTGAAACACTCTTTTTGTCGAATTTGCAAGTGGAGATTTCAGCCGCTTTGAGGTCAATGGTTGAATAGGAAATAGCTTCTTATAGAAACTAGACAGAATGATTCTCAGAAACTCCTTTGTGATGTGTGCGTTCAACTCACAGAGTTTAACCTTTCTTTTCATAGCGCAGTTGGGAAACACTCTGTTTGTAAAGTCTGCAAGTGGATATTCAGACATCCTTGAGGCTTTCGTTGGAAACGGGATTTCTTCATATTCTGCTAGAAAGAAGAATTCTCAGTAACTTCCTTGTGTTGTGTGTATTCAACTCACAGAGTTGAACGATCCTTTACACAGAGCAGACTTGAAACACTCTTTTTGTGGAATTTACAAGTGGAGATTTCAGCCGATTTGAGGTCAATGGTAGAAAAGGAAATATCTTCCTATAGAAACTAGACAGAATGATTCTCAGAAACTCCTTTGTGATGTGTGCGTTCAACTCACAGAGTTCAACCTTTCTTTTCATAGAGCAGTTGGGAAACACTCTGTTTGTAAAGTCTGCAAGTGGATATTCAGACCTCCTTGAGGCCTTCGTTGGCAACGGGATTTCTTCATATTCTGCTAGACAGAAGAATTCTCAGTAACTTCCTTGTGTTGTGTGTATTCAACTCACAGAGTTGAACGATCCTTTACACAGAGCCGACTTGAAACACTCTTTTTGTGGAATTTGCAAGTGGAGATTTCAGCCGCTTTGAGTTCAATGGTAGAATAGGAAATATCTTCCTATAGAAACTAGACAGAAAGATTCTCAGAAACTCCTTCGTGATGTGTGCGTTCAACTCACAGAGTTTAACCTTTCTTTTCAGAGAGCAGTTAGGAAACACTCTGTTTGTAAAGTCTGCAAGTGGATATTCAGACCTCTTTGAGGCCTTCGTTGGAAACGGGATTTCTTCATATTCTGCTAGACAGAAGAATTCCCAGTAACTTCCTTGTGTTGTGTGTGTTCAACTCACAGAGTTGAACTTTCATTTACACAGAGCAGATTTGAAACACTCTTTTTGTGGAATTTGCAAGTGGAGATTTCAAGCGATTTGAGGCCAAAGGCAGAAAAGGAAATATCTTCGTATAAAAAGTAGACAGAATCATTCTCAGAAACTGCTCTGAGATGTGTGCATTCAACTCTCAGAGTTTAACTTTTCTTTTCATTCAGCAGTTTGGAAACACTCTGTTTGTAAAGTCTGCACGTGGATAATTTGACCACTTAGAGGCCTTCGTTGGAAACGGGTTTTTTTCATGTAAGGCTAGACAGAAGAATTCCCAGTAACTTCCTTGTGTTGTGCGCATTCAACTCACAGAGTTGAACGTTCCCTTAGACAGAGCAGATTTGAAACACTCTATTTGTGCAATTTCCAAGTGTAGATTTCAAGCGCTTTAAGGTCAACGGCAGAAAAGGAAATATCCTTCGTTTCAAAACTAGACAGAATCATTCCCACAAACTGCGTTGTGATGTGTTCGTTCAACTCACAGTAGTTTAACCTTTCTTTTCATAGAGCAGTTAGGAAACAGTCTGTTTGTCAATTCTGTAAGTGGATATTCTGACATCTTGTGGCCTTCGTTGGAAACGGGATTTCTTCATATTCTCCTAGACAGAAGAATTCTCAGTAACTTCCTTGTGTTGTGTGTATTCAACTCACAGAGTTGAAAGATCCTTTACACAGAGCAGACTTGAAACACTCTTTTTGTGGAATTTGCAAGTGGAGATTTCAGCCGCTTTGATGTCACTGGTAGAAAAGGAAATATCTTCGTATAAAGACTAGACAGAATGATTCTCAGAAACTCCTTTGTGATGTGTGCGTTCAACTCACAGAGTTTAACCTTTCTTTTCATAGAGCAGTTAGGAAACACTCTGTTTGTAAAGTCTGCAAGTGGATATTCAGACCTCTTTGAGGAAATCGTTGGAAACGGGATTTCTTCACATTCTGCTAGACAGAAGAATTCCCAGTAACTTCCTTGTGTTGTGTGTGTTCAACTCACAGAGTTGAACTTTCATTTACACAGAGCAGATTTGAAACACTCTTTTTGTGGAATTTGTAAGTGGAGATTTCAAGCGCTTTGAGGCCAAAGGCAGAAAAGGAAATATCTTCGTTTCAAAACTAGACAGAATCATTCTCAGAAACTGCTGCGTGATGTGTGCTTTCAACTCTCAGAGTTTAACTTTTCTTTTCATTCAGCGGTTTGGAAACACTCTGTTTGTAAAGTCTGCACGTGGATATTTTGACCACTTAGAGGCCTTCGTTGGAAACGGGTTTTTTTCATGTAAGGGTAGACAGAATAATTCTCAGTAACTTCCTTGTGTTGTGTGTATTCTACTCACAGAGTTGAACGATCCTTTACACAGAGCAGACTTGAAACACTCTTTTTGTGGAATTTGCAAGTGGATATTTCAGCCGCTTTGAGGTCAATGGTAGAATAGGAAATATCTTCCTATAGAAACTAGACCGAATGATTCTCAGAAACTCCTTTGTGATGTGTGCGTTCAACTCACAAGAGTTTAACCTTTCTTTTCTTAGAGCAGTTAGGAAACACTCTGTTTGTAAAGTCTGCAAGTGGATATTCAGACCTCCTTGAGGCCTTCGTTGGAAACGGGTTTTTTTCATATAAGGCTAGACAGAAGAATTCCCAGTAACTTCCTTGTGCTGTGTGTGTTCAACTCACAGAGTTGAACTTTCATTTACACAGAGCAGATTTGAAACACTCTTTTTGTGGAATTTGCAAGTGGAGATTTCAAGCGCTTTGAGGCCAAAGGCAGAAAAGGAAATATCTTCGTTTCAAAACTAGACAGAATCATTCTCAGAAAATCCTCTGTGATGTGTGCGTTCAACTCTCAGAGTTTAACTTTTCTTTTCATTCAGCAGTTTGGAAACACTCTGTTTGTAAAGTCTGCACGTGGATATTTTGACCACTTACAGGCCTTCGTTGGAAACGGGTTTTTTCATGTAAGGGTAGACAGAAGAATTCCCAGGAACTTCCTTGTGTTGTGTACATTCAACTCACAGAGTTGAACGTTCCCTTAGACAGAGCAGATTTGAAACACTCTTTTTGTGCAATTGGCAAGTGGTGATTTCAGCCGCTTTGAGGTCAATGGTAGAAAAGGAAATATCTTCGTAGAAAAACTAGACAGAATGATTCTCAGAAACTCCTTTGTGATGTGTGCGTTCAACTCACAGAGTTTAACCTTTCTTTTCATAGAGCAGTTAGGAAACACTCTGTTTGTAAAGTCTGCAAGTGGATATTCAGACCTCCTTGAGGCCTTCGTTGGAAACGGGATTTCTTCATATTCTGCTAGATAGAAGAATTCTCAGTAACTTCCTTGTGTTGTGTGTATTCAACTTACAGAGTTGAACGATTCTTTACACAGAGCAGACTTGAAACACTCTTTTTGTGGAATTTGCAAGTGGAGATTTCAGCCGCTTTGAGGTCAATGGTAGAAAAGGAAATATCTTCGTATAAAGACTAGACAGAATGATTCTCAGAAACTCCTTTGTGCTGTGTGCGTTCAACTCACAGAGTTTAACCTTTCTTTTCATAGAACAGATAGTAAACACTCTGTTTGTAAAGTCTGCAAGTGGATATTCAGACATCTTTGAGGCTTTCGTTGGAAACGGGATTTCTTCATATTCTGCTAGACAGAATAATTCTCAGTAACTTCCTTGTGTTGTGTGTATTCAACTCACAGAGTTGAACGATCCTTTACACAGAGCAGACTTGAAACACTCTTTTTGTGGAATTTGCAAGTGGAGATTTCAGCCGCGTTGAGGTCAATGGTAGAATAGGAAATATCTTCCTATAGAAACTAGACAGAATCATTCTCAGAAACTGCTGCGTGATGTGTGCGTTCAACTCTCAGAGTTTAACTTTTCTTTTCATTCAGCGGTTTGGAAACACTCTGTTTGTAAAGTCTGCACAGTGGATATTTTGACCACTTAGAGGCCTTCGTTGGAAACGGGTTTTTTTCAAGTAAGGCTAGACAGAAGAATTCCCAGTAACTTCCTTGTGTTGTGTACATTCAACTCACAGAGTTGAACGTTCCCTTAGACAGAGCAGATTTGAAACACTCTTTTTGCGCAATTGGCAAGTGGAGATTTCAAGCGCTTTAAGATCAATGGCAGAAAAGGAAATATCTTCGTTTCAAAACTAGACAGAATGATTCTCAGAAACTCCTTTGTGATGTGTTCGTTCAACTCACAGAGTTTAACCTTTCTTTTCATAGAGCAGTTAGGAAACACTCTGTTTGTAAAGTCTGCAAGTGGATATTCAGACATCCTTGAGGCTTTCGTTGGAAACGGGATTTCTTCATATTCTGCTAGAAAGAAGAATTCTCAGTAACTTCCTTGTGTTGTGTGTATTCAGCTCACAGAGTTGAACGATCCTTTACACAGAGCAGACTTGAAACACTCTTTTTGTGGAATTTGCAAGTGGAGATTTCAGCCGCTTTGAGGTCAATGGTAGAATAGGAAATATCTTCCTATAGAAACTAGACAGAATGATTCTCAGAAAAACCTTTGTGATGTGTGTGTTCAACTCACAGAGTTTAACCTTTCTTTTCATAGAGCAGTTAGGAAACACTCTGTTTTTAAAGTCTGCAAGTGGATATTGAGACCTCTTTCAGGCCTTCGTTGGAAACGGGATTTCTTCATATTATGCTAGACAGAAGAATTCTCAGTAACTTCCTTGCGTTGTGTGTATTCAACTGACAGAGTTGAACTTTCATTTAGAGAGAGCAGATTTGAAACACTGTTTTTGTCGAATTTCCAATGGAGATTTCAAGCGCTTTGGGGCCAAAGGCAGAAAAGGAAATATCTTCGTATAAAAACTAGACAGAATCATTCTCAGAAACTGCTGCGTGATGTGTGCGTTCAACTCCTCAGAGTTTAACTTTTCTTTTCATTCAGCGGTTTGGAAACACTCTGTTTGTAAAGTCTGCACGTGGAAATTTTGACCACTTAGAGGCCTTCGTTGGAAACGGGTTTTTTTCATGTAAGGCTAGACAGAAGAATTCCCAGTAACTTCCTTGTGTTGTGTGCATTCAACTCACAGAGTTGAACGTTCCCTTAGACAGAGCAGATTTGAAACACTCTATTTGTGCAATTTGCAAGTGTAGTTTTCAAGCTCTTTAAGGTCAACGGCAGAAAAGGAAATATCTTCGTTTCAAAACTAGACAGAATCATTCCCACAAACTGCGATGTGATGTGTTCGTTAAACTCACAGAGTTTAACCTTTCTGTTCATAGAGCAGTTAGGAAACACTCTGTTTGGAAAGTCTGTAAGTGGATATTCTGACATCTTGTGGCCTTCGTTGGAAACGGGATTTCTTCATATTCTGCTAGACAGAAGAATTCTCAGAATCTTCCTTGTGTTGTGTGTATTCAACTCAAAGAGTTGAACGATCCTTTACACAGAGCAGACTTGAAACACTCTTTTTGTGGAATTTGCAAGTGGAGATTTCACCCGCTTTGAGGTCCATGGTAGAAAAGGAAATATCTTTGTATAAAAACTAGACAGAATGATTCTGAGAAACTCCTTTGTGATGTGTGCGTTCAACTCACAGAGTTTAACCTTTCTTTTCATAGAGCAGTTAGGAAACACTCTGTTTGTAAAGTCTGCAAGTGGATATTCAGACCTCTTTGAGGCCTTCGTTGGAAACGGGATTTCATCATATTCTGCTAGACAGAAGAATTCTCATTAACTTCCTTGTGTTGTGTGTATTCAACTCACAGAGTTGAACGATCCTTTACACAGAGCGGACTTGAAACACTCTTTTTGTGTAATTTGCAAGTGGAGATTTCAGCCGCGTTGAGGTCAATGGTAGAAAAGGAGATCTCTTCGTATAAAAACTAGACAGAATGATTCTCAGAAACTCCTTTGAGATGTGTGCGCTCAACTCACAGAGTTTAACCTTTCTTTTTATAGAGCAGTTAGGAAACACTCTGTTTGTAAAGTCTGCAAGTGGATATTCAGACCTCTTTGAGGCCTTCGTTGGAAACGGGTTTTTTTCATATAAGGCTAGACAGAAGAATTCCCAGTAACTTCCTTGTGTTGTGTGCATTCAACTCACAGAGATGAACGTTCGCTTAGACAGAGCAGATTTGAAACACTCTATTTGTGCAATTTGCAAGTGTAGATTTCAAGCGCTTTAAGGTCAATGGCAGAAAAGGAAATATCTTCGTTTCAAAACTAGACAGAATCATTCCCACAAACTGCGTTGTGATGTATTCGTTCAACTCACAGAGTTTAACCTTTCTGTTCATAGAGCAGTTAGGAAACACTCTGTTTGTAAAGTCTGTAAGTGGATATTCTGACATCTTGTGGCCCTTCGTTGGAAACGGGATTTCTTCATATTCTGCTAGACAGAAGAATTCCCAGTAACTTCCTTGTGTTGTGTGTATTCAACTCACAGAGTTGAACGATCCTTTACACAGAGCAGACTTGAAACACTCTTTTTGTGGAATTTGCAAGTGGAGATTTCAGCCGCTTTGAGGTCAATGGTAGAAAAGGAAATATCTTCGTAGAAAAACTAGACAGAATGATTCTCAGAAACTCCTTTGTGATGTGTGTGTTCAACTCACAGAGTTTAACCTTTCTTTTCATAGGGCAGTTAGGAAACACTCTGTTTGTAAAGTCTGCAAGTGGATATTCAGACCTCCTAGAGGCCTTCGTTGGAAACGGGATTTCTTCATATTCTGCTACACAGAAGAATTCCCAGTAACTTCCTTGTGTTGTGTGTGTTCAACTCACAGAGTTGAACTTTCATTTACCCAGAGCAGATTTGAAACACTCTTTTAGTGGAATTTGCAAGTGGAGATTTCAAGCGCTTTGAGGCCAAAGGCAGAAAAGGAAATATCTTCGTTTCAAAATTAGACAGAATCATTCTCAGAAACTGCTGCGTGATGTGTGCGTTCAACTCTCAGAGTTTAACTTTTCTTTTCATTCAGCGGTTTGGAAACACTCTGTTTGTAAAGTCTGCACGTGGTTATTTTGACCACTTAGACGCCTTCGTTGGAAACGGGTTTTTTTCATGTAAGGCTAGACAGAAGAATTCCCAGTAACTTCCTTGTGTTGTGTGCATTCAACTCACAGAGTTGAACGTTCCGTAGACAGAGCAGATTTGAAACACTCTATTTGTGCAATTTGCAAGTGTAGATTTCAAGCGCTTTAAGGTCAATGGCAGAAAAGGAAATATCTTCGTTTCAAAACTAGACAGAATGATTCTCAGAAAATCTTTTGTGATGCGTGCGTTCAACTCACAGAGTTTAACTTTTCTTCTCATAGAGCAGTTAGGAAACACTCTGTTTGTAAAGTCTGCAAGTGGATATTCAGACCTCTTTGAGGCCTTCGTTGGAAACGGGATTTCTTCATATTATGCTAGACAGAATAATTCTCAGTAACTTCCTTGTGTTGTGTGTATTCAACTCACAGAGTTGAAGGATCCTTTACAGAGAGCAGGCTTGAAACACTCTTTTTGTCGAATTTGCAAGTGGAGAATTCAGCCGCTTTGAGGTCAATGGTAGAATAGGAAATATCTTCTTATAGAAACTAGACAGAATGATTCTCAGAAACTCCTTTGTGATGTGTGCGTTCAACACACAGAGTTCAAACTTTCTTTTCATAGAGCAGTTGGGAAAAACTCTGTTTGTAAAGTCTGCAAGTGGATATTCAGACTTCTTTGAGGCCTTCGTTGGAAGCGGGATTTCTTCATATTCTGCTAGACAGAAGAATTCTCAGTAACCTCCTTGTGTTGCGTGCATTCAACTGACAGGGTTGAAATTTCATTTAGACAGAGCAGATTTGAAACACTGTTTTTGTGGAATTTGCAAGTGGAGATGTCAAGCGCTTTGGGGCCAAAGGCAGAAAAGGAAATATCTTCGTATAAAAACTAGACAGAATCATTCTCAGAAACTGCTCTGCGATGTGTGCGTTCAACTCTCAGAGTTTAACTTTTCTTTCCATTCAGCAGTTTGGAAACACTCTGTTTGTAAAGTCTGCACGTGGATAATTTGACTACTTAGAGGCCTTCGTTGGAAACGGGTTTTTTTCCTGTAAGGCTAGAGAGAAGAATTCCCAGTAACTTTCTTGTGTTGTGTACATTCAACTCACAGAATTGAACGTTCCCTTAGACAGAGCAGATTTGAAACACTCTGTTTGTGCAATTGGCAAGTGGTGATTTCATCCGCTTTGAGGTCAATGGTAGAAAAGGAAATATCTTCGTATAAAAACTAGACAGAATCTTTCCCACAAACTGCCTTGTGATGTGTTCGTTCAACTCACAGAGTTTAACCTTTCTGTTCATAGAGCAGTTAGGAAACACTCTGTTTGTAAAGTCTGCAAGTGGATATTCAGACCTCCTTGAGGCCTTCGTTGGAAACGGGATTTCTTCATATTCTGCTAGACAGAATAATTCTCAGTAACTTCCTTGTGTTGTGTGTTTTCAACTCACAGAGTTGAACGATCCTTTACACAGAGCAGACTTGAAACACTCTTTTTGTGGAATTTGCAAGTGGAGATTTCAGCCGCTTTGAGGTCAATGGTAGAATAGGAAATATCTTCCTATAGAAACTAGACAGAATGATTCTCAGAAACTCCTTTGTGATGTGTGCGTTCAACTCACAGAGTTTAACCTTTCTTTTCATAGAGCAGTTAGGAAACACTCTGTTTTTATAGTCTGCAAGTGGATATTCAGACATCTTTGAGGCCTTCGTTGGAAACGTGATTTCTTCATATTCTGCTATACAGAAGAATTCTCAGAAACTTCCTTGTGTTGTGTGTTTTCAACTCACAGAGTTGAACGATGCTTTACACAGAGTAGACTTGAAACACTCTTTTTGTGTAATTTGCAAGTAGAGATTTCAGCCGCTTTGAGGTCAATGGTAGAAAAGGAAATATCTTCGTATAAAAACTAGACAGAATCATTCTCAGAAACTGCTGCGTGATGTGTGCGTTCAACTCTCAGAGTTTAACTTTTCTTTTCATTCAGCGGTTTGGAAACACTCTGTTTGTAAAGTCTGCACGTGGATATTTTGACCACTTAGAGGCCTTCGTTGGAAACGGGTTTTTTTTCATGTAAGGCTAGACAGAAGAATTCCCAGTAACTTCCTTGTGTTGTGTGCATTCAACTCACAGAGTTGAACGTTCCCTTAGACAGAGCAGATTTGAAACACTCTATTTGTGCAATTTGAAAGTGTAGATTTCAAGCGCTTTAAGGTCAACGGCAGAAAAGGAAATATCTTCGTTTCAAAACTAGACAGAATCATTCCCACAAACTGCGTTGTGATGTGTTCGTTCAACTCACAGAGTTTTACCTTTCTGTTCATAGAGCAGTTAGGAAACACTCTGTTTGTAAAGTCTGCAAGTGGATATTCAGACCTCCTAGAGGCCTTCGTTGGAAACGGGATTTCTTCATATTCTGCTAGACAGAAGAATTCTCAGTAACTTCCTTGTGTTGTGTGTATTCAACTCACAGAGTTGAACGATCCTTTACACAGAGCAGACTTGAAACACTCTTTTTGTGGAATTTGCAAGTGGAGATTTCAGCCGCTTTGAGGTCAATGGTAGAATAGGAAATATCTTCTTATAGAAACTAGACAGAATGATTCTCAGAAACTCCTTTGTGATGTGTGCGTTCAACTCACAGAGTTTAACCTTTCTTTTCATAGAGCAGTTAGGAAACACTCCGTTTGTAAAGTCTGCAAGTGGATATTCAGACCTCTTTGAGGCCTTCGTTGGAAACGGGTTTTTTTCATATAAGGCTAGACAGAAGAATTCTCAGTAACTTCCTTGTGTTGTGTGTATTCAACTCACAGAGTTGAACGATCTTTTACACAGACCAGACTTGAAACACTCTTTTTGTGGAATTTGCAAGTGGAGATTTCAGCCGCTTTGAGGTCAATGGTAGAATAGGAAATATCTTCCTATAGAAACTAGACAGAATCATTCTCAGAAACTCCTTTGTGATGTGTGCGTTCAACTCACAGAGTTTAACCTTTCTTTTCATAGAGCACTTAGGAAACACTCTGTTTGTAAAGTCTGCAAGTGGATATTCAGACCTCCTTGAGGCCTTCGTTGGAAACGGGATTTCTTCATATTATGCTAGACAGAAGAATTCTCAGTAACTTCCTTGTGTTGTGTGTATTCAACTGACAGAGTTGAACTTTCATTTAGAGAGAGCAGATTTGAAACACTGTTTTTGTGGAATTTGTAAGTGGAAATTTCAAGCGCTTTGGGGCCAAAGGCAGAAAAGGAAATATCTTCGTATAAAAACTAGACAGAATCATTCTCAGAAACTGCTCTGCGATGTGTGCGTTCAACTCTCAGAGTTAAACTTTTCTTTTCATTCAGCAGTTTGGAAACACTCTGTTTGTAAAGTCTGCACGTGGATAATTTGACCACTTAGAGGCCTTCGTTGGAAACGGTTTTTTTTAATGTAAGGCTAGACAGAAGAATTCCCAGTAACTTCCTTGTGTTGTGTGCATTCAACTCACAGAGTTGAACGTTCCCTTAGACAGAGCAGATTTGAAACACTCTATTTGTGCAATTTGCAAGTGTAGATTTCAAGCGCTTTAAGGTCAATGGCAGAAAAGGAAATATCTTCGTTTCAATACTAGACAGAATGATTCTCAGAAACTCCTTTGTGATGTGTGCGTTCAAGTCGCAGAGTTTAACCTTTCTTTTCATAGAGCAGTTAGGAAACACTCTGTTTGTAAAGTGTGCAAGTGGATATTCAGACCTCTTTGAGGCCTTCGTTGGAAACGGGATTTCTTCATATTCTGCTAGACAGAAGAATTCTCAGTAACTTCCTTGTGTTGTGTGTATTCAACTCACAGAGTTCAACGATCCTTTACACAGAGCAGACTTGAAA
The DNA here is from genome assembly GCF_000001405.40 of Homo sapiens. NCBI lineage: Eukaryota > Metazoa > Chordata > Mammalia > Primates > Hominidae > Homo > Homo sapiens. The sequence goes on from NC_000001.11 coordinate 122,914,889, forward strand.
AAATCTTTTTGTGGAATTTGCAAGTGGAGATTTCAGCCGCTTTGAGGTCAATGGTAGAAAAGGAAATATCTTCGTATAAAAACTAGACAGAATGATTCTCAGAAACTCCTTTGTGATGTGTGCGTTCAACTCACAGAGTTTCACCTTTCTTTTCATAGAGCAGTTAGGAAACACTCTGTTTGTAAAGTCTGCAAGTGGATATTCAGACCTCCTTGAGGGCTTCGTTGGAAACGGGATTTCTTCATATTCTGCTAGACAGAAGAATTCCCAGTAACTTCCTTGTGTTGTGTGTGTTCAACTCACAGAGTTGAACTTTCATTTACACAGAGCAGATTTGAAACACTCTTTTTGTGGAATTTGCAAGTGGAGATTTCAAGCGCTGTGAGGCCAAAGGCAGAAAAGGAAATATCTTCGTATAGAAACTAGACAGAATCATTCTCAGAAACTGCTGCGTGATGTGTGCGTTCAACTCACAGAGTTTAACTTTTCTTTTCATTCAGCGGTTTGGAAACACTCTGTTTGTAATGTCTGCACGTGGATATTTTGACCACTTAGAGGCCTTCGTTGGAAACGGGATTTTTTCATGTAAGGCTAGACAGAAGAATTCCCAGTAACTTCCTTGTGTTGTGTACATTCAACTCACAGAGTTGAACGTTCCCTTAGACAGAGCAGATTTGAAACACTCTTTTTGTGCAATTGGCAAGTGGAGATTTCAAGCGCTTTAAGGTCAATGGCAGAAAAGGAAATATCTTCGTTTCAAAACTAGAGAGAATCATTCCCACAAACTGCGTTGTGATGTGTTCGTTCAACTCACAGAGTTTAACCTTTCTGTTCATAAAGCAGTTAGGAAACACTCTGTTTGTAAAGTCTGTAAGTGGATATTCTGACATCTTGTGGCCTTCGTTGGAAACGGGATTTCTTCATATTCTGCTAGACAGAAGAATTCTCAGTAACTTCCTTGTGTTGTGTGTATTCAACTCACAGATTTGAACGATCCTTTACACAGAGCAGTCTTGAAACACTCTTTTTGTGGAATTTGCAAGTGGAGATTTCAGCCGCTTTGAGGTCAATAGTAGAAAAGGAAATATCTTCGTAGAAAAACTAGACAGAATGATTCTCAGAAAATCTTTTGTGATGTGTGCGTTCAACTCACAGAGTTTAACTTTTCTTCTCATAGAGCAGTTAGGAAACACTCTGTTTGTAAAGTCTGCAAGTGGATATTCAGACCTCTTTGAGGCCTTCGGTGGAAACGGGATTTCTTCATATTATGCTAGACAGAAGAATTCTCAGTAACTTCCTTGTGTTGTGTGTGTTCAACTCACAGAGTTGAACTTTCATTTACACAGAGCAGACTTTAAACACTCTTTTTGTGGAATTTGCAAGTGGAGATTTCAAGCGCTTTGAGGCCAAAGGCAGAAAAGGAAATATCTTCGTATAAAAACTAGACAGAATCATTCTCATAAACTGCTGCGTGATGTGTGCCTTCAACTCTCAGAGTTTAACTTTTCTTTTCATTCAGCGGTTTGGAAACACTCTGTTTGTAAAGTCTGCACGTGGATATTTTTGACCACTTAGAGGCCTTCGTTGGAAACGGGTTTTTTTCATGTAAGGCTAGACGGAAGAATTCCCAGTAACTTCCTTGTGTTGTGTGCATTTAACTCACAGAGTTGAACGTTCCCTTAGACAGAGCAGATTTGAAACACTCTATTTGTGCAATTTGCAAGTGTAGATTTCAAGCGCTTTAAGGTCAATGGCAGAAAAGGAAATATCTTCGTTTCAAAACTAGACAGATAATCATTCCCACAAACTGCGTTGTGATGTGTTCGTTCAACTCACAGAGTTTAACCTTTCTTTTCATAGAGCAGTTAGGAAACAGTCTGTTTGTAAATTCTGTAAGTGGATATTCTGACATCTTGTGGCCTTCGTTGGAAACGGGATTTCTTCATATTCTGCTAGACAGAAGAATTCTCAGTAACTTCGTTGTGTTGTGTGTATTCAACTCACAGAGTTGAACGATCCTTTACACAGAGCAGACTTGAAACACTCTTTTTGTGGAATTTGCAAGTGGAGATTTCAGCCGCTTTGAGGTCAATGGTAGAATAGGAAATATCTTCCTATAGAAACTAGACAGAATGATTCTCAGAAACTGCTTTGTGATGTATGCGTTCAACTCACAGAGTTCAACCATTCTGTTCATAGAGCAGTTAGGAAACACTCTGTTTGTAAAGTCTGCAAGTGGATATTCAGACCTCTTTGAGGCCTTCGTTGGAAACGGGATTTCTTCATATTCTGCTAGACAGAAGAATTCTCAGTAACTTCCTTGTGTTGTGTGTATTCAACTGACAGAGTTGAACTTTCATTTAGAGAGAGCAGATTTGAAACACTGTTTTTGTGGAATTTGCAATTGGAGATTTCAAGCGCTTTGGGGCCAAGGGCAGAAAAGGAAATATCTTCGTATAAAAACTAGACAGAATCATTCTCAGAAACTGCTGCGTGATGTGTGCGTTCAATTCTGAGAGTTTAACTTTTCTTTTCATTCAGCGGTTTGGAAACACTCTGTTTGTAAAGTCTGCACGTGGAAATTTTGACCACTTAGAGGCCTTCGTTGGAAACGGGTTTTTTTCATGTAAGGCTAGACAGAAGAATTCCCAGTAACTTCCTTGTGTTGTGTGCATTCAACTCACAGAGTTGAACGTTCCCTAAGACAGAGCAGATTTGAAACACTCTATTTGTGCAATTTGCAAGTGTAGATTTCAAGCGCTTTAAGGTCAACGGCAGAAAAGGAAATATCTTCGTTTCAAAACTAGACAGAATCATTCCCACAAACTGCGTTGTGATGTGTGTGTTCAACTCACAGAGTTTCACCTTTCTTTTCATAGAGCAGTTAGGAAACAGTCTGTTTGTCAATTCTGTAAGTGGATATTCTGACATCTTGTGGCCTTCGTTGGAAACGGGATTTCTTCATATTCTGCTAGACAGAAGAATTCTCAGTAACTTCCTTGTGTTGTGTGTATTCAACTCACAGAGTTGAACGATCCTTTACACAGAGTAGACTTGAAACACTCTTTTTGTGGAATTTGCAAGTGGAGATTTCAGCCGCTTTGAGGTCAATGGTAGAAAAGGAAATATCTTCGTATAAAAACTAGACAGAATGATTCTCAGAAACTTCTTTGTGATGTGTGCGTTCAACTCATAGAGTTTAACCTTTCTTTTCATAGAGCAGTTAGGAAACACTCGGTTTGTAAACTCTGCAAGTGGATATTCAGACCTCTTTGAGGCCTTCGTTGGAAACGGGATTTCTTCATACTGTGCTAGACAGAAGAATTCTCAGTAACTTCCCTTGTGTTGTGTGTATTCAACTCACAGAGTTGAACGATCCTTTACACAGAGCGGACTTGAAACACTCTTTTTGTGAAATTTGCAAGTGGAGATTTCAGCCGCGTTGAGGTCAATGGTAGAAAAGGAAATATCTTCGTATAAAAACTAGACAGAATCATTCTCAGAAACTGCTGCGTGATGTGTGCGTTCAACTCTCAGAGTTTAACTTTTCTTTTCATTCAGCGGTTTGGAAACACTCTGTTTGTAAAGTCTGCACGTGGATATTTTGACCACTTAGAGGCCTTCGTTGGAAACGGGTTTTTTTCATGTACGGCTAGACAGAAGAATTCCCAGTAACTTCCTTGTTTTGTGTACATTCAACTCACAGAGTTGAACGTTCCCTTAGATAGAGCAGATTTGAAACACTCTTTTTGTGCAATTGGCAAGTGGTGATTTCAGCCGCTTTGAGGTCAATGGTAGAAAAGGAAATATCTTCGTATAAAAACTAGACAGAATCATTCCCACAAACTGCGTTGTGATGTGTTCGTTCAACTCACAGAGTTTAACCTTTCTGTTCATAGAGCAGTTAGGAAACACTCTGTTTGTAAAGTCTGTAAGTGGATATTCTGACATCTTGTGGCCTTCGTTGGAAACGGGATTTCTTCATATTCTGCTACACAGAAGAATTCTCAGTAACTTCCTTGTGTTGTGTGTATTCAACGCACAGAGTTGAACGATCCTTTACACAGAGCAGACTTGAAACACTCTTTTTGTGGAATTTGCAAGTGGAGATTTCAGCCGCTTTGAGGTCAATGGTAGAAAAGGAAACTATCTTCATATAAAGACTAGACAGAATGATTCTCAGAAACTCCTTTGTGCTGTGTGCGTTCAACTCACAGAGTTTAACCTTTCTTTTCATAGAGCAGTTAGGAAACACTCTGTTTGTAAAGTCTGCAAGTGGATATTCAGACATCTTTGAGGCTTTCGTTGGAAACGGGATTTCTTCATATTCTGCTAGACAGAAGAATTCCCAGTAACATCCTTGTGTTGTGTGTGTTCAACTCACAGAGTTGAACTTTCATTTACACAGAGCAGATTTGAAACACTCTTTTTGTGGAATTTGCAAGTGGAGATTTCAAGCGCTTTGAGGCCAAAGGCAGAAAAGGAAATATCTTCGTTTCAAAACTAGACAGAATCATTCTCAGAATCTGCTGCGTGATGTGTGCGTTCAACTCTCAGAGTTTAACTTTTCTTTTCATTCAGCGGTTTGGAAACACTCTGTTTGTAAAGTCTGCACGTGGAAATTTTGACCACTTAGAGGCCTTCGTTGGAAACGGGTTTTTTTCATGTAAGGCTAGACAGAAGAATTCCCAGTAACTTCCTTGTGTTGTGTGCATTCAACTCACAGAGTTGAACGTTCCCTTAGACAGAGCAGATTTGAAACACTCTATTTGTGCAATTTGCAAGTGTAGTTTTCAAGCTCTTTAAGGTCAACGGCAGAAAAGGAAATATCTTCGTTTCAAAACTAGAGAGAACGATTCTCAGAAACTCCTTTGTGATGTGTGCGTTCACCTCACAGAGTTTAACTTTTCTTTTCATAGAGCAGTTAGTAAACACTCTGTTTGTAAAGTCTGCAAGTGGATATTCAGACCTCTTTGAGGCCTTCGTTGGAAACGGGATTTCTTCATATTCTGCTAGACAGAAAAATTCTCAGTAACTTCCTTGTGTTGTGTGTATTCAACTCACAGAGTTGAACGATCCTTTACACATAGCAGACTTGAAACACTCTTTTTGTGGAATTTGCAAGTGGAGATTTCAGCCGCTTTCAGGTCAATAGTAGAAAAGGAAATATCTTCGTAGAAAAACTAGACAGAATGATTCTCAGAAACTCCTTTGTGATGTGTGTGTTCAACTCACAGAGTTTAACCTTTCTTTTCATAGAGCAGTTAGTAAACACTCTGTTTATAAAGTCTGCAAGTGTATATTCAGACCCCTTTGAGGCCTTCGTTGGAAACGGGATTTCTTCATATTATGCTAGACAGAAGAATTCTCAGAAACTTCCTTGTGTTGTGTGTATTCAACTCACAGAGTTGAACGATCCTTTACACACAGCAGACTTGAGACACTCTTTTTGTGGAATTTGTAAGTGGAGATTTCAGCCGCTTTGAGGTCAATGGTAGAAAAGGAAATATCTTCATATAAAAACTAGACAGAATCATTCTCAGAAACTGCTCTGCGATGTGTGCGTTCAACTCTCAGAGTTTAACTTTGCTTTTCATTCAGCAGTTTGGAAACACTCTGTTTGTAAAGTCTGCACGTGGATATTTTGACCACTTAGAGGCCTTCGTTGGAAACGGGTTTCTTTCCTGTAAGGCTAGATAGAAGAATTCTCAGTAACTTCCTTGTGTTGTGTACATTCAACTCACAGAGTTGAACGTTCCCTTAGACAGAGCAGATTTGAAACACTCTTTTTGTGCAATTGGCAAGTGGTGATTTCAGCCGATTTGAGGTCAATGGTAGAAAAGGAAATATCTTCGTAGAAAAACTAGACAGAATCATTCCCACAAACTGCGTTGTGATGTGTTCGTTCAACTCACAGAGTTTAACCATTCTTTTCATAGAGCAGTTAGGAAACAGTCTGTTTGTAAATTCTGTAAGTGGATATTCTGACATCTTGTGGCCTTCGTTGGAAACGGGATTTCTTCATATTCTGCTAGACAGAAGGATTCTCAGTAACTTCCTTGTGTTGTGTGTATTCAACTCACAGAGTTGAACGATCCTTTACACAGAGCAGACTTGAAACACTCTTTTTGTGGAATTTGCAAGTGCAGATTTCAGCCGCTTTGAGGTCAATGGTAGAAAAGGAGATATCTTCGTATAAAAACTAGACAGAAATGATTCTCAGAAACTCCTTTGTGATGTGTGCGTTCAACTCACAGAGTTTAACCTTTCTGTTCATAGAGCAGTTAGGAAACACTCTGTTTGTAAAGTCTGCAAGTGGATACTCAGAACCTCCTTCAGGCATTCGTTGGAAACGGGATTTCTTCATATTCTGCTAGACAGAAGAATTCTCAGTAACTTCCCTTGTGTTGTGTGTATTCAACTGACAGAGTTGAACTTTCAGTTAGAGAGAGCAGATTTGAAACACTGTTTTTGTGGAATTTGCAAGTGGAGATTTCAAGCGCTTTGGGGCCAAAGGCAGAAAACGAAATATCTTCGTATAAAAAGTAGACAGAATCATTCTCAGAAACTGCTCTGCGATGTGTGCGTTCAACTCTCAGAGTTTAACTTTTCTTTTCATTCAGCAGTTTGGAAACACTCTGTTTGTAAAGTCTGCACGTGGATATTTTGACCAGTTAGAGGCCTTCGTTGGAAACGGGTTTTTTTCCTGTAAGGCTAGACAGAAGAATTCCCAGTAACTTCCTTGTCTTGTGTACATTCAACTCACAGAGTTGAACGTTCCCTTAGACAGAGCAGATTTGAAACACTCTTTTTGTGCAATTGGCAAGTGGAGATTTCAAGCGCTTTAAGGTCAATGGCAGAAAAGGAAATATCTTCGTTTCAAAACTAGAGAGAATCATTCCCAAAAACTGCGTTGTGATGTGTTCGTTCATCTCACAGAGTTTAACCTTTCTTTTCATACAGCAGTTAGGAAACAGTCTGTTTGTAAATTCTGTAAGTGGATATTCTGACATCTTGTGGCCTTCGTTGGAAACGGGATTTCTTCATATTCTGCTAGACAGAAGAATTCTCAGTAACTTCCTTGTGTTGTGTGTATTCAACTCACAGAGTTGAACGATCCTTTACACAGGGCGGACTTGAAACACTCTTTTTGTGGAATTTGCAATTGGAGATTTCAGCCGCTTTGAGGTCAATGGTAGAAAAGGAAATATCTTCGTATAAAAACTAGACAGAATGATTCTCAGAAACTTCATTGTGACGTGTGCGTTCAACTCACAGAGTTTAACATTTCTTTTCATAGAGCAGTTAGGAAACACTCTGTTTGTAAAGTCTGCAAGTGGATATTCAGACCTCTCTGAGGCCTTCGTTGGAAACGGGATTTCTTCATACTGTGCCAAACAGAAGAATTCCCAGTAACTTCCTTGTGTTGTGTGTGTTCAACTCACAGAGTTGAACTTTCATTTACACAGAGCAGATTGGAAACACTCTTTTTGTGGAATTTGCAAGTGGAGATTTCAAGCGCTTTGAGACCAAAAGCAGAAAAGGAAATATCTTCGTATAAAAACTAGACAGAATCATTCTCAGAACCTGCTCTGCGATGTGTGCGTTCAACTCTCAGAGTTTAACTTTTCTTTTCATTCAGCAGTTTGGAAACACTCTGTTTCTAAAGTCTGCACGTGGATATTTTGACCACTTAGAGGCCTTCGTTGGAAACGGGTTTTTTTCCTGTAAGGCTTGACAGAAGAATTCCCAGTAACTTCCTTGTGTTGTGTACATTCAACTCACAGAGTTGAACGTTCCCTTAGACAGAGCAGATTTGAAACACTCTTTTTGTGCAATTGGCAAGTGGTGATTTCAGCCGCTTTGAGGTCAATGGTAGAAAAGGAAATATCTTCGTATAAAAACTAGACAGAATGATTCTCAGAAACTTCATTGTGATGTGTGCGTTCAACTCACAGAGTTTAACCTTTCTTTTCATAGAGCAGTTAGGAAACACTCTGTTTGTAAACTCTGCAAGTGGATATTCAGACCTCTTTGCTGCCTTCGTTGGAAACGGGATTTATTCATACTGTGCTAGACAGAAGAATTCTCAGTAACTTCCTTCTGTTGTGTGTATTCAACTCACAGAGTTGAACGATCCTTTACACAGAGCGGACTTGAAACACTCTTTTTGTGGAATTTGCAAGTGGAGATTTCAGCCGCGTTGAGGTCAATGGTAGAAAAGGAAATATCTTCGTATAAAAATTAGACAGAATGATTCTCATAAACTCCTTTGTGATGTGTGCATTCAACTCACAGAGTTTCACCTTTCTTTTCATAGAGCAGTTGGGAAACACTCTGTTTGTAAAGTCTGCAAGTAGATATTCAGACCTCCTTGAGGCCTTCGTTGGAAACGGGATTTCTTCATATTCTGCTAGACAGAAGAATTCTCAGTAACTTCCTTGTGTTGTGTGTATTCAACTGACAGAGTTGAACTTTCATTTAGAGAGAGCAGATTTGAAACACTGTTTTTGTGGAAGTTGCAAGTGGAGATTTCAAGCGCTTTGGGGCCAAGGGCAGAAAAGGAAATATCTTCGTATAAAAACTAGACAGATAATCATTCTCAGAAACTGCTCTGCGATGTGTGCGTTCAACTCTCAGAGTTTAACTTTTCTTTTCATTCAGCAGTTTGGAAACACTCTGTTTGTAAAGTCTGCACGTGGATATTTTGACCATTTAGAGGCCTTCGTTGGAAACGGGTTTTTTTCTTGTAAGGCTAGACAGAAGAATTCCCAGGAACTTCCTTGTGTTGTGTACATTCAACTCACAGAGTTGAACGTTCCCTTAGACAGAGCAGATTTGAAACACTCTTTTTGTGCAATTGGCAAGTGGTGATTTCAGCCGCTTTGAGGTCAATGGTAGAAAAGGAAATATCTTCGTATAAAAACTAGACAGAATCATTCCCACAAACTGCGTTGTGATGTGTTCGTTCAACTCACAGAGTTTAACCTTTCTTTTCATAGAGTAGTTAGGAAACACTCTGTTTGTAAAGTCTGCAAGTGGATATTCAGACCTCTTTGAGGCCTTCGTTGGAAACGGGATTTCTTCATGTTCTGCCAGACAGAATAATTCTCAGTAACTTCCTTGTGTTGTGTGTATTCTACTCACAGAGTTGAACGATCCTTTACACAGAGCAGACTTGAAACACTCTTTTTGTGGAATTTGCAAGTGGAGATTTCAGCCGCTTTGAGGTCAATGGTAGAATAGGAAATATCATCCTATAGAAACTAGACCGAATGATTCTCAGAAACTCCTTTGTGATATGTGCTTTCAACTCATAGAGTTCAACCTTTCTTTTCATAGAGCACTTGGGAAACACTCTGTTTGTAAAGTCTGCAAGTGGATATTCAGACTTCTTTGAGGCCTTCGTTGGAAGCGGGATTTCTTCATGTTCTGCTAGACAGAAGAATTCTCAGTAACTTACCTTGTGTTGTGTGTATTCAACTCACAGAGTTGAATGATCCTTTACACAGAACAGTCTTGAAACACTCTTTTTGTGGAATTTGCTAGTGGAGATTTCAGCCGCTTTGATGTCAATGGTAGAATAGGAAATATCTTCCTATAGAAACTAGACAGAATGATTCTCAGAAACTCCTTTGTGATGTGTGTGTTCAACTCACAGAGTTTAACCTTTCTTTTCATAGAGCAGTTAGGAAACACTCTGTTTGTAAAGTCTGCAAGTGGATATTCAGACCTTTTTGAGACCTTCGTTGGAAACGGGATTTTTTCATATAAGGCTAGACAGAAGAATTCCCAGTAACTTCCTTGTGTTGTGTGTGTTCAACTCACAGAGTTGAACTTTGATTTACACAGAGCAGATTTGAAACACTCTTTTTGTGGAATTTGCAAGTGGAGATTTCAAGCGCTTTGAGGCCAAAGGCAGAAAAGGAAATATCTTCGTATGAAAACTAGACAGAATCATTCTCAGAAACTGCTGCGTGATGTGTGCGTTCAACTCTCAGAGTTTAACTTTTCTTTTCATTCAGCGGTTTGGAAACACTCTGTTTGTAAATTCTGCACGTGGAAATTTTGACCACTTAGAGGCCTTCGTTGGAAACGGGTTTTTTTCATGTAAGGCTAGACAGAAGAATTCCCAGTAACTTCCTTGTGTTGTGTACATTCAACTCACAGAGTTGAACGTTCCCTTAGACAGAGCAGATTTGAAACACTCTTTTTGTGCAATTGGCAAATGGAGATTTCAAGCGCTTTAAGGTCAATGGCAGAAAAGGAAATATCATCGTTTCAAAACTAGACAGAATCATTCCCACAAACTGCGTTGTGATGTGTTCGTTCAACTCACAGAGTTTAACCTTTCTGTTCATAGAGCAGTTAGGAAACACTCTGTTTGTAAAGTCTGAAAGTGGATATTCTGACATCCTTGTGGCCTTCGTTGGGAACGGGATTTCTTCATATTCTGCTAGACAGAAGAATTCTCAGTAACTTCCTTGTGTTGTGTGTATTCAACTCACAGAGTTGAACGATCCTTTACACAGAGCAGACTTGAAACACTCTTGTTGTGTAATTTGCAAGTGGAGATTTCAGCCGCTTTGAGGTCAATGGTAGAATAGGAAATATCTTCCTATAGAAACTAGACAGAATGATTCTCAGAAACTCCTTTGTGATGTGTGCGTTCAACTCACAGAGTTTAACCTTTCTTTTCATAGAGCAGTTAGGAAACACTCTGTTTGTAAAGTCTGCAAGTGGATATACAGACCTCTTTGAGGCCTTCGTTGGAAACCGGATTTCTTCATATTCTGCTAGAGAGAAGAATTCTCAGTAACTTCCTTGTGTTGTGTGTATTCAACTTACAGAGGTGAACGATCCTTTACACAGAGCAGACTTGAAACACTCTTTTTGTGGAATTTGCAAGTGGAGATTTCAGCCGCTTTGAGGTCAATGGTAGAAAAGGAAATATCTTCGTATAAAAACTAGACAGAATGATTCTCAGAAACTCCTTTGTGATGTGTGTGTTCAACTCACAGAGTTTAACCTTTCTTTTCATAGAGCAGTTAGGAAACACTCTGTTTGTAAAGTCTGCAAGTGGATATTTTGACCTCTTTGAGGCCTTCGTTGGAAACGGGTTTTTTCATGTAAGGCTAGACAGAAGAATTCTCAGTAACTTCCTTGTGTTGTGTGTATTCAACTGACAGAGTTGAACTATCATTTAGAGAGAGCAGATTTGAAACACTGTTTTTGTGGAATTTGCAAGTGGAGATTTCAAGCGCTTTGGGGCCAAAGGCAGAAAAGGAAATATCTTCGTATAAAAACTAGACACAATCATTCTCAGAAACTGCTCTGCGAAGTGTGCGTTCAACTCTCAGAGTTTAACTTTTCTTTTCATTCAGCAGTTTGGAAACACTCTGTTTGTAAAGTCTGCACGTGGATAATTTGACCACTTAGAGGCCTTAGTTGGAAACGGGTTTTTTTCATGTAAGGCTAGACAGAAGAATTCCCAGTAACTTCCTTGTGTTGTGTGCATTCAACTCACAGAGTTGAACTTTCCTTTAGACAGAGCAGATTTGAAACACTCTATTTGTGCAATTTGCAAGTGTAGATTTCAAGCGCTTTAAGGTCAATGGCAGAAAAGGAAATATCTTCGTTTCAAAACTAGACAGAATCATTCCCACAAACTGCGTTGTGATGTGTTCGTTCAACTCACAGAGTATTAACCTTTCTGTTCATAGAGCAGTGAGGAAACACTCTGTTTGTAAAGTCTGTAAGTGGATATTCTGACATCTTGTGGCCTTCGTTGGAAACGGGATTTCTTCATATTCTGCTAGACAGAAGAATTCTCAGTAACTTCTTTGTGTTGTGTGTATTCAACTCACAGAGTTGAACGATCCTTTACACAGAGCAGACTTGAAACACTCTTTTTGTGGAATTTGCAAGTGGAGATTTCAGCCGCTTTGAGGTCAATGGTAGAATAGGAAATATCTTCCTATAGAAACTAGACAGAATGATTCTCAGAAACTCCTTTGTGATGTTTGCGTTCAACTCACAGAGTTTAACATTTCTTTTCATAGAGCAGTTAGGAAACACTCTGTTTATATAGTCTGCAAGTGGATATTCAGACCTCCTTGAGGCCTTCGTTGGAAACGGGGTTTCTTCATATTCTGCTAGACAGAAGAATTCTCAGTAACTTCCTTCTGTTGTGTGTATTCAACTGACAGAGTTGAACTTTCATTTAGAGAGAGCAGATTTGAAACACTGTTTTTGTGGAATTTGCAAGTGGAGATTTCAAGCGCTTTGGGGCCAAAGGCAGAAAGGAAATATCTTCGTATAAAAACTAGACAGAATCATTCTCAGAAACTGCTCTGTGATGTGTGCGTTCAACTCTCAGAGTTTAACTTTTCTTTTCATTCAGCAGTTTGGAAACACTCTGTTTGTAAAGTCTGCACGTGGATATTTTGACCACTTAGAGGCCTTCGTTGGAAACGGGTTTTCTTCATGTAAGGCTAGACAGAAGAATTCCCAGTAACTTCCTTGTGTTGTGTGCATTCAATTCACACAGATGAACGTTCCCTTAGACAGAGCAGATTTGAAACACTCTATTTGTGCAATTTGCAAGTGTAGATTTCAAGCGCTTTAAGGTCAATGGCAGAAAAGGAAATATCTTCGTTTCAAAACTAGACAGAATGATTCTCAGAAACTCCTTTGTGATGTGTGCGTTCAACTCACAGAGTTTAACCTTTCTTTTCATAGAGCAGTTAGGAAGCACTCTGTTAGTAAAGTCTGCAAGTGGATATTCAGACCTCCTTGAGGCCTTCGTTGGAAAGGGGATTTCTTCATATTATGCTACACAGAAGAATTCTCAGTAACTTTCCTTGTGTTGTGTGTATTCAACTCACAGAGTTGAACGATCCTTTACACAGAGCAGACTTGAAACACTCTTTTTGTGGCATTTGCAAGTGGAGATTTCAGCCGCTTTGAGTTCAATGGTAGAATAGGAAATATCTTCCTATAGAAACTAGACAGAATGATTCTCAGAAACTCCTTTGTGATGTGTGTGTTCAACTCACAGAGTTTAACCTTTCTTTTCATAGAGCAGTTGGGAAACACTCTGTTTGTAAAGTCTGCAAGTGGATATTCAGACATCCTTGAGGCTTTCGTTGGAAACGGGATTTCTTCATATTCTGCTAGAAAGAAGAATTCTCAGAATCTTCCTTGTGTTGTGTGTATTCAACTCACAGAGTTGAACGATCCTTTACACAGAGCAGACCTGAAACACTCTTTTTGTGGAATTTACAAGTGGAGATTTCAGCCGCTTTGAGGTCAATGGTAGAAAAGGAAATATCTTCGTATAAAAACTAGACAGAATGATTCTCAGAAACTCCTTTGTGATGTGTGCGTTCTACTCACAGAGTTTAACCTTTCTTTTCATAGAGCAGTTAGGAAACACTCTGTTTGTAAAGTCTGCAAGTGGATATTCAGACATCTTTGAGACTTTCGTTGGAAACGGGATTTCTTCATATTCTGCTAGACAGAAGAATTCCCAGTAACTTCCTTGTGTTGTGTGTGTTCAACTCAGAGAGTTGAACTTTCATTTACACAGAGCAGATTTGAAACACTCTTTTTGTGGAATTTGCAAGTGGAGATTTCAAGCGCTTTGAGGCCAAAGGCAGAAAAGGAAATATCTTCGTATAAAAACTAGACAGAATCATTCTCAGAAACTTCTCTGCGATGTGTGCGTTCAACTCTCAGAGTTTAACTTTTCTTTTCGTTCAGCAGTTTGGAAACACTCTGTTTGTAAAGTCTGCACGTGGATATTTTGACCACTTAGAGGCCTTCGTTGGAAACGGGTTTTTTTCCTGTAAGGCTAGACAGAAGAATTCCCAGTAACTTCCTTGTGTTGTGTACATTCAACTCACAGAGTTGAACGTTCCCTTAGACAGAGCAGATTTGAAACACTCTTTTTGTGCAATTAGCAAGTGGAGATTTCAAGCGCTTTAAGGTCAATGGCAGAAAAGGAAATATCTTACTTTCAAAACTAGACAGAAATCATTCCCACAAACTGCGTTGTGATGTGTTCGTTCAACTCACAGAGTTTAACCTTTCTGTTCATAGAGCAGTTAGGAAACACTCTGTTTGTAAAGTCTGTAAGTGGATATTCTGATATCTTGTGGCCTTCGTTGGAAACGGGATTTCTTCATATTCTGCTAGACAGAAGCAATTCTCAGTAACTTCCTTGTGTTGTGTGTATTCAACTCACAGAGTTGAAGGATCCTTTACAGAGGGCAGGCTTGAAACACTCTTTTTGTCGAATTTGCAAGTGGAGATTTCAGCCGCTTTGAGGTCAATGGTAGAATAGGAAATATCTTCTTATAGAAACTAGACAGAACGATTCTCAGAAACTCCTTTGTGATGTGTGCGTTCAACTCACAGAGTTTAACCTTTCTTTTCATAGAGCAGTTACGAAACACTCTGTTTGTAAAGTCTGCAAGTGGATATTCAGACCTCTTTGAGGCCTTCGTTGGAAACGGGATTTCTTCATATTCTGCTAGACAGAAGAATTCTCAGTAACTTCCTTGTGTTGTGTTTATTCAACTCACAGAGTTGAATGATCCTTTACACAGAGCAGACTTGAAACACTCTTTTTGTGGAATTTGCAAGTGGAGATTTCAGCCGCTTTGAGGTCAATGGTAGAAAAGTAAATACCTTCCTATAAAGACTAGACAGAATGATTCTCAGAAACTCCTTTGTGATGTGTGCCTTCAACTCACAGAGTTTAACCTTTCTTTTCATAGAGCAGTTAGGAAACACTCTGTTTGTAAAGTCTGCAAGTGGATATTCAGACCTCTTTGAGGCCTTCGTTGGAAACGGGTTTTTTTCATATAAGGCTAGACAGAAGAATTCTCAGAAACTTTCCTTGTGTTGTGTGTATTCAACTCACAGAGTAGAACGATCCTTTACACAGAGCAGACTTGAAACACTCTTTTTGTGGAATTTGCAAGTGGAGATTTCAGCCGATTTGAAGTCAATGGTAGAAAGGGAAATATCTTCGTATAGAAACTAGACAGAATTATTCTCAGAAACTCCTTTGTGATGTGTGCGTTCAACTCACAGAGTTTAACCTTTCTGTTCATAGAGCAGTTAGGAAACACTCTGTTTGTAAAGTCTGCAAGTGGATATTCAGACCTCCTTGAGGCCTTCGTTGGAAACGGGATTTCTTCATATTCTGCTAGACAGAAGAATTCTCAGAAACTTCCTTGTGTTGTGTGTATTCAACTCACAGAGTTGAAGGATCCTTTACACAGAGCAGACTTGAAACACTCTTTTTGTGGAATTTGCAAGTGGAGATTTCAGCCGCTTTGTGGTCAATGGTAGAAAAGGAAATATCTTCGTATAAAGACTAGACAGAATGATTCTCAGAAACTTCTTTGTGATGTGTGCGTTCAGCTCACAGAGTTTAACCTTTCTTTTCATAGAGCAGTTAGGAAACACTCTGTTTGTAAACTCTGCAAGTGGATATTCAGACCTCTTTGAGGCCTTCGTTGGAAACGGGATTTCTTCATACTATGCTAGACAGAAGAATTCCCACTAACTTCCTTGTGTTGTGTGTGTTCAACTCACAGAGTTGAACTTTCATTTACACAGAGCAGATTTGAAACACTCTTTTTGTGGAATTTGCAAGTGGAGATTTCAAGCGCTGTGAGGCCAAAGGCAGAAAAGGAAGTATCTTCGTATAAAAACTAGACAGAATCATTCTCAGAAACTGCTCTGTGATGTGTGCGTTCAACTCTCAGAGTTTAACTTTTCTTTTCATTCAGCAGTTTGGAAACACTCTGTTTGTAAAGTCTGCACGTGGATAATTTGACCACTTAGAGGCCTTCGTTGGAAACGGGTTTTTTTCATGTAAGGCTAGACAGAAGAGTTCTCAGTAACTTCCTTGTGTTGTATGTATTCAACTCACACAGTTGAACGATCCTTTACAGAGAGCAGACTTGTAACACTCTTTTTGTGGAATTTGCAAGTGGAGATTTCAGCCGCTTTGAAGTCAAAGTAGAAAAGGAAATATCTTCCTATAAAAACTAGACAGAATGATTCTCAGAAAATCTTTTGTGATGTGTGCGTTCAACTCACAGAGTTTAACTTTTCTTCTCATAGAGCAGTTAGGAAACACTCTGTTTGCAAAGTCTGCAAGTGGATATTCAGACCTCTTTGAGGCCTTCGTTGGAAACGGGATTTCTTCAAATTATGCTAGACAGAAGAATTCTCAGTAACTTCCTTGTGTTGTGTGTATTCAACTCACAGAGTTGAACGATCCTTTACACACAGCAGACTTGAAACACTCTTTTTGTGTAATTTGCAACTGGAGATTTCAGCCGCTTTGAGGCCAATAGTAGAAAAGGAAGTATCTTCGTAGAAAAACTAGACAGAATGATTCTCAGAAAATCTTTTGTGATGTGTGCGTTCAACTCACAGAGTTTAACTTTTCTTCTCATAGAGCAGTTAGGAAACACTCTGTTTGTAAAGTCTGCATGTGGATATTCAGACCTCTTTGAGGCCTTCGTTGGAAACGGGATTTCTACATATTATGCTAGACAGAAGAATTCTCAGTAACTTCCTTGTGTTGTGTGTATTCAACTGACAGAGTTGAACTTTCATTTAGAGAGAGCAGATTTGAAACACTGTTTTTGTGGAATTTGCAAGTGGAGATTTCAAGCGCTTTGGGGCCAAAGGCACAAAAGGAAATATCTTCGTATAAAAACTAGACAGAATCATTCTCAGCAAACTGCTGCGTGATGTGTGCGTTCAACTCTCAGAGTTTAACTTTTCTTTTCATTCAGCGGTTTGGAAACACTCTGTTTGTAAAGTCTGCACGTGGAAATTTTGACCACTTAGAGGCCTTCGTTGGAATCGGGTTTTTTTCATGTAAGGCTAGACAGAAGAATTCCCAGTAACTTCCTTGTGTTGTGTACATTCAACTCACAGAGTTGAACGTTCCCTTAGACAGAGCAGATTTGAAACACTCTTTTTGTGCAATTGGCAAGTGGAGATTTCAAGCGCTTTAAGGTCAATGGCATAAAAGGAATTATCTTCGTTTCAAAACTAGACAGAATCATTCCCAAAAACTGCGTTGTGATGTGTTCGTTCAACTCACAGAGTTTAACCTTTCTGTTCATAGAGCAGTTAGGAAACACTCTGTTTGTAAAGTCTGTAAGTAGATATTCTGACATCTTGTGGCCTTCGTTGGAAACGGGATTTCTTCATATTCTGCTAGACAGAAGAAATCTCAGTAACTTCCTTGTGTTGTGTGTATTCAACTCACAGAGTTGAACGATCCTTTACACAGAGCGGACTTGAAACACACTTTTTGTGGAATTTGCAAGTGGAGATTTCAGCCGCGTTGAGGTCAATGGTAGAAAAGGAAATATCTTCGTATAAAAACTAGACAGAATGATTCTGAGAAACTCCTTTGTGATGTGTGCGTTCAACTCACAGAGTTTAACCTTTCTTTTCATAGAGCAGTTAGGAAACACTCTGTTTGTAATGTGTGCAAGTGGATATTCAGACCTCCTTGAGGCCTTTGTTGGAAACGGGATTTCTTCATATTATGCTAGACAAAAGAATTCTCAGTAACTTCCTTGTGTTGTGTGTATTCAACTCACAGAGTTGAACGATCCTTTACACAGATTGGACTTGAAACACTCTTTTTGTGGAATTTGCAAGTGGAGATTTCAGCCGCGTTGAGGTCAATGGTAGAAAAGGAAATATCTTCGTATAAAAACTAGACAGAATGATTCTCAGAAACTCCTTTGTGATGTGTGTGTTCAACTCACAGAGTTTAACCTTTCTTTTCATAGAGCAGTTAGGAAACACTCTGTTTGTAAAGTCTGCAAGTGGATATTCAGACCTCTTTGAGGCCTTCGTTGGAAACGGGATTTTTTCATATAAGGCTAGACAGAAGAATTCCCAGTAACTTTCCTTGTGTTGTGTGTGTTCAACTCACAGAGTTGAACTTTCATTTACACAGAGCAGATTTGAAACACTCTTTTTGTGGAATTTGCAAGTGGAGATTTCAAGCGCTTTGAGGCCAAAGGCAGAAAAGGAAATATCTTCGTTTGAAAACTAGACAGAATCATTCTCAGAAACTGCTCTGCGATGTGTGCGTTCAACTCTCAGAGTTTAACTTTTCTTTTCATTCAGCAGTTTGGAAACACTCTGTTTGTAAAGTCTGCACGTGGATAACTTGACCACTTAGAGGCCTTCGTTGGAAACGGGTTTTTTCATGTAAGGCTAGACAGAAGAATTCCCAGTAACTTCCTTGTGTTGTGTACATTCAACTCACAGAGTTGAACGTTCCCTTAGACAGAGCAGATTTGAAACACTCTTTTTGTGCAATTGGCAAGTGGAGATTTCAAGCGCTTAAGGTCAATGGCAGAAAAGGAAATATCTTCGTTTCAAAACTAGACAGAATGATTCTCAGAAACTCCTTTGTGATGTGTACGTTCAACTCACAGAGTTTAACCTTTCTTTTCATAGAGCAGTTAGGAAACACTCTGTTTGTAAATTCTGTAAGTGGATATTCTGACATCTTGTGGCCTTCGTTGGAAACGGGATTTCTTCATATTCTGCTAGACAGAAGAATTCTCAGTAGCTTCCTTGTGTTGTGTACTTTCAACTCACAGAGTTGAACGATCCTTTACACAGGAGCAGATTAGAAACACTCTTTTTGTGGAATTTGCAAGTGGAGATTTCAGCCGCTTTGAGGTCAATGGTAGAAAAGGAAATATCTTCATAAAAAAACTAGACAGAATGATTCTCAGAAACTCCTTTGTGATGTGTCTGTTCAACTCACAGAGTTTAACCTTTCTTTTCATAGAGCAGTTAGGAAACACTCTGTTTGTAAAGTCTGCAAGTGGATATTCAGACCTCTTTGAGGCCTTCGTTGGAAACGGGTTTTTTTCATATAAGGCTAGACAGAAGAATTCCCAGTAACTTCCTTGTGTTGTGTGTGTTCAACTCACAGAGTTGAACTTTCATTTACACAGAGCAGATTGGAAACACTCTTTTTGTGGAATTTGCAAGTGGAGATTTCAAGCGCTTTGAGGCCAAAGGCAGAAAAGGAAATATCTTCGTATAAAAACTAGACCGAATCATTCTCAGAAACTGCTCTGTGATGTGTGCGTTCAACTCTCAGAGTTTAACTTTTCTTTTCATTCAGCAGTTTGGAAACACTCTGTTTGTAAAGTCTGCACGTGGATAATTTGACCACTTAGAGGCCTTCGTTGGAAACGGGTTTTTTTCATGTAAGGCTAGACAGAAGATTTCTCAGTAACTTCCTTGTGTTGTGTGTATTCAACTCACACAGTTGAACGATCCTTTACACAGAGCAGACTTGTAACACTCTTTTTGTGGAATTTGCAAGTGGAGATTTCAGCCGCTTTGAAGTCAAAGGTAGAAAAGGAAATATCTTCCTATAAAAACTAGACAGAATCATTCCCACAAACTGCGTTGTGATGTGTTCGTTCAACTCACAGAGTTTAACCTTTCTGTTCATAGAGCAGTTAGGAAACACTCTGTTTGTAAAGTCTGTAAGTGGATATTCTGACATCTTGAGGCCTTCGTTGGAAACGGGATTTCTTCATATTCTGCTAGAGAGAAGAATTCTCAGAAACTTCCTTGTGTTGTGTGTATTCAACTCACAGAGTTGAACGATCCTTTACACAGAGCAGACTTGAAACACACTTTTTTTGGTATTTTCAAGTGGAGATTTCAGCAGCTTTGAGTTCAATGGTAGAAAAGGAAATATATTCGTATAAAGACTAGACAGAATGATTCTCAGAAACTACTTTGCGATGTGTGCGTTCAACTCACAGAGTTTAACCTTTCTTTTCATAGAGCAGTTAGGAAACACTCTGTTTGTAAAGTCTGCAAGTGGATATTCAGACCTCCTTGAGGCCTTCGTTGGAAACTGGATTTCTTCATATTATGCTAGACAGAATAATTCTCAGTAACTTCCTTGTGTTGTGTGTATTCAACTCACAGAGTTGAAGGATCCTTTACAGAGAGCAGGCTTGAAACACTCTTTTTCTCGAATTTGCAAGTGGAGATTTCAGCTGCTTTGAGGTCAATGGTAGAATAGGAAATATCTTCTTATAGAAACTAGACAGAATCATTCTCAGAAACTGCTCTGCGATGTGTGCGTTCAACTCTCAGAGTTTAACTTTTCTTTTCATTCAGCAGTGTGGAAACACTCTGTTTGTAAAGTCTGCACGTGGATATTTTGACCACTTAGAGGCCTTCGTTGGAAACGGGTTTTTTTCCCTGTAAGGCTAGACAGAAGAATTCCCAGTAACTTCCTTGTGTTGTGTGCATTCATCTCACAGAGTTGAACGTTCCCTTAGACAGAGCAGATTTGAAACACTCTATTTGTGCAATTTGCAAGTGTAGATTTCAAGCGCTTTAAGGTCAATGGCAGAAAAGGAAATATCTTCGTTTCAAAACTAGACAGAATCATTCCCACAAACTGCGTTGTGATGTGTTCGTTCAACTCACAGAGTTTAACCTTCCTTTTCATAGAGCAGTTAGGAAACACTCTGTTTGTAAAGTCTGCAAGTGGATATTCAGACCTCCTTGAGGCCTTCGTTGGAAACGGGATTTCTTCATATTCTGCTAGACAGAAGAATTCTCAGTAACTTCCTTGTGTTGTGTGTATTCAACTCACAGAGTTGAACGATCCTTTACACAGAGCAGACTTGAAACACTCTTTTTGTGGAATTTGCAAGTGGAGATTTCATCCGCTTTGAGGTCAATGGTAGAATAGGAAATATCTTCCTATAGAAAATAGACAGAATGATTCTCAGAAACTCCGTTGTGATGTGTGCGTTCAACTCACAGAGTTTAACCTTTCTTTTCATAGAGCAGTTGGGAAACACTCTGTTTGTAAAGTCTGCAAGTGGATATTCAGACCTCCTTGAGGCTTTCGTTGGAAACGGGATTTCTTCATATTCTGCTAGAAAGAAGATTTCTCAGAAACTTCCTTGTGTTGTGTGTTTTCAACTCACAGAGTTGAACGATCCTTTACACAGAGCAGACTTGAAACACTCTTTTTGTGGAATTTGCAAGTGGAGATTTCAGCCGCTTTGAGGTCAATTGTAGAAAAGGAAATATCTTCGTATAAAAACTAGACAGAATGATTCTCAGAAACTCCTTTGTGATGTGTGCATTCAACTCACAGAGTTTAACCTTTCTTTTCATAGAGCAGTTAGGAAACACTCTGTTTGTAAAGTCTGCAAGTGGATATTCAGACCTCTTTGATGCCTTCGTTGGAAACGGGATTTCTTCATATTCTGCTAGACAGAAGAATTCCCAGTAACTTACCTTGTGTTGTGTACATTCAACTCACAGAGTTGAACGTTCCCTTAGACAGAGCAGATTTGAAACACTCTTTTTGTGCAATTGGCAAGTGGAGATTTCAAGCGCTTTAAGGTCAATGGCAGAAAAGGAAATATCTTCGTTTCAAAACTAGACAGAATCATTCCCACAAACTGCGTTGTGATGTGTTCGTTCAACTCACAGAGTTTAACCTTTCTGTTCATAGAGCAGTCAGGAAACACTCTGTTTGTAAAGTCTGTAAGTGGATATTCTGACATCTTGTGGCCTTCGTTGGAAACGGGATTTCTTCATATTCTGCTAGACAGAAGAATTCTCAGTAACTTCCTTGTGTTGTGTTTATTCAACTCACAGAGGTGAATGATCCTTTACACAGAGCAGACTTGAAACACTCTTTTTGTGGAATTTGCAAGTGGAGATTTCAGCCGCTTTGAGGTCAATGGTAGAAAAGTAAATATCTTCGTATAAAGACTAGACAGAATGATTCTCAGAAACTCCTTTGTGATGTGTGCGTTCAACTCACAGAGTTTAACTTTTCTTTTCATAGAGCAGTTAGGAAACACTCTATTTGTAAAGTCTGCAAGTGGATATTCAGACCTCTTTGAGGCCATCGTTGGAAACGGGATTTCTTCATATTATGCTAGACAGAAGAATTCTCAGTAACTTCCTTGTGTTGTGTGTATTCAACTCACAGAGTTGAACGATCCTTTACACAGAGCAGACTTGAAACACTCTTTTTGTGGAATTTGCAAGTGGAGATTTCAGCCGCTTTGAGGTCAATGGTAGAATAGGAACTATCTTCCTATAGAAACTAGACAGAACGATTCTCAGAAACTCCTTTGTGATGTGTGCGTTCAACTCACAGAGTTTAACCTTTCTTTTCATAGAGCAGTTAGGAAACACTCTGTTTGTAAAGTCTGCAAGTGGATATTCAGACCCCTTTGAGGCCTGCGTTGGAAACGGGATTTCTTCATATTCTGCTAGACAGAAGAATTCCCAGTAACTTCCTTGTGTTGTGTGTGTTCAACTCACAGAGTTGAACTTTGATTTACACAGAGCAGATTTGAAACACTCTTTTTGTGGAATTTGCAAGTGGAGATTTCAAGCGCTTTCAGGCCAAAGGCAGAAAAGGAAATATCTTCGTATAAAAACTAGACAGAATCATTCTCAGAAACTCCTCTGCGATCTGTGCGTTCAACTCTCAGAGTTTAACTTTTCTTTTCATTCACCAGTTTGGAAACACTCTGTTTGTAAAGTCTGCACGTGGATATTTTGACCACTTAGAGGCCTTCGTTGGAAACGGGTTTTTTTCCTGTAAGGCTAGACAGAAGAATTCCCAGTAACTTCCTTGTGTTGTGTGCATTCAACTCACAGAGTTGAACGTTCCCTTAGACAGAGCAGATTTGAAACACTCTATTTGTGCAATTTGCAAGTGTAGATTTCAAGTGTTTAAGGTCAATGGCAGAAAAGGAAATATCTTCGTTTCAAAACTAGACAGAATCATTCCCACAAACTGCGTTGTGATGTGTTCGTTCAACTCACAGAGTTTAACCTTTCTTTTCATAGAGCAGTTAGGAAACACTCTGTTGGTAAATTCTGTAAGTGGATATTCTGACATCTTGTGGCCTTCGTTGGAAACGGGATTTCTTCATATTCTGCTACACAGAAGAATTCTCAGAATCTTCCTTGTGTTGTGTGTATTCAACTCACAGAGTTGAACGATCCTTTACACAGAGCAGACTTGAAACACTCTTTTTGTAGAATTTGCAAGTGGAGATTTCAGCCGCTTTGAGGTCAATGGTAGAAAAGGAAATATCTTCGTATAAAAACTAGACAGAATGATTCTCAGAAACTCCTTTGTGATGTGTGCGTTCAACTCACAGAGTTTAAACCTTTCTTTTCATAGAGCAGTTAGGAAACACTCTGTTTGTAAAGTCTGCAAGTGGATATTCAGACATCTTTGAGGCTTTCGTTGGAAACGGGATTTCTTCATATTCTGCTAGACAGAAGAATTCTCAGTAACTTCCTTGTGTTGTGTGTATTCAACTCACAGAGTTGAACGATCCTTTACACAGAGCAGGCTTGAAACACTCTTTTTGTGGAATTTGCAAGTGGAGATTTCAGCCGCTTTGAGTTCAATGGTAGAAATGGAAATATCTTCCTATAGAAACTAGACAGAATGATTCTCAGAAACTTCTTTGTGATGTGTGTGTTCAACTCACAGAGTTTAACCTTTCTTTTCATAGAGCAGTTAGGAAACACTCTGTTTGTAAAGTCTGCAAGTGGATATTCAGACCTCTTTGAGGCCTTCGTTGGAAACGGGTTTTTTTCATATAAGGCTAGACAGAAGAATTCCCAGTAACTTCCCTTGTGTTGTGTGTGTTCAACTCACAGAGTTGAACTTTCATTTACCCAGAGCAGATTTGAAACACTCTTTTTGTGGAATTTGCAAGTGGAGATTTCAAGCGCTTTGAGGCCAAAGGCAGAAAAGGAAATATCTTCGTTTCAAAACTAGACAGAATCATTCTCATAAACTGCTGCGTGATGTGTGCGTTCAACTCTCAGAGTTTAACTTTTCTTTTTATTCAGCGGTTTGGAAACACTCTGTTTGTAAAGTCTGCACGTGGATATTTTGACCACTTAGAGGCCTTCGTTGGAAACGGGTTTTTTTCATGTAAGGCTAGACAGAAGAATTCCCAATAACTTCCTTGTGTTGTGTACATTCAACTCACAGAGTTGAACGTTCCCTTAGACAGAGCAGATTTGAAACACTCTTTTTGTGCAATTGGCAAGTGGAGATTTCAAGCGCTTTAAGGTCAATGGCAGAAAAGGAAATCTCTTCGTTTCAAAACTAGACAGAAATCATTCCCACAAACTGCGTTGTGATGTGTTCGTTCAACTCACAGTAGTTTAACCTTTCTGTTCATAGAGCAGTTAGGAAACACTCTGTTTGTAAAGTCTGTAAGTGGATATTCTGACATCTTGTGGCCTTCGTTGGAAACGGGATTTCTTCGTATTCTGCTAGACAGAAGAATTCTCAGTAACTTCCTTGTGTTGTGTGTATTCAACTCACAGAGTTGAACGATCCTTTACACAGAGCGGACTTGAAACACACTTTTTGTGGAATTTGCAAGTGGAGATTTCAGCCACGTTGAGGTCAATGGTAGAAAAGGAAATATCTTCGTATAAAAACTAGACAGAATGATTCTCAGAAACTCCTTTGTGATGTGTGTGTTCAACTCACAGAGTTTAACCTTTCTTTTCATAGAGCAGTTAGGAAACACTCTGTTTGTAAAGTCTGCAAGAGGATATTCAGACCTCTTTGAGGCCTTCGTTGGAAACGGGTTTTTTTCATATAAGGCTAGACAGAAGAATTCCCAGTAACTTCCTTGTGTTGTGTGTGTTCAACTCACAGAGTTGAACTTTCATTTACACAGAGCAGATTTGAAACACTCTTTTTGTGGAATTTGCAAGTGGAGATTTCAAGCGCTTTGAGGCCAAAGGCAGAAAAGGAAATATCTTCTTTTCAAAACTAGACAGAATCATTCTCAGAAACTGCTCTGCGATGTGTGCGTTCAACTCTCAGAGTTTAACTTTTCTTTTCATTCAGCAGTTTGGAAACACTCTGGTTGTAAAGTCTGCACGTGGATAACTTGACCACTTAGAGGCCTTCGTTGGAAACGGGTTTTTTTCCTGTAAGGCTAGACAGAAGAATTCCCAGTAACTTCCTTGTGTTGTGTACATTCAACTCACAGAGTTGAACGTTCCCTTAGACAGAGCAGATTTGAAATACTCTTTTTATGCAATTGGCAAGTGGAAATTTCAAGCGCTTTAAGGTCAATGGCAGAAAAGGAAATATCTTCGTTTCAAAACTAGACAGAATCATTCCCACAAACTGCGTTGTGATGTGTTCGTTCAACTCACAGAGTTTAACCTTTCTGTTCATAGAGCAGTTAGGAAACACTCTGTTTGTAAAGTCTGTAAGTGGATATTCTGACATCATGTGGCCTTCGTTGGAAACGGGATTTCTTCATATTCTGCTAGACAGAAGAATTCTCAGTAACTTCCTTGTGTTGTGTTTATTCAACTCACAGAGTTGAATGATCCTTTACACAGAGCAGACTTGAAACACTCTTTTTGTGGAATTTGCAAGTGGAGATTTCAGCCGCTTTGAGGTCAATGGTAGAAAAGTAAATATCTTCGGATAAACACTAGACAGAATGATTCTCAGAAACTCCTTTGTGATGTGTGTGTTCAACTCACAGAGTTTAACTTTTCTTTTCATAGAGCAGTTAGGAAACACTCTGTTTGTAAAGTCTGCAAGTGGATATTCAGACCTCTTTGAGGCCTTCGTTGGAAACGGGATTTCTTCATATTCTGCTAGACAGAAGAATTCCCAGTAACTTCCTTGTGTTGTGTGTGTTCAACTCACAGAGTTGAACTTTCATTTACACAGAGCAGATTTGAAACACTCTTTTTGTGGAATTTGCAAGTGGAGATTTCAAGCGCTTTGAGGCCAAAGGCAGAAAAGGAAATATCTTCGTTTCAAAACTAGACTGAATCATTCTCAGAAACTGCTCTGCGATGTGTGCGTTCAACTCTCAGAGTTCAACTTTTCTTTTCATTCAGCAGTTTGGAAACACTCTGTTTGTAAAGTCTGCACGTGGATAATTTGACCACTTAGAGGCCTTCGTTGGAAACGGTTTTTTTTTCATGTAAGGCTAGACAGAAGAATTTCCCAGTAACTTCCTTGTGTTGTGTGCATTCAACTCACAGAGTTGAACGTTCCCTTAGACAGAGCAGATTTGAAACACTCTATTTGTGCAATTTGCAAGTGTAGATTTCAAGCGCTTTAAGGTCAATGGCAGAAAAGGAAATATCTTCGTTTCAAAACTAGACAGAATCATTCCCACAAACTGCGTTGTGATGTGTTCGTTCAACTCACAGAAGTTTAACCTTTCTTTTCATAGAGCAGTTAGGAAACAGTCTGTTTGTCAATTCTGTAAGTGGATATTCTGACATCTTGTGGTCTTCGTTGGAAACGGGATTTCTTCATATTCTGCTAGACAGAAGAATTCTCAGTAACTTCCTTGTGTTGTGTGTATTCAACTCACAGAGTTGAACGATCTTTTACACAGAGCAGACTTGAAACATTCTTTTTGTGGAATTTGCAAGTGGAGATTTCAGCCGCTTTGAGGTCAATGGTAGAATAGGAAATATCTTCCTATAGAAACTAGACAGAATGATTCTCATAAACTCCTTTGTGATGTGTGCATTCAACTCACAGAGTTTCACCTTTCTTTTCATAGAGCAGTTAGGAAACACTCTGTTTGTAAAGTCTGCAAGTGGATATTCAGGCCTCTTGAGGCCTTCGTTGGAAACGGGATTTCTTCATATTCTGCTAGACAGAATAATTCTCAGTAACTTCCTTCTGTTGTGTGTATTCAACTCACAGAGTTGAAGGATCCTTTACAGAGAGCAGGCTTGAAACACTCTTTTTGTCGAATTTGCAAGTGGAGATTTCAGCCGCTTTGAGGTCAATGGTAGAATAGGAAATATCTTCTTATAGAACCTAGACAAAATGATTCTCAGAAACTTCTTTGTGATGTGTGCGTTCAACTCACAGAGTTTAACCTTTCTTTTCATAGAGCAGTTAGGAAACACTCTGTTTGTAAACTCTGCAAGTGGATATTCAGACCTCTTTGAGGCCTTCGTTGGAAACGGGATTTCTTCATACTATGATAGACAGAAGAATTCTCAGTAACTTCTTTGTGTTGTGTGTATTCAACTCACAGAGTTGAACGATCCTTTACACAGAGCAGACTTGAAACACTCTATTTGTAGAATTTGCAAGTGGAGATTTCAGCCGCTTTGAGGTCAATAGTAGAAAAGGAAATATCTTCGTAGAAAAACTAGACAGAACGATTCTCAGAAACTCCTTTGTGATGTGTGCGTTCAACTCACAGAGTTTAACCTTTCTTTTCATAGAGCAGTTAGGAAACACTCTGTTTGTAAAGTCTGCAAGTGGATATTCAGACCTCTTTGAGACCTTCGTTGGAAACGGGATTTCTTCATATTCTGCTAGACAGAAGAATTCTCAGTAACTTTCCTTGTGTTGTGTGTATTCAACTGACAGAGTTGAACTTTCATTTAGAGAGAGCAGATTTGAAACACTGTTTTTGTGGAATTTGCCAGTGGAGATTTCAAGCGCTTTGGGGCCAAAGGCAGAAAAGGAAATATCTTCGTATAAAAACTAGACAGAATCATTCTCAGAAACTGCTCTGCGATGTGTGCCTTCAGCTCTCAGAGTTTAACTTTTCTTTTCATTCAGCAGTTTGGAAACACTCTGTTTGTAAAGTCTGCACGTGGATATTTTGACCACTTAGAGGTCTTCGTTGGAAACGGGTTTTTGTCATGTAAGGCTAGACAGAAGAATTCCCAGTAACTTCCTTGTGTTGTGTGCATTCAACTCACAGAGTTGAACGTTCCCTTAGACACAGCAGATTTGAAACACTCTATTTGTGCAATTTGCAAGTGTAGATTTCAAGCGCTTTAAGGTCAATGGCAGAAAAGGAAATATCTTCGTTTCAAAACTAGACAGAATCATTCCCACAAACTGCGTTGTGATGTGTTCGTTCAACTCACAGAGTTTAACCTTTCTGTTCATAGAGCAGTTAGGAAACACTCTGTTTGTAAAGTCTGTAAGTGGATATTCAGACCTCCTTGAGGCTTTCGTTGGAAACGGGATTTCTTCATATTCTGCTAGACAGAGGAATTCTCAGTAACTTCCTTGTGTTGTGTGTATTCAACTCACAGAGTTGAACGATCCTTTACCCAGAGCAGACTTGAAACACTCTTTTTGTGGAATTTGCAAGTGGAGATTTCAGCCGCTTTGAGGTCAATGGTAGAATAGGAAATATCTTCCTATAGAAACTAGACAGAATTATTCTCAGAAACTCCTTTGTGATGTGTGCGTTCAACTCACAGAGTTTAACCTTTCTTTTCATAGAGCAGTTAGGAAACACTCTGTTTGTAAAGTCTGCAAGTGGATATTCAGACCTCTTTGAGGCCTTCGTTGGAAACGTGATTTCTTCATATTCTGCTAGACAGAAAGAATTCTCAGTAACTTCCTTGTGTTGTGTGTATTCAACTCACAGAGTTGAACGATCCTTTACACAGAGCAGACTTGAAACACTCTTTTTGTGGAATTTGCAAGTGAAGATTTCAGCCGCTTTGAGGTCAATGGTAGAATAGGAAATATCTTCCTATAGAAAATAGACAGAATGATTCTCAGAAACTCCCTTGTGATGTGTGCGTTCAACTCACAGAGTTTAACCTTTCTTTTCATAGAGCAGTTAGGAGACACTCTGTTTGTAAAGTCTGCAAGTGGATATTCGGACCTCTTTGAGGCCTTCATTGGAAACGGGATTTCTTCATATTCTGCTAGACAGAAGAATTCTCAGTAACTTCTTTGTATTGTGTGTATTCAACTCACAGAGTTGAACGATCCTTTACACAGAGCAGACTTGAAACACTCTTTTTGTGGAATTTGCAAGTGGAGATTTCATCCGATTTGAGGTCAATGGTAGAATAGGAAATATCTTCCTATGGAAACTAGACAGAATGATTCTCAGAAACTCCTTTGTGATGCGTGTGTTCAACTCACAGAGTTTAACCTTTCTTTTCATAGAGCAGTTAGTAAACACTCTGTTTATAAAGTCTGCAAGTGGATATTCAGACCCCTTTGAGGCCTTCGTTGGAAACGGGATTTCTTCATATTATGCTAGACAGAAGAATTCTCAGTAACTTCCTTGTGTTGTGTGTATTCAACTGACAGAGTTGAACTTTCATTTAGAGAGAGCAGATTTGAAACACTGTTTTTGTGGAATTTGCAAGTGGAGATTTCAAGCGCTTTGGGGCCAAAGGCAGAAAAGGAAATTTCTTCGTATAAAAACTAGACAGAATCATTCTCAGAAACTGCTGCGTGATGTGTGCGTTCAACTCTCAGAGTTTAACTTTTCTTTTCATTCAGCGGTTTGGAAATACTCTGTTTGTAAAGTCTGCACGTGGACATTTTGACCACTTAGAGGCCTTCTTTGGAAACGGGTTTTTTTCATGCAAGGCTAGACAGAAGAATTCCCAGTAACTTCCTTGTGTTGTGTGCATTCAACTCACAGAGTTGAACGTTCCCTTAGACAGAGCAGATTTGAAACACTCTATTTGTGCAATTTGCAAGTGTAGATTTCAAGCGCATTAAGGTCAATGGCAGAAAAGGAAATATCTTCGTTTCAAAATTAGACAGAATCATTCCCACAAACTGCGTTGTAATGTGTGCGTTCAACTCACAGAGTTTAACCTTTCTTTTCATAGAGCAGTTAGGAAACACTCTGTTTGTAAAGTCTGCAAGTGGATATTCAGACCTCTTTGAGGCCTTCGTTGGAAACGGGATTTCTTAATATTCTGCTAGACAGAAGAATTCTCAGTAACTTCCTTGTGTTGTGTGTATTCAACTCACAGAGTTGAACGATCCTTTACAAAGAGCAGACTTGAAACACTCTTTCTGTGGAATTTGCAATTGGAGATTTCAGCCGCTTTGAGGACAATGGTAGAATAGGAAATATCTTCCTATAGAAACTAGACAGAATGATTCTCATAAACTCCTTTGTGATGTGTGCGTTCAACTCACAGAGTTTAACCTTTCTTTTCATAGTGCAGTTAGGAAACACTCTGTTTCTAAACTCTGCAAGTGGATATTCAGACATCCTTGAGGCCTTCGTTGGAAACGGGATTTCTTCATATTCTGCTAGACAGAAGAATTCTCAGTAACTTCCTTGTGTTGTGTGTATTCAACTCACAGAGTTGAACGATCCTTTACACAGAGCACACTTGAAACACTCCTTTTGTGGAATTTGCAAGTGGAGATTTCAGCCGCTTTGAGGTCAATAGTAGAAAAGGAAATATCTTCGTAGAAAAACTAGACAGAATGATTCTCAGAAACTTCTTTGTGATGTGTGCGTTCAACTCACAGAGTTTATCCTTTCTTTTCATAGAGCAGTTAGGAAACACTCTGTTTGTAAACTCTGCAAGTGGATATTCAGACCTCTTTGAGGCCTTCGTTGGAAACGGGATTTCTCCATACTGTGCTAGACAGAAGAATTCTCAGTAACTTCCCTTGTGTTGTGTGTATTCAAGTGACAGAGTTGAACTTTCATTTAGAGAGAGCAGATTTGAAACACTGTTTTTGTGGAATTTGCACGTGGAGATTTCAAGCGCTTTGGGGCCAAAGGCAGAAAAAGATATATCTTCGTATAAAAACTAGACAGAATCATTCTCAGAAACTGCTCTGCGATGTGTGCGTTCAACTCTCAGGAGTTTAACTTTTCTTTTCATTCAGCAGTTTGGAAACACTCTGTTTGTAAAGTCTGCACGTGGATATTTTGACCACTTAGAGGCCTTCGTTGGAAATGGGTTTTTTTCCTGTAAGGCTAGACAGAAGAATTCCCAGTAACTTCCTTGTGTTGTGTACATTCAACTCACAGAGTTGAACGTTCCCTTAGACAGAGCAGATTTGAAACACTCTTTTTGTGCAATTGGCAAATGGAGATTTCAAGCGCTTTAAGTTCAATGGCAGAAAAGGAAATATCTTCGTTTCAAAACTAGACAGAATCATTCCCACAAACTGCGTTGTGATGTGTTCGTTCAACTCACAGAGTTTAACCTTTCTGTTCATAGAGCAGTTAGGAAACACTCTGTTTGTAAAGTCTGTAAGTGGATATTCGGACATCTTGTGGCCTTCGTTGGAAACGGGATTTCTTCATATTCTGCTACACAGAAGAATTCTCAGAATCTTCCTTGTGTTGTGTGTATTCAACTCACAGAGTTGAACGATACTTTACACAGAGCAGACTTGAAACACTCTTTTTGTGGAATTTGCAAGTGGAGATTTCAGCCGCTTTGAGGTCCATGGTAGAAAAGGAAATATCTTCGTATAAAAACTAGACAGAATGATTCTCAGAAACTCCTTTGTGATGTGTGCGTTCAACTCACAGAGTTTAACCTTTCTTTTCATAGAGCAGTTAGGAAACACTCTGTTTGTAAAGTCTGCAAGTGGATATTCGGACCTCTTTGAGGCCTTCGTTGGAAACGGGTTTTTTTCATATAAGGCTAGATAGAAGAATTCTCAGTAACTTCCCTGTGTTGTGTGTATTCAACTCACAGAGTTGAACGATCCTTTACACAGAGCAGACTTGTAACACTCTTTTTGTGGAATTTGCAAGTGGAGATTTCAGCCGCTTTGAAGTCAAAGGTAGAAAAGGAAATATCTTCCTATAAAAACTAGACAGAATCATTCTCAGAAACTGCTGCGTGATGTGTGCGTTCAACTCTCAGAGTTTAACTTTTCTTTTCATTCAGCGGTTTGGAAACACTCTGTTTGTAAAGTCTGCACGTAGATATTTTGACCACTTAGAGGCCTTCGTTGGAAACGGGTTTTTTTCATGTAAGGCTAGACAGAAGAATTCCCAGGAACTTCCTTGTGTTGTGTACATTCAACTCACAGAGTTGAACGTTCCCTTAGACAGAGCAGATTTGAAACACTGTTTTTGTGCAATTGGCAAGTGGTGATTTCAGCCGCTTTGAGGTCAATGGTAGAAAAGGAAATATCTTCGTATAAAAACTAGACAGAATGATTCTCAGAAACTCCTTTGTGATGTGTGCGTTCAACTCACAGAGTTTAACCTTTCTTTTCATAGAGCAGTTAGGAAACACTCTGTTTGTAAATTCTGCAAGTGGATATTCAGACCTCCTTGAGGCCTTCGTTGGAAACGGGATTTCTTCATATTCTGCTATACAGAAGAATTCTCAGAAACTTCCTTGTGTTTTGTGTATTCAACTCACAGATTTGAACGATCCTTTACACAGAGCAGACTTGAAACACTCTTTTTCTGGAATTTGCAAGTGGAGATTTCAGCCGCTTTGAGGTCAATGGTAGAAAAGGAAATATCTTCGTATAAAAACTAGACAGAATGATTCTCAGAAACTCCTTTGTGATGTGTGTGTCCAACTCACAGAGTTTAACCTTTCTTTTCATAGAGCAGTTAGGAAACACTCTGTTTGTAAAGTCTGCAAGAGGATATTCAGACCTCTTTGAGGCCTTCTTTGGAAACGGGATTTTTTCATATAAGGCTAGACAGAAGAATTCCCAGTAACTTCCTTGTGTTGTGTGTGTTCAACTCTGTGAGTTGAACTTTCATTTACACAGAGCAGATTGGAAACACTCTTTTTGTGGAATTTGCAAGTGGAGATTTCAAGCGCTTTGAGGCCAAAGGCAGAAAAGGAAATATCTTCGTATAAAAACTAGACAGAATTATTCTCAGAAACTGCTGCGTGATGTGTGCGTTCAACTCTCAGAGTTTAACTTTTCTTTTCATTCAGCGGTTTGGAAACACTCTGTTTGTAAAGTCTGCACGTGGATATTTTGACCACTTAGAGGCCTTCGTTGGAAACGGGTTTTTTTTCATGTAAGGCTAGACAGAAGAATTCTCAATAACTTCCTTGTGTTGTGTGTATTCAACTGACAGAGTTGAACCTTCCTTCAGACAGAGCAGATTTGCAACAGTCTTTTTGTGTAATTTGCAAGTGGAGATTTCAAGCGCTTTGAGGCCAAAGGCAGAAAAGGAAATATCTTCGTATAAAAACTAGACAGAATGATTCTCAGAAACTCCTTTGTGATGTGTATGTTCAACTTACAGAGTTTAACTTTTCTATTCATAGAGTAGTTAGGAAACACTCTGTTTGTAAAGTCTGCAAGTGGATATTTTGACCTCTTTGAGGCCTTCGTTGGAAACGGGTTTTTTTCATGTAAGGCTAGACAGAAGAATTCTCAGTAACTTCCGCGTGTTGTGTGTATTCAACTCACAGAGTTGAACGATCCTTTACACAGAGCAGACTTGTAACACTCTTTTTGTGGAATTTGTAAGTGGAGATTTCAGCCGCTTTGAAGTCAAAGGTAGAAAAGGAAATATCTTCCTATAAAAACTAGACAGAATGATTCTCAGAAACTCCTTTGTGATGGGTGCGTTCAACTCACAGAGTTTAACCTTTCTTTTCATAGAGCAGTTAGGAAACACTCTGTTTGTAAAGTCTGCAAGTGGATATTCAGACCTCTTTGAGACCTTCGTTGGAAACGGGTTTTTTTCATATAAGGCTAGACAGAAGAATTCTCAGTAACTTCCTTGTGTTGTGTGTGTTCAACTCACAGAGTTGAACTTTCATTTACACAGAGCAGATTTGAAACACTCTTTTTGTGGAATTTGCAAATGGAGATTTCAAGCGCTTTGAGGCCAAAGGCAGAAAAGGAAATATCTTCGTATAAAAACTAGACAGAATCATTCTCAGAAACTGCTCTGTGATGTGTGCGTTCAACTCTCAGAGTTTAACTTTTGTTTTCATTCAGCAGTTTGGAAACACTCTGTTTGTAAAGTCTGCACGTGGATATTTTGACCACTTAGAGGCATTCGTTGGAAACGGGTTTTTTTCATGTAAGGCTAGACAGAAGAATTCCCAGTAACTTCCTTGTGTTGGGTGCATTCAACTCACAGAGTTGAACGTTCCCTTAGACAGAGCAGATTTGAAACACTCTATTTGTGCAATTTGCAAGTGTAGATTTCAAGCGCTTTAAGGTCAATGGAAGAAAAGGAAATATCTTCGTTTCAAAACTAGACAGAATCATTCCCACAAACTGCGTTGTGATGTGTTCGTTCAACTCACAGAGTTTAACCTTTCTGTTCATAGAGCAGTTAGGAAACACTCTGTTTGTAAAGTCTGTAAGTGGATATTCTGACATCTTGTGGCCATCGTTGGAAACGGGATTTCTTCATATTCTGCTAGACAGAAGAATTCTCAGAAACTTCCTTGTGTTGTGTGTATTCAACTCACAGAGTTGAACGATCGTTTACACAGAGCAGACTTGAGACACTCTTTTTGTGGAATTTGTAAGTGGAGATTTCAGCCGCTTTGAGGTCAATGGTAGAAAAGGAAATATCTTCGTATAAAAACTAGACAGAACGATTCTCAGAAACTCCTTTGTGATGTGTGCGTTCAACTCACAGAGTTTAACCTTTCTTTTCATAGAGCAGTTAGGAAACACTCTGTTTATAAAGTCTGCAAGTGGATATTCAGACCCCTTTGAGGCCTTCGTTGGAAACGGGATTTCTTCATATTATGCTAGACAGAAGATTTCCCAGTAACTTCCTTGTGTTGTGTGTGTTCAACTCACAGAGTTGAACTTTCATTTACACAGAGCAGATTTGGAACACTCTTTTTGTGGAATTTGCAAATGGAGATTTGAAGCGCTTTGAGGCCAAAGGCAGAAAAGGAAATATCTTCGTATAAAAACTAGACAGAATCATTCTCCGAAGCTGCTGACTGATGTGTGCGTTCAACTCTCAGAGTTTAACTTTTCTTTTCATTCAGCGGTTTGGAAACACTCTGTTTGTGAAGTCTGCACGTGGATATTTTGACCACTTAGAGGCCTTCGTTGGAAACGGGTTTTTTGCATGTAAGGCTAGACAGAAGAATTCTCAGTAACTTCCTTGTGTTGTGTGCATTCAACTCACAGAGTTGAACGTTCCCTTAGACACAGCAGATTTGAAACACTCTATTTGTGCAATTTGCAAGTGTAGATTTCAAGCGCTTTAAGGTCAATGGCAGAAAAGGAAATATCTTCGTTTCAAAGCTAGACAGAATCATTCCCACAAACTGCGTTGTGATGTGTTCGTACAACTCACAGAGTTTAACCTTTCTGTTCATAGAGCAGTTAGGAAACACTCTGTTTGTAAAGTCTGTAAGTGGATATTCTGACATCTTGTGGCCTTCGTTGGAAACGGGATTTCTTCATATTCTGCTAGACAGAAGAATTCTCAGTAACTTCCTTGTGTTGTGTTTATTCAACTCACAGAGTTGAATGATCCTTTACACAGAGCAGACTTGAAACACTCTTTTTGTGGAATTTGCAAGTGGAGATTTCAGCCGCTTTGAGGTCAATGGTAGGAAAGGAAATATCTTCGTATAAAGACTAGACAGAATGATTCTCAGAAACTCCTTTGTGATGTGTGCGTTCAACTCACACAGTTTAACCTTTCTTATCATAGAGCAGTTAGGAAACACTCTGTTTGTAAAGTCTGCAAGTGGATATTCCGACCTCCTTGAGGCCTTCGTTGGAAACGGGATTTCTTCATATTATGCTAGACAGAAGAATTCTCAGTAACTTCCTTGTGTTGTGTGTATTCAACTCACAGAGTTGAACGATCCTTTACACAGAGCAGATTTGAAACACTCTTTTTGTGGAATTTGCAAGTGGAGATTTCAGCCGCTTTGAGGTCAATGGTAGAAAAGGAAATATCTTCGTATAAAGACTAGACAGAGTGATTCTCAGAAACTCCTTTGTGATGTCTGCGTTCAACTCACAGAGTTTAACCTTTCTTTTAATAGAGCAGTTAGGAAACACTCTGTTTGTAAAGTCTGCAAGTGGATATTCAGACCTCCTTGAGGCCTTCGTTGGAAACGGGATTTCTACATATTATGCTAGACAGAAGAATTCTCAGTAACTTCCTTGTGTTGTGTGTATTCAACTCACAGAGTTGAACGATCCTTCACACAGAGCAGACTTGAAACACTCTTTTTGTGGAATTTGCAAGTGGAGATTTCAGCCGCTTTGAGGTCAATGGTAGAAAAGGAAATATCTTCGTATAAAGACTAGACAGAATGATTCTCAGAAACTCCTTAGTGATGTGTGCGTTCAACTCACAGAGTTTAACCTTTCTGTTCATAGAGCAGTTAGGAAACACTCTGTTTGTAAAGTATGCAAGTGGATATACAGACCTCCTTGAGGCCTTCGTTGGAAACGGGATTTCTTCATATTCTGCTAGACAGAAGAATTCTCAGTAACTTCCTTGTGTTGTGTGTATTCAACTCACAGAGTTGAACGGTTCTTTACACAGAGCAGATTTGAGACACTCTTTTTGTGGAATTTGTAAGTGGAGATTTCAGCCGCTTTGAGGTCAGTGGTAGAAAAGGAAATATCTTCGTATAAAAACTAGACAGAATGATTCTCAGAAACTCTTTGTGATGTGTGTGTTCAACTCACAGAGTTTAACCTTTCTTTTCATAGAGCAGTTAGGAAACGCTCTGTTTGTAAAGTCTGCAAGTGGATATTCAGACCTCGTTGAGACCTTCGTTGGAAACGGGATTTCTTCATATTCTGCTAGACAGAAGAATTCTCAGTAACTTCTTTGTGTTGTGTGTATTCAACTCACAGAGGTGAACGATCCTTTACACAGAGCAGACTTGAAACACTCTTTTTGTGGAATTTCAAGTGGAGATTTCAGCCGCTTTGAGGTCAATGGTAGAATAGGAAATATCTTCCTATAGAAACTAGACAGAATGATTCTCAGAAACTCCTTTGTGATGTGTGCGTTCAACTCACAGAGTTTAACCTTTCTCTCCATTGAGCAGTTAGGAAACACTCTGTTTGTAAAGTCTGCAAGTGGATATTCAGACCTCCTAGAGGCCTTCTTTGGAAACAGGCTTTCTTCATATTATGCTAGACAGAAGAATTCTCAGAAACTTCTTTGTGTTGTGTGTATTCAACTCACAGAGTTGAACGATCCTTTACACAGAGCAGACTTGAAACACTCTTTTTGTGGAATTTGCAAGTGGAGATTTCAGCCGCTTTGAGGTCAATGGTAGAATAGGAAATAT
The DNA here is from genome assembly GCF_000001405.40 of Homo sapiens. Lineage (NCBI taxonomy): Eukaryota > Metazoa > Chordata > Mammalia > Primates > Hominidae > Homo > Homo sapiens. The sequence continues at coordinate 122,952,023 of NC_000001.11, forward strand.
CTTCCTATAGAAACTAGACAGAATGATTCTCAGAAACTCCTTTGTGATGTGTGCGATCAACTCACAGAGTTTAACTTTTCTTTTCATAGAGCAGTTAGGAAACACTCTGTTTGTAAAGTCTGCAAGTGGATATTCAGACCTCTTTGAGGCCTTCGTTGGAAACGGGATTTCTTCATATTATGCTAGACAGAAGAATTCTCAGTAACTTCCTTGTGTTGTGTGTATTCAACTGACAGAGTTGAACTTTCATTTACACAGAGCAGATTTGAAACACTCTTTTTGTGGAATTTGCAAATGGAGATTTCAAGCGCTTTGAGGCCAAAGGCAGAAAAGGAAATATCTTCGTATAAAAACTAGACAGAATCATTCTCAGAAACTGCTGCATGATGTGTGCGTTCAACTCTCAGAGTTTAACTTTTCTTTTCATTCAGCGGTTTGGAAACACTCTGTTTGTAAAGTCTGCACGTGGAAATTTTGACCACTTAGAGGCCTTCGTTGGAAACGGGTTTTTTTCATGTAAGGCTAGACAGAAGAATTCCCAGTAACTTCCTTGTGTTGTGTGCATTCAACTCACAGAGTTGAACGTTCCCTTAGACAGAGCAGATTTGAAACACTCTATTTGTGCAATTTGCAAGTGTAGTTTTCAAGCTCTTTAAGGTCAACGGCAGAAAAGGAAATATCTTGGTTTCAAAACTAGACAGAATCATTCCCACAAACTGCGTTGTGATGTGTTCGTTCAACTCACAGTGTTTAACCTTTCTGTTCATAGAGCAGTTAGGAAACACTCTGTTTGTAAAGTCTGCAAGTGGATATTCAGACCTCCTTGAGGCCTTCGTTGGAAACGGGATTTCTTCATATTCTGCTAGACAGAAGAATTCTAAGTAACTTCCTTGTGTTGTGTGTATTCAACTCACAGAGTTGAACGATCCTTTACACAGAGCAGACTTGAAACACTCTTTTTGTGGAATTTGCAAGTGGAGATTTCAGCCGCTTTGAGGTCAATGGTAGAAAAGGAAACTATCTTCATATAAAGACTAGACAGAATGATTCTCATAAACTCCTTTGTGATGTGTGCGTTCAACTCTCAAAGTTTAACTTTTCTTTTCATAGAGCAGTTAGGAAACACTCTGTTTGTAAAGTCTGCAAGTGGATATTCAGACCTCTTTGAGGCCTTCTTTGGAAACGGGATTTCTTCATATTATGCTAGACAGAAGAATTCTCAGTAACTTCCCTGTGTTGTGTGTATTCAACTGACAGAGTCGAACTTTCATTTAGAGAGAGCAGATTTGAAACACTGTTTTTGTGGAATTTGCAAGTGGAGATTTCAAGCGCTTTGGGGCCAAAGGCAGAAAAGGAAATATCTTCGTATAAAAACTAGACAGAATCATTCTCAGAAACTGCTCTGCGATGTGTGCGTTCAACTCTCAGAGTTTAACTTTTCTTTTCATTCAGAAGTTTGGAAACACTCTGTTTGTAAAGTCTGCACGTGGATAACTTGAACACTTAGAGGCCTTCGTTGGAAACGGGTTTTTTTCATGTAAGGCTAGACAGAAGAATTCTCAGTAACTTCCTTGTATTGTGTGTATTCAACTCACAGAGTTGAACGATCCTTTGCACAGAGCACACTTGTAACACTCTTTTTGTGGAATTTGCAAGTGGAGATTTCAGCCGCTTTGAAGTCAAAGGTAGAAAAGGAAATAACTTCCTATAAAAACTAGACAGAATGATTCTCATAAACTCCTTTGTGATGTGTGCGTTGAACTCACAGAGTTTAACCTTTCTTTTCATAGAGCAGTTAGGAAACACTCTGTTTGTAAAGTCTGTAAGTGGATATTCTGACATCTTGTGGCCTTCTTTGGAAACGGGATTTCTTCATATTGTGCTAGACGGAAGAATTCTCCGTAACTTCCTTGTGTTGTGTGTATTCAACTCACAGAGTTGAACGATCCTTTACACAGAGCAGACTTGTAACACTCTTTTTGTGGAATTTGCAAGTGGAGATTTCAGCCGCTTTGAAGTCAAAGGTAGAAAAGGAAATATCTTCCTATAAAAATTAGACAGAATGATTCTCAGAAACTCCTTTGTGATGTGTGCGTTCAACTCACACAGTTTAACTTTTCTTTTCATACAGCAGTTAGGAAACACTCTGTTTGTAAAGTCTGCAAGTGGATATTCAGACCTCCTTGAGGCCTTCTTTGGAAACGGGATTTCTTCATATTATGCTAGACAGAAGAATCCCCAGTAACTTCCTTGTGTTGTGTGTGTTCAACTCACAGAGTTGAACTTTGATTTACACAGAGCAGATTTGAAACACTCTTTTTGTGGAATTTGCAAGTGGAGATTTCAAGCGCTTTGGGGCCAAAGGCAGAAAAGGAAATATCTTCGTATAAAAACTAGACAGAATCATTCTCAGAAACTGCTCTGCGATGTGTGCGTTCAATTCTGAGTTTAACTTTTCTTTTCATTCAGCAGTTTGGAAACACTCTGTTTGTAAAGTCTGCACGTGGATATTTTGACCACTTAGAGGCCTTCGTTGGAAACGGGTTTTTTTCCTGTAAGGCTATACAGAAGAATTCCCAGTAACTTCCTTGTGTTGTGTACATTCAACTCACAGAGTTGAACGATCCCTTAGACAGAGCAGATTTGAAACACTCTTTTTGTGCAATTGGCAAGTGGAGACTTCAAGCGCTTTAAGGTCAATGGCAGAAAAGGAAATATCTTCGTTTCAAAACTAGACAGAATCATTCCCACAAACTGCGTTGTGATGTGTTCGTTCAACTCACAGAGTTTAACCTTTCTGTTCGTAGAGCAGTTAGGAAACACTCTGTTTGTAAAGTCTGTAAGTGGATATTCTGACATCTTGTGGCCTTCGTTGGAAACGGGATTTCTTCATATTCTGCTAGACAGAAGAATTCTCAGTAACTTCCTTGTGTTGTGTGTATTCAACTCACAGAGTTGAACGATCCTTTACAGAGAGCAGACTTGAAACACTCTTTTTGTGGAATTTGCAAGTGGAGATTTCAGCCGCTTTGAGGTCTATGGTAGAAAAGGAAATGTCTTCGTATAAAGACTAGACAGAACGATTCTCAGAAACTCCTTTGTGATGTGTGTGTTCAACTCACAGAGTTTAACCTTTCTTTTCATAGAGCAGTTAGTAAACACTCTGTTTATAAAGTCTGCAAGTGGATATTCAGACCCCTTTGTGGCCTTCTTTGGAAACGGGATTTCTTCATATTATGCTAGACAGAAGAATTCTCAGTAACTTCCTTGTGTTGTGTGTATTCAACTCACAGTAGTTGAACGACCCTTTACACAGAGTAGACTTGAAACACTCTTTTTGTTGAATTTGCAAGTGGAGATTTCAGCCGCTTTGAGGTCAATGGTAGAATAGGAAATATCTTCCTATAGAAACTAGACAGAATGATTCTCAGAAACTCCTTTGTGATGTGTGAGTTCAACTCACAGAGTTTAACCTTTCTTTTCATAGAGTAGTTAGGAAACACTCTGTTTGTAAAGTCTGCAAGTGGATATTCAGACCTCTTTGAGGCCTTCGTTGGAAACGGGATTTTTTCATATAAGGCTAGAGAGAAGAATTCCCAGTAACTTCCTTGTGTTGTGTGTGTTCAACTCACAGAGTTGAACTTTCATTTAGTCAGAGCAGATTTGAAACACTCTTTTTGTGGAATTTGCAAATGGAGATTTCAAGCGCTTTGAGGCCAAAGGCAGAAAAGGAAATATCTTCGTATAAAAACTAGACAGAATAATTCTCAGAAACTGTTCTGCGATGTGTGCGTTCAACTCTCAGAGTTTAACTTTTCTTTTCATTCAGCAGTTTGGAAACACTCTGTAAACTCTGCATGTGGATATTTTGACCACTTAGAGGCCTTCGTCGGAAACGGGTTTTTTTCCTGTAAGGCTAGACAGAAGAATTCCCAGTAACTTCCTTGTGTTGTGTACATTCAACTCACAGAGTTGAACGTTCCCTTAGACAGAGCAGATTTGAAACAATCTTTTTGTGCAATTGGCAAGTGGTGATTTCAGCCGCTTTGAGGTCAATGGTAGAAAAGGAAATATCTTCGTATAAAAACTAGACAGAATCATTCCCACAAAACTGCGTTGTGATGTGTTCGTTCAATTCACAGAGTTTAACCTTTCTGTTCATAGAGCAGTTAGGAAACACTCTGTTTGTAAAGTCTGTAAGTGGATATTCTGACATCTTGTGGCCTTCGTTGGAAACGGGATTTCTTCGTATTCTGCTAGACAGAAAGAATTCTCAGTAACTTCCTTGTGTTGTGTGTATTCAACTCACAGAGTTGAACGATCCTTTACACAGAGCAGACTTGAATCACTCTTTTTGTGGAATTTGCAAGTGGAGATTTCAGCCGCTTTGAGGTCAATAGTAGAAAAGGAAATATCTTCGTAGAAAAACTAGACAGATGATTCTCAGAAACTCCTTTGTGATGTGTGCGTTCAACTCACAGAGTTTAAACTTTCTTTTCATAGAGCAGTTAGGAAACACTCTGTTTGTAAAGTCTGCAAGTGGATATTCAGACCTCTTTGAGGCCTTCGTTGGAAACGGGATTTCTTCATATTCTGCTAGACAGAAGAATTCCCAGTAACTTCCTTGTGTTGTGTGTGTTCAACTCACAGAGTTGAACTTTCATTTACAAAGAGCAGATTTGAAACACTCTTTTTGTGGAATTTGCAAGTGGAGATTTCAAGCGCTTTGAGGCCAAAGGCAGAAAAGGAAATATCTTCGTATAAAAACTAGACAGAATCATTCTCAGAAACTGCTGCGTGATGTGTGCGTTCAACTCTCAGGAGTTTAGCTTTTCTTTTCATTCAGCGGTTTGGAAACACTCTGTTTGTAACGTCTGCACGTGGATATTTTGACCACTTAGAGGCCTTCGTTGGAAACGGGTTTTTTGCATGTAAGGCTAGACAGAAGAATTCCCAGTAACTTCCTTGTGTTGTGTGCATTCAACTCACAGAGTTGAACGTTCCCTTAGACAGAGCAGATTTGAAACACTCTATTTGTGCAATTTGCAAGTGTAGATTTCAAGCGCTTTAAGGTCAATGGCAGAAAAGGAAATTTCTTCGTTGCAAAACTAGACAGAATCATTCCCACAAACTGCGTTGTGATGTGTTCGTTCATCTCACAGAGTTTAACCTTTCTTTTCGTAGAGCAGTTAGGAAACAGTCTGTTTGTAAATTCTGTAAGTGGATATTCTGACATACTTGTGGCCTTCGTTGGAAACGGGATTTCTTCATATTCTGCTAGACAGAAGAATTCTCAGAATCTTCCTTGTGTTGTGTGTATTCAACTCACAGAGTTGAACGATCCTTTACACAGAGCAGACTTGAAACACTCTTTTTGTGGAATTTGCAAGTGGAGATTTCAGCCGCTTTGAGGTCCATGGTAGAAAAGGAAATCTCTTCGTATAAAAACTAGACAGAATGATTCTCAGAAAATCCTGTGTGATGTGTGCGTTCATCTCACAGAGTTTAACCTTTCTTTTCATAGAGCAGTTAGGAAACACTCTGTTTGTAAAGTCTGCAAGTGGATATTCAGACCTCCTTGAGGCCTTCCTTGGAAACGGGATTTCTTCATATTCTGCTAGACAGAAGAATTCTCAGTAACTTCCTTGTGTTGTGTGTATTCAACTGACAGAGTTGGACTATCATTTTGAGAGAGCAGATTTGAAACACTGTTTTTGTGGAATTTGCAAGTGGAGATTTCAAGCGCTTTGGGGCCAAAGGCAGAAAAGGAAATATCTTCGTATAAAAACTAGACAGAATCATTCTCAGAAACTGCTCTGCGATGTGTGCGTTCAACTCTCAGAGTTTAACTTTTCTTTTCATTCAGCAGTTTGAAAACACTCTGTTTGTAAAGTCTGCACGTGGATAATTTGACCACATAGAGGCCTTCGTTGGAAACGGGTTTTTTTCATGTAAGGCTAGACAGAAGAATTCCCAGTAACTTCCTTGTGTTGTGTGCATTCAACTCACAGAGTTGAACGTTCCCTTAGACAGAGCAGATTTGAAACACTCTATTTGCGCAACTTGCAAGTGTAGATTTCAAGCGCTTTAAGGTCAATGGCAGAAAAGGAAATATCTTCGTTTCAAAACTAGACAGAATCATTCCCTCAAACTGCGTTGTGATGTGTTCGTTCAACTCACAGAGTTTAACCTTTCTTTTCATAGAGCAGTTAGGAAACAGTCTGTTTGTAAATTCTGTAAGTGGATATTCTGACATCTTGTGGCCTTCGTTGGAAACGGGATTTCTTCATATTCTGCTAGACAGAAGAATTCTCAGAATCTTCCTTGTGTTGTGTGTATTCAACTCACAGAGTTGAACGATCCTTTACACAGAGCAGACATGAAACACTCTTTTTGTGGAATTTGCAAGTGGAGATTTCAGCCGCTTTGAGGTCCATGGTAGAAAAGGAAATATCTTCGAATAAAAACTAGACAGAATGATTCTCAGAAACTCCTTTGTGATGTGGGCGTTCAACTCACAGAGTTTAACCTTCCTTTTCATAGAGCAGTTAGGAAACACTCTGTTTGTAAAGTCTGCACGTGGATATTTGGACTTCTTTGAGGCCTTCGTTGGAAACGGGTTTTTTTCATGTAAGGCTAGACGGAAGAATTCTCAGTAACTTCCTTGTGTTGTGTGTATTCAACTGACAGAGTTGAACTTTCATTTGGAGAGAGCAGATTTGAAACACTATTTTTGTGGTATTTGCAAGTGGAGATTTCAAGCGCTTTGGGGCCAAAGGCAGAAAAGGAAATATCCTCGTATAAAAACAAGACAGAATCATTCTCAGAAACTGCTCTGCGATGTGTGCGTTCAACTCTCAGAGTTTAACTTTTCTTTTCATTCAGCAGTTTGGAAACACTCTGTTTGTAAAGTCTGCACGTGGATAATTTGGCCACTTAGAGGCCTTCGTTGGAAACGGGTTTTTTCATGTAAGGCTAGACAGAAGAATTCCCAGTAACTTCCTTGCGTTGTGTACATTCAACTCACAGAGTTGAACGTTCCCTTAGACAGAGCAGATTTGAAACACTCTTTTTGTGCAATTGGCAAGTGGAGATTTCAAGCGCTTTAAGGTCAATGGCAGAAAAGGAAATATCTTCGTTTCAAAACTAGACAGAATCATTCCCACAAACTGCGTTGTGATGTGTTCGTTCAAATCACAGAGTTTAACCTTTCTTTTCATAGAGCAGTTAGGAAACAGTCTGTTTGTAAATTCTGTAAGTGGATATTCTGACATCTTGTGGCCTTCGTTGGAAACGGGATTTCTTCATATTCTGCTAGACAGAAGAATTCTCAGTAACTTCCTTGTGTTGTGTGTATTCAACTCACAGAGTTGAACGATCCTTTACAGAGAGCAGGCTTGAAACACTCTTTTTGTGGAATTTGCAAGTGGAGATTTCAGCCGCTTTGAGGTCAATGGTAGAATGGGAAATATCTTCCTATAGAAACTAGACAGAATGATTCTCAGAAACTCCTTTGTGATGTGTGTGTTCAACTCACAGAGTTTAACCTTTTTTTTCATAGAGCAGTTAGGAAACACTCTGTTTGTAAAGTCTGCAAGAGGATATTCAGACCTCTTTGAGGCCTTCGTTGGAAACGGGTTTTTTTCATATAAGGCTAGACAGAAGAATTCACAGTAACTTCCTTGTGTTGTGTGTATTCAACTGACAGAGTTGAACTTTCATTTAGAGAGAGCAGATTTGAAACACTGTTTTTGTGGAATTTGCAAGTGGAGATTTCAAGCGCTTTGGGGCCAAAGGCAGAAAAGGAAATATCTTCGTATAAAAACTAGACAGAATCATTCTCAGAAACTGCTGCGTGATGTGTGCGTTCAACTCTCAGAGTTTAACTTTTCTTTTCATTCAGCGGTTTGGAAACACTCTGTTTGTAAAGTCTGCACGTGGATATTTTGACCACTTAGAGGCCTTCGTTGGAAACGGGTTTTTTTTCATGTAAGGCTAGACAGAAGAATTCCCAGTAACTTCCCTTGTGTTGTGTACATTCAACTCACAGAGTTGAACGTTCCGTTAGACAGAGCAGATTTGAAACACTCTTTTTGTGCAATTGGCAAATGGAGATTTCAAGCGCTTTAAGGTCAATGGCAGAAAAGGAAATATCTTCGTTTCAAAACTAGACAGAAATCATTCCCACAAACTGCGTTGTGATGTGTTCGTTCAACTCACAGCAGTTTAACCTTTCTTTTCATAGAGCAGTTAGGAAACAGTCTGTTTGTCAATTCTGTAAGTGGATATTCTGACATCTTGTGGCCTTCGTTGGAAACGGGATTTCTTCATATTCTGCTAGACAGAAGAATTCTCAGTAACTTCCTTGTGTTGTGTGTATTCAACTCACAGAGTTGAACGATCCTTTACACAGAGCAGACTTGAAACACTCTTTTTGTGGAATTTGCAAGAGTAGATTTCAAGCGCTTTAAGGTCAATGGCAGAAAAGGAAATATCTTCGTTTCAAAACTAGACAGAATGATTCTCAGAAACTCCTTTGTGATGTGTGCGTTCAACACACAGAGTTTAACTTTTCTTTTCATAGAGCAGTTAGGAAACACTCTGTTTGTAAAGTCTGCAAGTGGATATTCAGACCTCTTTGAGGCCTTCGTTGGAAACGGGATTTCTTCATATTCTGCTAGACAGAAGAATTCTCAGTAACTTCCTTGTGTTGTGTGTATTCAACTCACAGAGTTGAACGATCCTTTACACAGAGCAGACTTGAAACACTCTTTTTGTGGAATTTGCAAGTGGATATTTCAGCCGCTTTGAGGTCAATAGTAGAAAAGGAAATATCTTCGTAGAAAAACTAGACAGAATCATTCTCAGAAACTGCTGCGTGATGTGTGCGTTCAACTCTCAGAGTTTAACTTTTCTTTTCATTCAGCGGTTTGGAAACACTCTGCTTGTAAAGTCTGCACGTGGATATTTTGACCACTTAGAGGCCTTCGTTGGAAACGGGTTTTTTTCATGTAAGGCTAGACAGAAGAATTCCCAGTAACTTCCTTGTGTTGTGTGCATTCAACTCACAGAGTTGAACGTTCCCTTAGACAGAGCAGATTTGAAACACTCTATTTGTCCAATTTGCAAGTGTAGATTTCAAGCGCTTTAAGGTCAACGGCAGAAAAGGAAATATCTTCGTTTCAAAACTAGACAGAATGATTCTCAGAAAATCTTTTGTGATGTGTGCGTTCAACTCACAGAGATTAACTTTTCTTCTCATAGAGCAGTTAGGAAACACTCTGTTTGTAAAGTTTGCAAGTGGATATTCAGACCTCTTTGAGGCCTTCGTTGGAAACGGGATTTCTTCATATTATGCTAGACAGAAGAATTCTCAGTAACTTCCTTGTGTTGTGTGTATTCAACTCACAGAGTTGAACGATCCTTTACAGAGAGCAGACTTGAAACACACTTTTTGTGGAATTTGCAAGTGGAGTTTTCAGCCGCTTTGAGGTCAATTGTAGAAAAGGAAATATCTTCGTATAAAGACTAGACAGAATGATTCTCATAAGCTCCTTTGTGATGTGTGCGTTCAACTCACAGAGTTTAACCTTTCTTTTCATAGAGCAGTTAGGAAACACTCTGTTTGTAAAGTCTGCAAGTGGATATTCAGACCTCCTTGAGGCCTTCGTTGGAAACGGGATTTCTTCATATTCTGCTAGACAGAAGAATTCTCAGAAACTTCCTTGTGTTGTGTGTTTTCAACTCACAGAGTTGAACGATGCTTTACACAGAGTAGACTTGAAACACTCTTTTTGTGAAATTTGCAAGTAGAGATTTCAGCCGCTTTGAGGTCAACGGTAGAAAAGGAAATATCTTCCTATAAAAACTAGACAGAATGATTCTCAGAAACTCCTTTGTGATGTGTGTGTTCAACTCACAGAGTTTAACGTTTCTTTTCATAGAGCAGTTAGTAAACACTCTGTTTATAAAGTCTGCAAGTGGATATTCAGACCCCTTTGAGGCCTTCGTTGGAAACGGGATTTCTTCATATTATGCTAGACAGAAGAATTCTCAGTAACTTCCTTGTGTTGTGTGTATTCAACTCACAGAGTTGAACTTTCATTTACACAGAGCAGATTTGAAACACTCTTTTTGTGGAATTTGCAAATGGAGATTTCAAGCGCTTTGAGGCCAAAGGCAGAAAAGGAAATATCTTCGTTTCAAAACTAGACAGAATCATTCTCAGAAACTGCTGCGTGATGTGTGCGTTCAACTCTGAGAGTTTAACTTTTCTTTTCATTCAGCGGTTTGGAAACACTCTGTTTGTAAAGTCTGCACGTGGATATTCAGACCTCTTTGAGGCCTTCGTTGGAAACGGGTTTTTTTCATGTAAGGCTAGACAGAAGAATTCCCAGTAACTTCCTTGTGTTGTGTACATTCAACTCACAGAGTTGAACGTTCCCTTATACAGAGCAGATTTGAAACACTCTTTTTGTGCAATTGGCAAGTGGAGATTTCAAGCGCTTTAAGGTCAATGGCAGAAAAGGAAATATCTTCGTTTCAAAACTAGACAGAATCATTCCCACAAAGTGCGTTGTGATGTGTTCGTTCAACTCACAGAGTTTAACCTTTCTGTTCATAGAGCAGTTAGGAAACACTCTGTTTGTAAAGTCTGTAAGTGGATATTCTGACATCTTGTGGCCTTCGTTGGAAACGGGATTTCTTCATATTCTGCTAGACAGAAGAATTCTCAGTAACTTCCTTGTGGTGTGTGTATTCAACTCACAGAGTTGAACGATCCTTTACACAGAGCAGACTTGAGACACTCATTTTGTGGAATTTGCAAGTGGAGATTTCAGCCGCTTTGAGGTCAATGGTAGAAAAGGAAACTATCTTCATATAAAGACTAGACAGAATGATTCTCACAAACTCCTTTGTGATGTGGGCGTTGAACTCACAGAGTTTAACCTTTCTTTTCATAGAGCAGTTAGGAAACACTCTGTTGGTAAAGTCTGAACGTGGATATTTGGACTTCTTTGTGGTCTTCGTTGGAAACGGGTTTTTTTCATGTAAGGCTAGACAGAAGAATTCTCAGTAACTTCCTTGTGTTGTGTGTATTAAACTGACAGAGTTGAACTTTCATTTAGAGAGAGCAGATTTGTAACACTGTTTTTGTGGAATTTGCAAGTGGAGATTTCAAGCGCTTTGGGGCCAAAGGCAGAAAAGGAATTATCTTGGTATAAAAACTAGACAGAATCATTCTCAGTAACTGCTCTGTGATGTGTGCGTTCAACTCTCAGAGTTTAACTTTTCTTTTCATTCAGCAGTTTGGAAACACTCTGTTTGTAAAGTCTGCACGTGGATATTTTGACCACTTAGAGGCCTTCTTTGGAAACGGTTTTTTCTCATGTAAGGCTAGACAGAAGAATTCCCAGGAACTTACTTGTGTTGTGTACATTCAACTCACAGAGTTGAACGTTCCCTTAGACAGAGCAGATTTGAAACACTCTTTTTGTGCAATTGGCAAATGGAGATTTCAAGCGCTTTAAGGTCAATGGCAGAAAAGGAAATATCTTCGTTTCAAAACTAGACAGAATCATTCCCACAAACTGCGTTGTGATGTGTGCGTTCAACTCACAGAGTTTAACCTTTCTGTTCATAGAGCAGTTAGGAAACACTCTGTTTGTAAAGTCTGTAAGTGGATATTCTGACATCTTGTGGCCTTCGTTGGAAACGGGATTTCTTCATATTCTGCTAGACAGAATAATTCTCAGTAACTTCCTTGTGTTGTGTGTATTCAACTCAAAGAGTTGAAGGATCCTTTACAGAGAGCAGGCTTGAAACACTCTTTTTGTCGAATTTGCAAGTGGAGATTTCAGCTGCTTTGAGGTCAATGGTAGAATAGGAAATATCTTCTTATAGAAACTAGACAGAATGATTCTCAGAAACTCCTTTGTGATGTGTGCGTTCAACTCACAGAGTTCAACCTTTCTTTTCATAGAGCAGTTAGGAAACACTCTGTTTGTAAAGTCTGCAAGTGGATATTCAGACCTCCTTGAGGCCTTCGTTGGAAACGTGATTTCTTCATATTATGCTAGACAGAAGAATTCTCAGTAACTTCCCTTGTGTTGCGTGTATTCAACTCACAGAGTTGAACGATCCTTTACAAAGAGCAGACTTGAAACACTCTTTTTGGGGAATTTGCAAGTGGAGATTTCAGCCGCTTTGAGGTCAATGGTAGAATAGGGAATATCTTCCTATAGAAACTAGACAGAATGATTCTCAGAAACTCCTTTGTGATGTGTGCGTTCAACTCTCAGAGTTTAACTTTTCTTTTCATTCAGCAGTTTGGAAACACTCTGTTTGTAAAGTCTGCACGTGGATAATTTGACCACTTAGAGGCTTTCGTTGGAAACGGGTTTTTTTCCTGTAAGGCTAGACAAAAGATTTCCCAGTAACTTCCTTGTGTTGTGTGCATTCAACTCACAGAGTTGAACGTTCCGTTAGACAGAGCAGATTTGAAACACTCTATTTGTGCAATTTGCAAGTGTAGATTTCAAGCGCTTTAAGGTCAATGGCAGAAAAGGAAATATCTTCGTTTCAAAACCAGACAGAATCATTCCCACAAACTGCGTTGTGATGTGTTCGTTCAACTCACAGAGTTTAACCTTTCTGTTCATAGAGCAGTTAGGAAACACTCTGTTTGTAAAGTCTGCAAGTGGATATTCAGACCTCCTTGAGGCCTTCGTTGGAAATGGGATTTCTTAATATTCTGCTAGACAGAAGAATTCTCAGAATCTTCCTTGTGTTGTGTGTATTCAACTCACAGAGTTGAACGATCCTTTACACAGAGCAGACTTGAAACACTCTTTTTGTGGAATTTGCAAGTGGAGATTTCAGCCTCTTTGAGGTCCATGGTAGAAAAGGAAATATCTTCGTATAAAAACTAGACAGAATGATTCTCAGAAAATCTTTTGTGATGTGTGCGTTGAACTCACAGAGTTTAACTTTTCTTCTCATAGAGCAGTTAGGAAACACTCTGTTTGTACAGTCTGCAAGTGGATATTCAGACCTCTTTGAGGCCTTCGTTGGAAACGGGATTTCTTCATATTATGCTAGACAGAAGAATTCCCAGTAACTTCCCTTGTGTTGTGTGTGTTCAACTCACAGAGTTGAACTTTCATTTACCCAGAGCAGATTTGAAACACTCTTTTTGTGGAATTTGCAAGTGGAGATTTCAAGCGCTTTGAGGCCAAAGACAGAAAAGGAAATATCTTCGTTTCAAAACTAGACAGAATCATTCTCAGAAACTGCTGCGTGATGTGTGCGTTCAACTCTCAGAGTTTAACTTTTCTTTTCATTCAGCAGTTTGGAAACACTCTGTTTGTAAAGTCTGCACGTGGAAATTTTGACCACTTAGAGGCCTTCTTTGGAAACGGGATTTTTTCATGTAAGGCTAGACAGAAGAATTCCCAGTAACTTCCTTGTGTTGTGTGCATTCAACTCACAGAGTTGAACGTTCCCTTAGACAGAGCAGATTTGAAACACTCTATTTGTGCAATTTGCAAGTGTAGTTTTCAAGCTCTTTAAGGTCAACGGCAGAAAAGGAAATATCTTCGTTTCAAAACTAGACAGAATCATTCCCACAAACTGCGTTGTGATGTGTTCGTCCAACTCACAGAGTTTAACCTTTCTGTTCATAGAGCAGTTAGGAAACACTTTGTTTGTAAAGTCTGTAAGTGGATATTCTGACATCTTGTGGCCTTCGTTGGAAACGGGATTTCTTCATATTCTGCTAGACAGAAGAATTCTCAGTAACTTCCTTTTGCTGTGTGTATTCAACTCACATAGTTGAATGATCCTTTACACAGAGCAGATTAGAAACACACTTTTTGTGGATTTTGCAAGTGGAGATTTCAGCCGCTTTGAGGTCAATGGTAGAAAAGGATATATCTTCGTATAGAAACTAGACAGAATGATTCTCAGAAACTACTTTGTGATGTGTGCGTTCAACTCACAGAGTTTAACCTTTCTTTTCCTAGAGTAGTTAGGAAACACTCTGTTTTTAAAGTCTGCAAGTGGATATTCAGACCTCTTTGAGGCCTTCGTTGGAAACGGGATTTCTTCATATTATGCTAGACAGAAGAATTCCCAGTAACTTCCTTGTGTTGTGTGTGTTCAACTCACAGAGTTGAACTTTCATTTACACAGAGCAGATTTGAAACACTCTTTTTGTGGAATTTGCAAGTGGAGATTTCAAGCGCTTTGAGGCCAAAGGCAGAAAAGGAAATATCTTCGTTCAAAACTAGACAGAATCATTCTCAGAAACTGCTCTGCGATGTGTGCGTTCAACTCTCAGAGTTTAACTTTTCTTTTCATGCAGCAGTTTGGAAACACTCTGTTTGTAAAGTCTGCACGTGGATAACTTGACCACTTAGAGGACTTCGTTGGAAACGGGTTTTTTTCCTGTAAGGCTAGACAGAAGAATTCCCAGTAACTTCCTTGTGTTGTGTACATTCAAATCACAGAGTTGAACGTTCCCTTAGACAGAGCAGACTTGTAACACTCTTTTTGTGGAATTTGCAAGTGGAGATTTCAGCCGCTTTGAAGTCAAAGGTAGAAAAGGAAATATCTTCCTATAAAAACTAGACAGAATGATTCTCAGAAACTCCTTTGTGATGTGTGTGTTCAACTCACAGAGTTTAACATTTCTTTTCATAGAGCAGTTAGGAAACACTCTGTTTGTAAAGTCTGCAAGTGGATATTCAGACCTAGTTGAGGCCTTCGTTGGAAACGGGATTTCTTCATATTCTGCTAGACAGAAGAATTCTGAGTAACTTCCTTGTGTTGTGTTTATTCAACTCACAGAGTTGAATGATCCTTTACACAGAGCAGACTTGAAACACTCTTTTTGTGGAATTTGCATGTGGAGATTTCAGCCGCTTTGTGGTCAATGGTAGAAAAGGAAATATCTTCGTATAAAGACTAGACAGAATGATTCTCAGAAACTCCTTTGTGATATGTGCGTTCAACTCACAGAGTTTAACCTTTCTTTTCATAGAGCAGTTAGGAAACACTCTGCTTGTAAAGTCTGCAAGTGGATATTCAGCCCTCTTTGAGGCCTTCGTTGGAAATGGGTTTTTTTCATATAAGGCTAGACAGAGGAATTCCCAGTAACTTCCTTGTGTTGTGTGTGTTCAACTCACAGAGTTGAACTTTCATTTACACAGAGCAGATTTGAAACACTCTTTTTGTGGAATTTGCAAGTGGAGATTTCAAGCGCTTTGAGGCCAAAGGAAGAAAAGGAAATATCTTCGTTTCAAAACTAGACAGAATCATTCTCAGAAACTGCTGCGTGATGTGTGCGTTCAACTCTCAGAGTTTAACTTTTCTTTTCATTCAGCGGTTTGGAAACACTCTGTTTGTAAAGTCTGCACGTGGATATTTTGACCACTTAGAGGCCTTCGTTGGAAACGGGTTTTTTTTCATGTAAGGCTAGACAGAAGAATTCCCAGTAACTTCCTTGTGTTGTGTGCATTCAGCTCAGAGAGTTGAACCTTCCCTTAGACAGAGCAGATTTGAAACACTCTATTTGTGCAATTTGCAAGTGTAGATTTCAAGCGCTTCAAGGTCAATGGCAGAAAAGGAAATATCTTCGTTTCAAAACTAGACAGAATCATTCCCACAAACTGCGTTATGATGTGTTCGTTCAACTCACAGAGTTTAACCTTTCTTTTCATAGAGCAGTTAGGAAACAGTCTGTTTGTAAATTCTGTAAGTGGATATTCTGACATCTTGTGGCCTTCGTTGGAAACGGGATTTCTTCATATTCTGCTAGACAGAAGAATTCTCAGTAACTACCTTGTGTTGTGTGTATTCAACTCACAGAGTTGAACGATCCTTTACACAGAGCGGACTTGAAACACTCGTTTTGTGGAATTTGCAAGTGGAGATTTCAGCCGCGTTGAGGTCAATGGTAGAAAAGGAAATATCTACGTATAAAAACTAGACAGAATGATTCTCAGAAACTCCTTTGTGATGTGTGCGTTCAACTCACAGAGTATAACCTTTCTTTTCATAGAGCAGTTAGGAAACACTCTGTTTGTAAAGTCTGCAAGTGGATATTCAGACCTCTTTGAGGCCTTCGTTGGAAACGGGTTTTTTTCATATAAGGCTAGACAGAAGAATTCCCAGTAACTTCCCTTGTGTTGTGTGTGTTCAACTCACAGAGTTGAACTTTCATTTACACAGAGCAGATTTGAAACACTCTTTTTGTGGAATTTGCAGGTGGAGATTTCAAGCGCTTTGAGGCCAAAGGCAGAAAAGGAAATATCTTCGTATAAAACCTAGACAGAATCATTCTCAGAAACTGCTGCGTGGTGTGTGCGTTCAACTCTCAGAGTTTAACTTTTCTTTTCATTCAGCGGTTTGGAAACACTCTGTTTGTAAAGTCTACACGTGGATATTTTGACCACTTAGAGGCCTTCGTTGGAAACTGGTTTTCTTCATGTAAGGCTAGACAGAAGAATTCCCAGGAACTTCCTTGTGTTGTGTACATTCAACTCACAGAGTTGAACGTTCCCTTAGACAGAGCAGATTTGAAGCACTCTTTTTGTGCAATTGGCAAGTGGTGATTTCAGCCGCTTTGAGGTCAATGGTAGAAAAGGAAATATCTTCGTATAAAAACTAGACAGAATGATTCTCAGAAACTCCTTTGTGATGTGTGCGTTCAACTCACAGAGTTTAACCTTTCTTTTCATAGAGCAGTTAGGAAACACTGTTTGTAAAGTCTGCAAGTGGATATTCAGACATCCTTGAGGCCTTCATTGGAAACGGGATTTCTTCATATTATGCTAGACAGAAGAATTCTCAGTAACTTCCTTGTGTTGTGTGTATTCAACTCACAGAGTTGAACGATCCTTTACACAGAGCAGACTTGAAACACTCTTTTTGTGGAATTTGCAAGTGGAGATTTCAGCCGCTTTGAGGTCAATGGTAGAATAGGAAATATCTTCCTATAGAAACTGGACAGAACGATTCTCAGAAACTCCTTTGTGATGTGTGCGTACAACTCACAGAGTTTAACCTTTCTTTTCATAGAGCAGTTAGGAAACACTCTGTTTGTAAAGTCTGCAAGTGGATATTCAGACCTCTTTGAGGCCTTCGTTGGAAACGGGATTTCTTCATATTCCTGCTAGACAGAAGAATTCCCAGTAACTTCCTTGTGTTGTGTGTGTTCAACTCACAGTGTTGAACTTTCATTTACACAGAGCAGATTGGAAACACTCTTTTTCTGGAATTTGCAAGTGGAGATTTCAAGCGCTTTGAGGCCAAAGGCAGAAAAGGAAATATCTTCGTATAAAAACTAGACAGAATCATTCTCAGAAACTGCTGCGTGATGTGTGCGTTCAACTCTCAGAGTTTAACTTTTCTTTTCATTCAGCGCTTTGGAAACACTCTGTTTGTAAAGTCTGCACGTGGAAATTTTGACCACTTAGAGGCCTTCGGTTGGAAACGGGTTTTTTTCATGTAAGGCTAGACAGAAGAATTCTCAGTAACTTCCTTGTGTTGTGTGTATTCAACTCACAGAGTTGAACGATCCTTTACACAGAGCAGATTGAAACACTCTTTTTGTGGAATTTGCAAGTGGAGATTTCAGCCGCTTTGAGGTCAATGGTAGAAAAGGAAATATCTTCGTATAAAGACTAGACAGAATGATTCTCAGAAACTCCTTTGTGATGTGTGCGTTCAACTCACAGAGTTTAACCTTTCTGTTCATAGAGCAGTTAGGAAACACTCTGTTTGTAAAGTCTGTAAGTGGATATTCTGACATCTTGTGGTCTTCGTTGGAAACGGGATTTCTGCATATTCTGCTAGACAGAATAATTCTCAGTAACTTCCTTGTGTTGTGTGTATTCAACTCACAGAGTTGAACGATCCTTTACAGAGAGCAGACTTGAAACACTCTTTTTGTGGAATTCGCAAGTGGAGATTTCAGCCGCTTTGAGGTCAATGTTAGAAAAGGATATATCTTCGTATAAAGACTAGACAGAATGATTCTCAGAAACTCCTTTGTGATGTGTGCGTTCAACTCACAGAGTTTAACCTTTCTTTTCATAGAGCAGTTAGGAAACCCTCTGTTTATAAAGTCTGCAAGTGGATATTCAGACCTCTTTGAGGCCTTCGTTGGAAACGGGATTTCTTCATATTATGCTAGACAGATGAATTCTCATTAACTTCCTTGTGTTGTGTGTATTCAACTCACAGAGTTGAACGATCCTTTACACAGAGCGGACTTGAAACACTCTTTTTGTGGAATTTGCAAGTGGAGATTTCAGCCGCGTTGAGGTCAATGGTAGAAAAGGAAATCTCTTCGTATAAAAACTAGACAGAATGATTCTCAGAAACTCCTTTGTGATGTGTGTGTTCAACTCACAGAGTTTAACCTTAGTTTTCATAGAGCAGTTAGGAATCACTCTGTTTGTAAAGTCTGCAAGTGGATATTCAGACCTCTTTGAGGCCTTCGTTGGAAACGGGTTTTTTTCATATAAGGCTAGACAGAAGAATTCTCAGTAACTTCCTTATGTTGTGTGTATTCAACTGACAGAGTTGAACTTTCGTTTAGAGAGAGCAGATTTGAAACACTCTTTTTGTGGAATTTGCAAGTGGAGATTTCAAGCGCTTTGGGGCCAAAGGCAGAAAAGGAAATATCTTCGTATAAAAACTAGACAGAATCATTATCAGAAACTGCTGCGTGATGTGTGTGTTCAACTCTCAGAGTTTAACTTTTCTTTTCATTCAGCGGTTTAGAAACACTCTGTTTGTAAAGTCTGCACGTGGATATTTTGTCCACTTAGAGGCCTTCGTTGGAAACGGGTTTTTTGCATGTAAGGCTAGACAGAAGAATTCCCCAGTAACTTCCTTGTGTTGTGTACATTCAACTCACAGAGTTGAACGTTCCCTTACACAGAGCAGATTTGAAACACTCTTTTTGTGCAATTGGCAAGTGGAGATTTCAAGCGCTTTAAGGTCAATGGCAGAAAAGGAAATATCTTCGTTTCAAAACTAGACAGAATCATTCCCAGAAACTGCGTTGTGATGTGTTCGGTAAACTCACAGAGTTTAACCATTCTTTTCATAGAGCAGTTAGGAAACAGTCTGTTTGTAAATTCTGTAAGTGGATATTCTGACATCTTGTGGCCTTCGTTGGAAACGGGATTTCTTCATATTCTGCTAGACAGAAGAATTCTCAGTAACTTCCTTGTGTTGTGTGTATTCAACTCACAGAGTTGAACCATCTTTCACACAGAGCAGATCTGAAACACTCTTTTTGTGGAATTTGCAAGTGGAGATTTCAGCCACCTTGAGGTCAATGGTAGAAAAGGAAATATCTTCGTATAAAAACTAGACAGAATGATTCTCAGAAACTCCTTTGTGATGTGTGCGTTCAACTCACAGAGTTCAACCTTTCTTTTCATAGAGCAGTTAGGAAACACTCTGTTTGTAAAGTCTGCAAGTGGATATTCAGACCTCCTTGAGGCCTTCGTTGGAAACGGGATTTCTTCATATTATGCAAGACAGAAGAATTCTCAGTAACTTCCTTGTGTTGTGTGTATTCAACTCACAGAGTTGAAAGATCCTTTACAGAGAGCAGACTTCAAACACTCTTTTTGTGGAATTTGCAAGTGGAGATTTCAGGCGCTTTGAGGTCAATGGTAGAAAAGGAAACTATCTTCGTATAAAGACTAGACAGAATGATTCTCAGAAACTCCTTTGTGATGTGTGCGTTCAACTCACAGAGTTTAACTTTTCTTTTCATAGAGCAGTTAGGAAACACTCTGTTTGTAAAGTCTGCAAGTGGATATTCAGACATCTTTGAGGCTTTCGTTGGAAACGGGATTTCTTCATATTCTGCTAGGCAGAAGAATTCTCAGTAACTTCCTTGTGTTGTGTGTATTCAACTCACAGAGTTGAACGATTCTTTACACAGAGCAGACTTGAAACACTCTTTTTGTGGAATTTGCAAGTGGAGATTTCAGCCGCTTTCATGTCACTGGTAGAAAAGGAAATATCTTCGTATAAAGACTAGACAGAATGATTCTCAGAAACTCCTTTGTGATGTGTGCGTTCAACTCACAGAGTTCAACCTTTCTTTTCATAGAGCAGTTGGGAAACACTCTGTTTGTAAAGTCTGCAAGTGGATATTCAGACTTCTTTGAGGCCTTCTTTGGAAGCGGGATTTCTTCATGTTCTGCTAGACAGAAGAATTCTCAGTAACTTCCTTGTGTTGTGTGTATTCAACTCACAGAGTTGAATGATCCTTTACACAGAACAGACTTGAAACACTCTTGTTGTGGAATTTGCAAGTGGAGATTTCAGCCGCTTTGTGGTCAACGGTAGAATAGGTAATATCTTCCTATAGAAACTAGACAGAATCATTCTCAGAAACTGCTCTGCGATGTGTGCGTTCAACTCTCACAGTTTAACTTTTCTTTTCATTCAGCAGTTTGGAAACACTCTGTTTGTAAAGTCTGCACGTGGATAATTTGACCACTTAGAGGCCTTCGTTGGAAACGGGTTATTTTCATGTAAGGCTAGACAGAAGAATTCCCAGTAACTTCCTTGTGTTGTGTGCATTCAACTCACAGAGTTGAACGTTCCCTTAGACAGAGCAGATTTGAAACACTCTATTTGTGCAATTTGCAATTGTAGATTTCAAGCGCTTTAAGGTCAATGGCAGAAAAGGAAATATCTTCGTTTCAAAACTAGACAGAATCATTCCCACAAACTGCGTTGTGATGTGTTCGTTCAACTCACAGAGTTTAACCTTTCTGTTCATAGAGCAGTTAGGAAACACTCTATTTCTAAAGTCTGTAAGTGGATATTCTGACATCTTGTGGCCTTCGTTGGAAACTGGGATTTCTTCATATTCTGCTAGACAGAAGAATTCCCAGTAACTTCCTTGTGTTGTGTGCATTCAACTCACAGAGTTGAACGATCCTTTACACAGAGCAGACTTGAAACACTCTTTTTGTGGAATTTGCAAGTGGACATTTCAGCCGCTTTGAGGTCAATAGTAGAAAAGGAAATATCTTCGAAGAAAAACTAGACAGAATGATTCTCAGAAACTCCTTTGTGATGTGTGCGTTCAACTCACACTGTTTAACCTTTCTTTTCATAGAGCAGTTAGGAAACACTCTGTTTGTAAAGTCTGCAAGTGGATATTCAGACCTCCTTGAGGCATTCGTTGGAAACGGGATTTCTTCATATTATGCTAGACAGAAGAATTCCCAGTAACTTCCTTGTGTTGTGTGTGTTCAACTCACAGAGTTGAACTTTCATTTACACAGAGCACATTTGAAACACTCTTTTTGTGGAATTTGCAAATGGAGATTTCAAGCGCTTTGAGGCCAAAGGCAGAAAAGGAAATATCTTCGTTTCAAAACTAGACAGAATCATTCTCAGAAACTGCTGCGTGATGTGTGCGTTCAACTCTCAGAGTTTAACTTTTCTTTTCATTCAGCCGTTTGGAAACACTCTGTTTATAAAGTCTGCACGTGGAAATTTTGACCACTTAGAGGCCTTCGTTGGAAACGGGTTTTTTTCATGTAAGGCTAGACAGAAGAATTCCCAGTAAATTCCTTGTGTTGTGTACATTCAACTCACAGAGTTGAACGTTCCCTTAGACAGAGCAGATTTGAAACACTCTTTTTGTGCAATTGGCAAGTGGAGATTTCAAGCGCTTTAAGGTCAATGGCAGAAAAGGAAATATCTTCGTTTCAAAACTAGACAGAATCATTCCCACAAACTGCGTTGTGATGTGTTCGTTCATCTCACAGAGTTTAACCTTTCTTTTCATAGTGCAGTTAGGAAACACTCTGTTTGTAAATTCTGTAAGTGGATATTCTGACATCTTGTGGCCTTCGTTGGAAACGGGATTTCTTCATATTCTGCTAGACAGAAGAATTCTCAGAATCTTCCTTGTGTTGTGTGTCTTCAACTCACAGAGTTGAACGATGGTTTACACAGAGCAGATTTGAAACACTCTTTTTGTGGAATTTGCAAGTGGAGATTTCAGCCGCTTTGAGGTCAATGGTAGAAAAGGAAATGTCTTCGTATAAAAACTAGACAGAATGATTCTCAGAAACTCCTTTGTGATGTGTGCGTTCAACTCACAGAGTTTAACCTTTCTTTTCATAGAGCAGTTAGGAAACACTCTGTTTGTAAAGTCTGCAAGTGGATATTCAGACCTCTTTGAGGCCTTCGTTGGAAACGGGTTTTTACATATAAGGCTTGACAGAACAATTCCCAGTAACTTCCTTGTGTTGTGTGTGTTCAACTCACAGAGTTAAACTTTCATTTACACAGAGCAGATTTGAAACACTCTTTTTGTGGAATTTGCAAGTGGAGATTTCAAGCGCTTTGAGGCCAAAGGCAGAAAAGGAAATATCTTCGTATAAAAACTAGACAAAATGATTCTCAGAAACTCCTTTGTGATGTGTGCGTTCAACTCGCATAGTTTAACCTTTCTTTTCATAGAGCAGTTAGGAAACACTCGGTTTGTAATGTCTGCACGTGGATATTTGGACTTCTTTGAGGCCTTCTTTGGAAACGGGTTTTTTCCATGTAAGGCTAGACAGAAGAATTCCCAGTAACTTCATTGTGTTGTGTGCATTCAACTCACAGAGTTGAACGTTCCCTTAGAGCAGATTTGAAACACTCTATTTGTGCAATTTGCAAGTGTAGATTTCAAGCGCTTTAAGGTCAATGGCAGAAAAGGAAATATCTTCGTTTCAAAACTAGACAGAATCATTCCCACAAACTGCGTTGTGATGCGTTCGTTCAACTCACAGAGTTTAACCTTTCTGTTCATAGAGCAGTTAGGAAACACTCTGTTTGTAAATTCTGCAAGTGGATATTCAGACCTCCTTGAGGCCTTCGTTGGAAACGGGATTTCTTCATATTCTGCTAGACAGAAGAATTCTCAGTAACTTCCCTTGTGTTGTGTGTATTCAACTCACAGAGTTGAACGATCCTTTACACAGAGCAGACTTGAAACACTCTTTTTGTGGAATTTGCAGGTGGAGATTTCAGCCGCTTTGTGTTCAATGGTAGAATAGGAAATATCTTCCTATAGAAACTAGACAGAATGATTCTCAGAAACTCCTTTGAGATGTGTGTGTTCAACTCACAGAGTTTAACCTTGCTTTTCATAGAGCAGTTAGGAATCACTCTGTTTGTAAAGTCTGCAAGTGGATATTCAGACCTCTTTGAGGCCTTCGCTGGAAACGGGTTTTTTTCATATAAGGCTAGACAGAAGAATTCTCAGAATCTTCCTTGTGTTGTGTGTATTCAACTCACAGAGTTGAACGATCCTTTACACAGAGCAGATTTGAAACACTCTTTTTGTGGAATTTGCAAATGGAGATTTCAAGCGCTTTGAGGCCAAAGGCAGAAAAGGAAATATCTTCGTATAAAAACTAGACAGAATCATTCTCAGAAACTGCTCTGCGATGTGTGCATGCAACTCTAAGAGTTTAACTTTTCTTTTCATTCAGCAGTTTGGAAACACTCTGTTTGTAAAGTCTGCACGTGGATAATTTGACCACTTAGAGGCCTTCGTTGGAAACGGGTTTTTTTCATGTAAGGCTAGACAGAAGAATTCCCAGTAACTTCCTTGTGTTGTGTACATTCAACTCACAGAGTTGAACGTTCCCTTAGACAGAGCAGACTTGTAACACTCTTTTTGTGGAATTTGCAAGTGGAGATTTCAGCCGCTTTGAAATCAAAGGTAGAAAAGGAAATATCTTCCTATAAAAACTAGACAGAATGATTCTCAGAAACTCCTTTTTGATGTGTGCGTTCAACTCACAGAGTTTAACCTTTCTTTTCATAGAGCAGTTAGGAAACACTCTGTTTGTAAAGTCTGCAAGTGGATATTCAGACCTCTTTGAGGCCTTCGTTGGAAACGGGATTTCTTCATATTCTGCTAGACAGAAGAATTCTCAGTAACTTCCTTGTGTTGTGTGTATTCAACTCACAGAGTTGAAAGATCCTTTACACAGAGCATTCTTGAAACACTCTTTTTGTGGAATTTGCAAGTGGAGATTTCAGACGCTTTGAGGTCAATAGTAGAAAAGGAAATATCTTCGTAGAAAAACTAGACAGAATGATTCTCAGAAACTCCTTTGTGATGTGTGCGTTCAACTCACAGAGTTTAAACCTTTCTTTTCATAGAGCAGTTAGGAAACACTCTGTTTGTAAAGTCTGCAAGTGGATATTCAGACCTCCTTGAGACCTTCGTTGGAAACGGGTTTTTTTCATATAAGGCTAGACAGAAGAATTCTCAGTAACTTCCTTGTGTTGTGTGTATTCAACTGACAGCAGTTGAACTTTCATTTAGAGAGAGGAGATTTGAAACACTGTTTTTGTGGAATTTGCAAGTGGAGATTTCAAACGCTTTGGGGCCAAAGGCAGAAAAGGAAATATATTCGTATAAAAACTAGACAGAATCATTCTCAGAAACTGCTGCGTGATGTGTGCGTTCGACTCTCAGAGTTTAACTTTTCTTTTCATTCAGCGGTTTGGAAACACTCTGTTTGTATAGTCTGCACGTGGATATTTTGACCACTTAGAGGCCTTCTTTGGAAACGGGTTTTTTTCATGTAAGGCTAGACAGAAGAATTCCCAGGAACTTCCTTATGTTGTGTACATTCAACTGAGAGAGTTGAACGTTCCCTTAGACAGAGCAGATTTGAAACACTCTTTTTGTGCAATTGGCAAGTGGTGATTTCAGCCGGTTTGAGGTCAATGGTAGAAAAGGAAATATCTTCGTATAAAAACTAGACAGAATCATTACCACAAACTGCGTTGTGATGTGTTCGTTCAACTCACAGAATTTAACCTTTCTGTTCATAGAGCAGTTAGGAAACACTCTGTTTGTAAAGTCTGTAAGTGGATATTCTGACATCTTGTGGCCTTCGTTGGAAACGGGATTTCTTCATATTCTGCTGGACAGAAGAATTCTCAGAATCTTCCTTGTGTTGTGTGTATTCAACTCACAGAGTTGAACGATGGTTTACACAGTAGCAGATTTGAAACACTCTTTTGGTGGAATTTGCAAGTGGAGATTTCAGCCGCTTTGAGGTCAATGGTAGAAAAGGAAATATCTTCGTATAAAAACTAGACAGAATGATTCTCAGAAACTGCTTTGTGATGTGTGCGTTCAACTCACAGAGTTTAACCTTTCTTTTCATAGAGCAGTTAGGAAACACTCTGTTTGTAAAGTCTGCAAGTGGATATTCAGACCTCTTTGAGGCCTTCGTTGGAAACGGGTTTTTTTCATGTAAGGCTAGACAGAAGAATTCTCAGTAACTTCCTTGTGTTGTGTGTATTCAACTGACAGAGTTGAACTTTCATTTAGAGAGAGCAGATTTGAAACACTGTTTTTGTGGAATTTGCAATTGGAGATTTCAAGCGCTTTGGGGCCAAAGGCAGAAAAGGAAATATCTTCGTATAAAAACTACACAGAATCATTCTCAGAAACTGCTCTGCGATGTGTGCGTTCAACTCTCAGAGTTTAACTTTTCTTTTCATTCAGCAGTTTGGAAACACTCTGTTTGTAAAGTCTGCACGTGGATATTTTGACCATTTAGAGGCCTTCGTTGGAAACGGGTTTTTTTCCTGTAAGGCTAGAGAGAAGAATTCCCAGTAACTTCCTTGTGTTGTGTGCATTCAACTCACAGAGTTGAACGTTCCCTTAGACAGAGCAGATTTGAAACACTCTATTTGTGCAATTTGCAAGTGTAGATTTCAAGCGCTTTAAGGTCAATGGCAGAAAAGGAAATATCTTCGTTTCAAAATTAGACAGAATCATTCCCACAAACTGCGTTGTGATGTGTTCGTTCAACTCACAGACTTTAACCTTTCTGTTCATAGAGCAGTTAGGAAACACTCTGTTTGTAAAGTCTGCAAGTGGATATTCAGACCTCCTTGAGGCCTTCGTTGGAAACGGGATTTCTTCATATTCTGCTAGACAGAAAGAATTCTCAGTAACTTCCTTGTGTTGTGTGTATTCAACTCACAGAGTTGAACGATCCTTTACACAGAGCAGACTTGAAACACTCTTTTTGTGGAATTTGCAAGTGGAGATTTCAGCCGCTTTGAGGTCAAAGGTAGAAAAGGAAACTATCTTCATATAAAGACTAGACAGATGATTCTCAGAAACTCCTTTGTGATGTGTGCGTTCAACCCACAGAGTTCAACCTTTCTTTTCATAGAGCAGTTGGGAAACACTCTGTTTGTAAAGTCTGCAAGTGGATATTCAGACTTCTTTGAGGCCTTCGTTGGAAGCGGGATTTCTTCATATTCTGCTAGACAGAAGAATTCCCAGTAACTTCCTTGTGTTGTGTGTATTCAACTCACAGAGTTGAACTTTCATTTACACAGGAGCAGATTTGAAACACTCTTTTTGTGGAATTTGCAAATGGAGATTTCAAGCCCTTTCAGGCCAAAGGCAGAAAAGGAAATATCTTCGTATAAAAACTAGACAGAATCATTCTCAGAAACTGCTGCGTGATGTGTGCGATCAACTCTCAGAGTTTAACTTTTCTTTTCATTCAGCGGTTTGGAAACACTCTGTTTGTAAAGTCTGCACGTGGATATTTTGACCACTTAGAGGCCTTCGTTGGAAACGGGTTTTCTTCATGTAAGGCTAGACAGAAGAATTCCCAGTAACTTCCTTGTGTTGTGTACATTCAACTCACAGAGTTGAACGTTCCCTTAGACAGAGCAGATTTGAAACACTCTTTTTGTGCAATTGGCAAATGGAGATTTCAAGCGCTTTAAGGTCAATGGCAGAAAAGGAAATATTCTTCGTTTCAAAACTAGACAGAATCATTCCCACAAACTGCGTTGTGATGTGTTCGTTCAACTCACAGAAGTTTAACCTTTCTGTTCATAGAGCAGTTAGGAAACACTCTGTTTGTAAAGTCTGCAAGTGGATATTCAGACCTCCTTGAGGCCTTCGTTGGAAACGGGATTTCTTCATATTCTGCTAGACAGAAGAATTCTCAGAATCTTCCTTCTGTTGTGTGTATTCAACTCACAGAGTTGAACGTTCCTTTACACAGAGCAGACTTGAAACACTCTTTTTGTGGAATTTGCAAGTGGAGATTTCAGCCGCTTTGAGGTCCC
This sequence comes from Homo sapiens, assembly GCF_000001405.40. Taxonomy (NCBI): domain Eukaryota; kingdom Metazoa; phylum Chordata; class Mammalia; order Primates; family Hominidae; genus Homo; species Homo sapiens. The sequence continues at coordinate 122,979,200 of NC_000001.11, forward strand.
ATGGTAGAAAAGGAAATATCTTCGTATAAAAACTAGACAGATAGATTCTCAGAAACTCCTTTGTGATGTGTGCGTTCAACTCACAGAGTTTAACCTTTCTTTTCATAGAGCAGTTAGGAAACACTCTGTTTGTAAAGTCTGCAAGTGGATATTCAGACCTCTTTGAGGCCTTCGTTGGAAACGGGTTTTTTTCATATAAGGCTAGACAGAAGAATTCTCAGTAACTTCCTTGTGTTGTGTGTATTCAACTGACAGAGTTGAACTTTCATTTAGAGAGAGCAGATTTGAAACAGTGTTTTTGTGGAATTTGCAAGTGGAGATTTCAAGCGCTTTGGGGCCAAAGGCAGAAAAGGAAATATCTTCGTATAAAAACTAGACAGAATCATTCTCAGAAACTGCTGCGTGATGTGTGCGTTCAACTCACAGAGTTTAAGTTTTCTTTTCATTCAGCGGTTTGGAAACACTCTGTTTGTAAAGTCTGCACGTGGATATTTTGACCACTTAGAGGCCTTCGTTGGAAACGGGATTTTTTCATGTAAGGCTAGACAGAAGAATTCCCAGTAACTTCCTTGTGTTGTGTATATTCAACTCACAGAGTTGAACGTTCCCTTAGACAGAGCAGATTTGAAACACTCTTTTTGTGCAATTGGCAAGTGGAGATTTCAAGCGCTTTAAGGTCAATGGCCGAAAAGGAAATATCTTCGTTTCAAAACTAGACAGAATCATTCCCACAAACTGCGTTGTGATGTGTTCGTTCAACTCACAGAGTTTAACGTTTATTTTCATAGAGCCGTTAGGAAACACTCTGTTTGTAAACTCTGCAAGTGGATATTCAGACCTCTTTGAGGCCTTCGTTGGAAACGGGATTTCTTCATATTCTGCTAGACAGAAGAATTCTCAGTAACTTCCTTGTGTTGTGTGTATTCAACTCACAGAGTTGAACGATCCTTTACACAGAGCAGACTTGAAACACTCTTTTTGTGGAATTTGCAAGTGGAGATTTCAGCCGCTTTGAGGTCAATAGTAGAAAACGAAATATCTTCGTAGAAAAACTAGACAAAATGATTCTCAGAAACTTCTTTGTGATGTGTGCGTTCAACTCACAGAGTTTAACCTTTCTTTTCATAGAGCAGTTAGGAAACACTCTGTTTGTAAAGTCTGCAAGTGGATATTCAGACCTCTTTGAGGCCTTCTTTGGAAACGGGTTTTTTTCATATAAGGCTAGACAGAATAATTCTCAGAATCTTCCTTGTGTTGTGTGTATTCAACTGACAGAGTTGAACTTTCATTTAGAGAGAGCAGATTTGAAACACTGTTTTTGTGGAATTTGCAAGTGGAGATTTCAAGCGCTTTGGGGCCAAAGGCAGAAAAGGAAATATCTTCGTATAAAAACTAGACAGAATGATTCTCAGAAACTCCTTTGTGATGTGTCTGTTCAACTCACAGAGTTTAACTTTTCTTTTCATTCAGCGGTTTGGATACACTCTGTTTGTAAAGTCTGCACGTGGATATTTTGACCACTTAGAGGCCTTCGTTGGAAACGGGTTTTTTGAATGTAAGGCTAGACAGAAGAATTCCCAGTAACTTCCTTGTGTTGTCTACATTCAACTCACAGAGTTGAACGTTCCCTTAGACAGAACAGATTTGAAACACTCTTTTTGTGCAATTGGCAAGTGGTGATTTCAGCCGCTTTGAGGTCAATGGTAGAAAAGGAAATATCTTCGTATAAAAACTAGACAGAATCATTCCCACAAACTGCGTTGTGATGTGTTCGTTCAACTCACAGAGTTTAACCTTTCTTTTCATAGAGCAGTGAGGAAACAGTCTGTTTGTCAATTCTGTAAGTGGATATTCTGACATCTTGTGGCCTTAGTTGGAAACGGGATTTCTTCATATTCTGCTAGACAGAAGAATTCTTAGAAACTTCCTTGTGTTGTGTGTTTTCAACTCACAGAGTTGAACGATCCTTTACACAGAGCAGACTTGAAACACTCCTTTTGTGGAATTTGCAAGTGGAGATTTCAGCCGCTTTGAGGTCAATGGTAGAATAGGAAATATCTTCCTATAGAAAGTAGACAGAATGATTCTCAGAAACTCCTTTGTGATGTGTGCGTTCAACTCACAGAGTTTAACCTTTCTTTTCATAGAGCAGTTAGGAAACACTCTGTTTGTAAAGTCTGCAAGTGGATATTCAGACCTCCCTGAGGCCTTCGTTGGAAACGGGATTTCTTCATATTCTGCTACACAGAAGAATTCCCAGTAACTTCCTTGTGTTGTGTGTGTTCAACTCACAGAGTTGAACTTTCATTTACACAGAGCAGATTTGAAACACTCGTTTTGTGGAATTTGCAAGTGGAGATTTCAAGCGCTTTGAGGCCAAAGGCAGAAAAGGAAATATCTTCGTATAAAAACTAGACAGAATCATTCTCAGAAACTGCTCTGTGATGTGTGCGTTCAACTCTCAGAGTTTAACTTTTCTTTTCATTTAGCAGTTTGGAAACACTCTGTTTGTAAAGTCTGCACGTGGATAATTTGACCACTTAGAGGCCTTCGTTGGAAACGGGTTTTTTTCATGTAAGGCTAGACAGAAGAATTCCAAGTAACTTCCTTGTGTTGTGTACATTCAACTCACAGAGTTGAACGTTCCCTTAGACAGAGCAGATTTGAAACACTCTTTTTGTGCAATTGGCAAATGTAGATTTCAAGCGCTTTAAGGTCAATGGCAGAAAAGGAAATATCTTCGTTTCAAAACTAGACAGAATCATTCCCACAAACTGCGTTGTGATGTGTTCGTTCAGCTCACAGAGTTTAACCTTTCTTTTCATAGAGCAGTTAGGAAACAGTCTGTTTGTCAATTCTGTAAGTGGATATTCTGACATCTTGTGGCCTTCGTTGGAAACGGGATTTCTTCATATTCTGCTAGACAGAATAATTCTCAGTAAATTCCTTGTGCTGTGTGTATTCAACTCACAGAGTTGAACGATCCTTTACAGAGAGCAGACTTGAAACACTCTTTTTGTGGAATTTGCAAGTGGAGATTTCAGCCGCTTGGAGGTCAATGGTAGAATAGGAAATATCTTCCTATAGAAACTAGACAGAATGATTCTCAGAAACTCCTTTGTGATGTGTGCGTTCAACTCACAGAGTTTAACCTTTCTTCTCATAGAGCAGTTAGGAAACACTCTGTTTATAAAGGCTGCAAGTGGATATTCAGAACCCTTTGAGGCGTTCGTTGGAAACGGGATTTCTTCATATTATGCTAGACAGAAGAATTCCCAGTAACTTCCTTGTGTTGTGTGTGTTTAACTCACAGAGTTGAACTTTCATTTACACAGAGCAGATTTGAAACACTCTTTTTGTGGAATTTGCAGGTGGAGATTTCAAGCGCTTTGAGGCCAAAGGCAGAAAAGGAAATATCTTCGTATAAAAACTAGACAGAATCATTCTCAGAAACTGCTCTGCGATGTGTGGGTTCAACTCTCAGAGTTTAACTTTTCTTTTCATTCAGCAGTTTGGAAACACTCTGTTTGTAAAGTCTGCACGTGGATATTTTGACCACTTAGAGGCCTTCGTTGGAAACGGGTTTTTTTCCTGTAAGGCTAGACAGAAGAATTCCCAGTAACTTTCCTTGTGTTGTGTGCATTCAACTCACAGAGATGAACGTTCGCTTAGACAGAGCAGATTTGAAACACTCTATTTGTGCAATTTGCAAGTGTAGATTTCAAGCGCTTTAAGGTCAATGGCAGAAAAGGAAATATCTTCGTTTCAAAACTAGACAGAATCATTCCCACAAACTGCGTTGTGATGTGTTCGTTCAACTCACAGAGTTTAACCTTTCTGTTCATAGAGCAGTTAGGAAACACTCTGTTTGTAAAGTCTGTAAGTGGATATTCTGACATCTTGTGGCCTTCGTTGGAAACGTGATTTCTTCATATTCTGCTAGACAGAAGAATTCTCAGAATCTTCCTTGTGTTGTGTGTATTCAACTCACAGAGTTGAACGATCCTTTACACAGAGCAGACTTGAAACACTCTTTTTGTGGAATTTGCAAGTGGAGATTTCAGCCGCTTTGAGGTCCATGGTAGAAAACGAAATATCTTCGTATAAAAACTAGACAGAATGATTCTCAGAAACTCCTTTGTGATGTGTGCGTCCAAGTCACAGAGTTTAACCTTTCTTTTCATAGAGCAGTTAGGAAACACTCTGTTTGTAAAGTCTGCAAGTGGATATTCAGACCTCTTTGAGGCCTTCGTTGGAAACGGGATTTCTTCATATTCTGCTAGACAGAAGAATTCTCAGAATCTTCCTTGTGTTGTGTGTATTCAACTCACAGAGTTGAACGATGGTTTACACAGAGCAGATTTGAAACACTCTTTTTGTGGAATCTGCAAGTGGAGATTTCAGCCGCTTTGAGGTCAATGGTAGAAAAGGAAATATCTTCGTATAAAAACTAGACAGAATGATTCTCAGAAACTCCTTTGTGATGTGTGCGTTCAACTCACAGAGTTTAACCTTTCTTTTAATAGAGCATTTAGGAAACACTCTGTTTGTAAAGTCTGCAAGTGGATAATCAGACCTCTTTGAGGCCTTCGTTAGAAACGGGATTTCTTCATATTCTGCTAGACAGAAGAATTCCCAATAACTTCCTTGTGTTGTGTGTGTTCAACTCACAGAGTTGAACTTTCATTTACACAGAGCAGATTTGAAACACTCTTTTTGTGGAATTTGCAAATGGAGATTTCAAGCGCTTTGAGGCCAAAGGCAGAAAAGGAAATATCTTCGTATACAAAATACACAGAATCATTCTCAGAAACTGCTGCGTGATGTGTGCGTTCAACTCTCAGAGTTTAACTTTTCTTTTCATTCAGCGGTTTGGAAACACTCTGTTTGTAAAGTCTGCACGTGGATATTTTGACCACTTAGAGACCTTCGTTGGAAACGGGTTTTTTTCATGTAAGGCTAGACAGAAGAATTCCCAGTAACTTCCTTGTGTTGTGCGCATTCAACTCACAGAGTTGAACGTTCCCTTAGACAGAGCAGATTTGAAACAGCCTATTTGTGCAATTTGCAAGTGTACATTTCAAGCACTTTAAGGTCAACGGCAGAAAAGGAAATATCTTCCTTTCAAAACTAGACAGAATCATTCCCACAAACTGCGTTGTGATGTGTTCGTTCAACTCACAGAGTTTAACCTTTCTTTTCATAGAGCAGTTAGGAAACAGTCTGTTTGTAAATTCTGTAAGTGGATATTCTGACATCTTGTGGCCTTCGTTGGAAAAGGGATTTCTTCATATTCTGCTAGACAGAAGAATTCTCAGTAACTTCCTTGTGTTGTGTGTATTCAACTCACAGAGTTGAACGATCCTTTACACAGAGCAGACTTGAAACACTCTTTTTGTGGAATTTGCAAGTGGAGATTTCAGCCGCTGTGAGGTCAATAGTAGAAAAGGAAATATCTTCGTAGAAAAACTAGACAGAATGATTCTCAGAAACTCCTTTGTGATGTGTGTGTTCAACTCACAGAGTTTAACCTTTCTTTTCATAGAGCAGTTAGGAAACACTCTGTTTGTAATGTCTGCAAGTGGATATTCAGACCTCTTTGAGGACTTCGTTGGAAACGGGTTTTTTTCATATAAGGCTAGACAGAAGAATTCCCAATAACTTCCTTGTGTTGTGTGTGTTCAACTCACAGAGTTGAACTTTCATTTACACAGAGCAGATTTGAAACACTCTTTTTGTGGAATTTGCAAATGGAGATTTCAAGCGCTTTGAGGCCAAAGGCAGAAAAGGAAATATCTTCGTATAAAAACTACACAGAATCATTCTCAGAAACTGCTCTGCGATGTGTGCGTTCAACTCTCAGAGTTTAACTTTTCTTTTGATTCAGCAGTTTGGAAACACTCTGTTTGTAAAGTCTGCACGTGGATATTTTGACCACTTAGAGGCCTTCGTTGGAAACGGGTTTCTTTCCTGTAAGGCTAGACAGAAGAATTCCCAGTAACTTCCTTGTGTTGTGTAAATTCAACTCACAGAGTTGAACGTTCCCTTAGACAGAGCAGATTTGAAACACTCTTTTTGTGCAATTGGCAAGTGGAGATTTCAAGCGCTTTAAGGTCAATGGCAGAAAAGGAAATATCTTCGTTTCAAAACTAGACAGAATCATTACCACAAACTGCGTTGTGATGTGTTCGTTCATCTCACAGAGTTTAACCTTTCTTTTCATAGAGCAGTTAGGAAACAGTCTGTTTGTAAATTCTGTAAGTGGATATTCTGACATCTTGTGGCCTTCGTTGGAAACGGGATTTCTTCATATTCTGCTAGACAGAAGAATACTCAGTAACTTCCTTGTGTTGTGTGTATTCAACTCACAGAGTTGAACGATCCTTTACACAGAGCAGACTTGAAACACTCTTTTTGTGGAATTTGCAAGTGGAGATTTCAGCCGCTTTGAGGTCAATAGTAGAAAAGGAAATATCTTCCTAGAAAAACTAGACAGAATGATTCTCAGAAACTCCTTTGTGATGTGTGCGTTCAACTCACAGAGTTTAACATTTCTTTTCATAGAGCAGTTAGGAAACACTCTGTTTGTAAAGTCTGCAAGTGGATATTCAGACCTCTTTGAGGCCTTCTTTGGAAACGGGTTTTTTTCATATAAGGCTAGACAGAAGAATTCCCAGTAACTTCCTTTTGTTGTGTGTGTTCAACTCACAGAGTTGAACTTTCACTTACACAGAGCAGATTTGAAACACTCTTTTTGTGGAATTTGCAAGTGGAGATTTCAAGCGCTTTGAGGCCAAAGGCAGAAAAGGAAATATCTTCGTATAAAAACTAGACAGAATCATTCTCAGAAACCGCTCTGTGATGTGTGTGTTCAACTCTCAGAGTTTAACTTTTCTTTCCATTCAGCAGTTTGGAAACACTCTGTTTGTAAAGTCTGCACGTGGATATTTTGACCACTTAGAGGTCTTCGTTGGAAACGGGTTTTTTTCATGTAAGGCTAGACAGAAGAATTCCCAGTAACTTCCTTGTGTTGTGTGCATTCTACTCAGAGAGTTGAACGTTCCCTTAGACAGAGCAGATTTGAAACACTCTATTTGTGCAAATTGCAAGTGTAGATTTCAAGCGCTTTAAGGTCAATGGCAGAAAAGGGAATATCTTCGTTTCAAAACTAGACAGAATCATTCCCTCAAACTGCGTTGTGATGTGTTCGTTCAACTCACAGAGTTTAACCTTTCTGTTCATAGAGCAGTTAGGAAACTCTCTGTTTGTAAAGTCTGTAAGTGGATATTCTGACATCTTGTGGCCTTCGTTGGAAACGGGATTTCTTCATATTCTGCTAGACAGAAGAATTCTCAGTAACTTCCTTGTGTTGTGTGTATTCAACTCACAGAGTTGAACGATTCTTTACACAGAGCAGACTTGAAACACTCTTTTTGTGGAATTTGCAAGTGGAGATTTCAGCCGCTTTGAGGTCAATGGTAGAAAAGGAAATATCTTCGTATAAAGAGTAGACAGAATGATTCTCATAAACTCCTTTGTGATGTGTGCGTTCAACTCACAGAGTTTAACTTTTCTTTTCATAGAGCAGTTAGGAAACACTCTGTTTGTAAAGTCTGCAAGTGGATATTCAGACCTCTTTGAGGCCTTCGTTGGAAACGGGATTTCTTCATATTTTGCTAGACAGAAGAATTCTCAGTAACTTCCTTGTGTGGTGTGTATTCAACTGACAGAGTTGAACTTTCATTTAGAGAGAGCAGATTTGAAACACTGTTTTTGTGGAATTTGCAAGTGGAGATTTCAAGCGCTTTGGGGCCAAAGGCAGAAAAGGAAATATCTTCGTATAAAAAGTAGACAGAATCATTCTCAGAAAATCCTCTGTGATGTGTGCGTTCAACTCTCAGAGTTTAACTTTTCTTTTCATTCAGCAGTTTGGAAACACTCTGTTTGTAAAGTCTGCACGTGGATATTTTGACCACTTAGAGGCCTTCGTTGGAAACGGGTTTTTTCATGTAAGGGTAGACAGAAGAAATCCCAGTAACTTCCTTGTGTTGTGTGCATTCAACTCACAGAGTTGAACGTTCCCTTAGACAGAGCAGATTTGAAACACTCTATTTGTGCAATTTGCAAGTGTAGATTTCAAGTGCTTTAAGGTCAACGGCAGAAAAGGAAATATCTTCGTTTCAAAACTAGACAGAATCATTCTCAGAAACTGCTCTGCGATGTGTGCGTTCAACTCTCAGAGTTTAACTTTTCTTTTCATTCAGCAGTGTGGAAAAACTCTGTTTGTTAAGTCTGCACGTGGATATTTTGACCACTTAGAGGCCTTCGTTGGAAACGGGTTTTTTTCCTGTAAGGCTAGACAGAAGAATTCTCAGTAACTTCCTTGTGCTGTGTGTATTCAACTCACAGAGTTGAACGATCCTTTACAGAGAGCAGACTTTAAACACTCTTTTTGTGGAATTTGCAAGTGGAGACTTCAGCCGCTTTGAGGTCAATGGTAGAAAAGGAAATATCTTCGTATAAAGACTAGACAGAAAGATTCTCAGAAACTCCTTTGTGATGTGTGCGTTCAACTCACAGAGTTTAACCTTTCTTTTCATAGAGCAGTTAGGAAACACTCTGTTTCTAAAGTCTGCAAGTGGATATTCAGACCTCTTTGAGGCCTTCGTTGGAAACGGGTTTTTTTCATATAAGGCTAGACAGAAGAATTCCCAGTAACTTCCATGTGTTGTGTGTGTTCAACTCAGAGAGTTGAACTTTCATTTACACTGAGCAGATTTGAAACACTCTTTTTGTAGAATTTGCAAATGGAGATTTCAAGCGCTTTGAGGCCAGAGGCAGAAAAGGAAATATCTTCGTATAAAAACTAGACAGAATCATTCTCAGAAACTGCTCTGCGATGTGTGCGTTCAACTCTCAGAGTTTAACTTTTCTTTTCATTCAGCAGTTTGGAAACACTCTGTTTGTAAAGTCTGCACGTGGATAATTTGACCACTTAGAGGTCTTCGTTGGAAACGGGTTTTTTTCATGTAAGGCTAGACAGAAGAATTCCCAGTAACTTCCTTGTGTTGTGTGCATTCAACTCACAGAGTTGAACGTTCCCTTAGACAGAGCAGATTTGAAACACTCTATTTGTGCAATTTGCAAGTGTAGTTTTCAAGCTCTTTAAGGTCAACGGCAGAAAAGGAAATATCTTGGTTTCAAAACTAGACAGAATCATTCCCACAAACTGCGTTGTGATGTTTTCGTTCAACTCACAGAGTTTAACCTTTCTGTTCATAGAGTAGTTAGGAAACACTCTGTTTGTAAAGTCTGTAAGTGGATATTCTGACATCTTGTGGCCTTCGTTGGAAACGGGATTTCTTCATATTCTGCTAGACAGAAGAATTCTCAGTAACTTCCTTGTGTTGTGTGTATTCAACTCACAGAGTTGAACGATCCTTTACACAGAGCGGACTTGAAACACTCTTTTTGTGGAATTTGCAAGTGGAGATTTTAGCCGATTTGAGGTCAATGGTAGAATAGGAAATATCTTCCTATAGAAACAAGACAGATAGATTCTCAGAAACTCCTTTGTGATGTGTGCGTTCAACTCACAGAGTTTAACCTTTCTTTTCATAGAGCAGTTAGGAAACACTCTGTTTGTAAAGTCTGCAAGTGGATATTCAGACCTCTTTGGGGCCTTCGTTGGAAACGGGTTTTTTTCATATAAGGCTAGACAGAAGAATTCTCAGTAACTTCCTTGTGTTGTGTGTATTCAACTGACAGAGTTGAACTTTCATTTAGAGAGAGCAGATGTGAAACACTGTTTTTGTGGAATTTGCAAGTGGAGATTTCAAGCGCTTTGGGGCCAAAGGCAGAAAAGGAAATATCTTCGTATAAAAACTAGACAGAATCATTCTCAGAAACTGCTGCGTGATGTGTGCGTTCAACTCTCAGAGTTTAACTTTTCTTTTCATTCAGCGGTTTGGAAACACTCTGTTTGTAAAGTCTGCACGTGGATATTTTGACCACTTAGAGGCCTTCGTTGGAATCGGGTTTTTTGCATGTAAGGCTAGACAGAAGAATTCTTAGTAACTTCCTTGTGTTGTGTGTATTCAACTCACAGAGTTGAACGATCCTTTACACAGAGCAGACTTGTAACACTCTTTTTGTGGAATTTGCAAGTGGAGATTTCAGCCGCTTTGAAGTCAAAGGTAGAAAAGGAAATATCTTCCTATAAAAACTAGACAGAATCATTCCCACAAACTGCGTTGTGATGTGTTCGTTCAACTCACAGAGTTTAACCTTTCTGTTCATAGAGCAGTTAGGAAACACTCTGTTTGTAAAGTCTGTAAGTGGATATTCAGACATCTTGTGGCCTTCGTTGGAAACGGGATTTGTTCATATTCTGCTAGACAGAATAATTCTCAGTAACTTCCTTGTGTTGTGTGTATTCAACTCACAGTAGTTGAAGGATCCTTTACAGACAGCAGGCTTGAAACACTCTTTTTGTCGAATTTGCAAGTGGAGATTTCAGCCGCTTTGTGGTCAATGGTAGAATACGAAACATCTTCTTATAGAAACTAGACAAAATGATTCTCAGAAACTCCTTTGTGATGTGTGCGATCAACTCACAGAGTTTAACCTTTCTTTTCATAGAGCAGTTAGGAAACACTCTGTTTGTAAAGTCTGCAAGTGGATATTCAGACCTCTTTGAGGCCTTCGTTGGAAACGGGTTGTTTTCATATAAGGCTAGACAGAAGAATTCCCAGTAACTTCCTTGTGTTGTGTGTGTTCAACTCACAGAGTTGAACTTTCATTTACACAGAGCAGATTGGAAACACTCTTTTTGTGGAATTTGCAAGTGGAGATTTCAAGCGCTTTGAGGCCAAAGGCTGAAAAGGAAATATCTTCGTATAAAAACTAGACAGAATCATTCTCAGAAACTACTCTGCGATGTTTGCGTTCAACTCTCAGAGTTTAACTTTTCTTTTCATTCAGCAGTTTGGAAACACTCTGTTTGTAAAGTCTGCACATGGATATTTTGACCACTTAGAGGCCTTCGTTGGAAACGGGTTTCTTTCCTGTAAGGCTAGACAGAAGAATTCCCAGTAACTTCCTTGTGTTGTGTGCATTCAACTCACAGAGTTGAACGTTCCCTTAGACAGAGCAGATTTGAAACACTCTATTTGTACAATTTGCAAGTGTAGATTTCAAGCGCTTTAAGGTCAACGGCAGAAAAGGAAATATCTTCGTTTCAAAACTAGACAGAATCATTCCCACAAACTGCATTGTGATGTGTTCGTTCAACTCACAGAGTTTAACCTTTCTGTTCATAGAGCAGTTAGGAAACACTCTGTTTGTAAAGTCTGCAAGTGCATATTCAGACCTCTTTGAGGCCTTCGTTGGAAACGTTATTTCTTCATATTATGCTAGACAGAAGAATTCTCAGTAACTTCCTTGTGTTGTGTGTATTCAACTCACAGAGTTGAACGATCCTTTAAACAGAGCAGACTTGAAACACTCTTTTTGTGGAATTTGCAAGTGGAGATTTCAGCCGCTTTGAGGTCAATGGTAGAAAAGGAAATATCTTCGTATAGAAACAAGACAGAATGATTCTCAGAAACTCCTTTGTGATGTGTGCGTTCAACTCACAGAGTTTAACCTTTCTTTGCATAGAGCACTTAGGAAACACTCTGTTTGTAAAGTCTGCAAGTGGATATTCAGACCTCTTTGAGGCCTTCGTTGGAAACGGGTTTTTTTCATATAAGGCTAGACAGAAGAATTCTCAGTAACTTCCTTGTGTTGTGTGTATTCAACTGACAGAGTTGAACTTTCATTTAGAGAGAGCAGATTTGAAATACTGTTTTTGTGGAATTTGCAAGTGGAGATTTCAAACGCTTTGGGGCCAAAGGCAGAAAAGGAAATATCTTCGTATGAAAACTAGACAGAATCATTCTCAGAAACTGCTGTGTGATGTGTGCGTTCAACTCTCAGAGTTTAACTTTTCTTTTCATTCAGCGGTTTGGAAACACTCTGTTTGTAAAGTCTGCACGTGGATATTTTGACCACTTAGAGCCCTTCGTTGGAAACGGGATTTTTTCATGTAAGGCTAGACAGAAGAATTCCCAGTAACTTCCTTGTGTTGTGTGCATTCAACTCACAGAGTTGAACGTTCTCTTAGACAGAGCAGATTTGAAACACTCTATTTGTGCAATTTGCAAGTGTAGATTTCAAGCGCTTTAAGGTCAATGGCAGAAAAGGAAATATCTTCGTTTCAAAACTAGACAGAATCATTCCCACAAACTGCGTTGTGATGTGTTCGTTCAACTCACAGAGTTTAACCTTTCTGTTCATAGAGCAGTTAGGAAACACGCTCTTTGTAAAGTCCGTAAGTGGATATTCTGACATCTTCTGGCCTTCGTTGGAAACGGGATTTCTTCATATTCCGCTAGACAGAAGAATTCTCAGTAACTTCCTTGTGTTGTGTGTATTCAACTCACAGATTTGAACGATCCTTTACACAGAGCAGACTTGAAACACTCTTTTTGTGGAATTTGCAAGTGGAGATTTCAGCCGCTTTGAGGTCAATGGTAGAAAAGGAAATATCTTCGTATAAAAACTAGACAGAATGATTCTCAGAAACTTCTTTGTGATGTGTGCGTTCAACTCACAGAGTTTAACCTTTCTATTCATAGAGCAGTTAGGAAACACTCTGTTTGTAAACTCTGCAAGTGGATATTCAGACCTCTTTGAGGCCTTCGTTGGAAACGGGATTTCTTCATACTGTGCTAGACAGAAGAATTCTCAGTAACTTCCTTGTGTTGTGTGTATTCCACTCACAGAGTTGAACTTTCATTTAGAGAGAGCAGATTTGCAACACTGTTTTTGTGGAATTTGCAAATGGAGATTTCAAGCGCTTTGGGGCCAAAGGCAGAAAAGGAAATATCTTCGTATAAAAACTAGACAGAATCATTCTCAGAAACTGCTCTGCGCTGTGTGCGTTCAACTCTCAGAGTTTAACTTTTCTTTTCATTCAGCAGTTTGGAAACACTCTGTTTGTAAAGTCTGCACGTGGATAACTTGACCACTTAGAGGCCTTCGTTGGAAACGGGTTTTTTTCCTGTAAGGCTAGACAGAAGAATTCCCAGTAACTTCCTTGTGTTGTGTGCATTCAACTCACAGAGTTGAACGTTCCCTTAGACAGAGCAGATTTGAAACACTCTATTTGTGCAATTTGCAAGTGTAGTTTTCAAGCTCTTTAAGGTCAACGGCAGAAAAGGAAATATCTTCGTTTCAAAACTAGACAGAATCATTCCCACAAACTGCGTTGTGATGTGTTCGTTCAACTCACAGAGTTTAACCTCTCTGTTCATAGAGCAGTTAGGAAACACTCTGTTTGTAAAGTCTGTAAGTGGATATTCTGACATCTTGTGGCCTTCGTTGGAAACGGGATTTCTTCATATTCTGCTAGACAGAAGAATTCTCAGAAACTTCCTGGTGTTGTGTGTTTTCAACTCACAGAGTTCAACGATCCTTTACACAGAGTAGACTTGAAACACTCTTTTTGTGGAATTGGCAAGTGGAGATTTCAGCCGCTTTGAGGTAAAGGGTAGAAAAGGAAATATCTTCGTACAAAAACTAGACAGAATGATTCTCAGAAACTCCTTTGTGATGTGTGCGTTCAACTCACGGAGTTTACCCTTTCTTTTCATAGAGCAGTTAGGAAACACTCTGTTTGTAAAGTCTGCAAGTGGATATTCAGACATCCTTGAGGCTTTCGTTGGAAACGGGATTTCTTCATATTCTGCTAGAAAGAAGAATTCCCAGTAACTTACCTTGTGTTGTGTGTGTTGAACTCACAGAGTTGAACTTTCATTTACACAGAGCAGATTTGAAACACTCTTTTTGTGGAATTTGCAAGTGGAGATTTCAAGCGCTTTCAGGCCAAAGGCAGAAAAGGAAATATCTTCGTATAAAAACTAGACAGAATCATTCTCAGCAAACTGCTCTGCGATGTGTGCATTCAACTCTCAGAGTTTAACTTTTCTTTTCATTCAGCAGTTTGGAAACACTCTGTTTGTAAAGTCTGCACGTGGATAACTTGACCACTTAGAGGCCTTCGTTGGAAACGGGTTTTTTTCATGTAAGGCTAGACAGAAGAATTCCCAGTAACTTCCTTGTGTTGTGTACATTCAACTCACAGAGTTGAACGTTCCCTTAGACAGAGCAGATTTGAAACACTCTTTTTGTGCAATTGGCAAGTGGAGATTTCAAGCGCTTTAAGGTCAATGGCAGAAAAGGAAATATTTTCGTTTCAAAACTAGACAGAATCATTCCCACAAACTGCGTTGTGATGTGTTGGTACAACTCACAGAGTTTAACCTTTCTGTTCATAGAGCAGTTAGGAAACACTCTGTTTGTAAAGTCTGTAAGTGGATATTCAGACATCCTGTGGCCTTCGTTGGAAACGGGATTTCTTCATATTCTGCTAGACAGAAGAATTCTCAGTAACTTCCTTGTGTTGTGTGTATTCAACTCACAGAGTTCAACGATCCTTTACACAGAGCAGTCTTGAAACACTCTTTTTGTGGAATTTGCAAGTGGAGATTTCTGACGCTTTGAGGTCAATGGTAGAATAGGAAATATCTTCCTATAGAAACTAGACAGAATGATTCTCAGAAACTCCTTTGAGATGTGTGTGTTCAACTCACAGAGTTTAACCTTTCTTTTCATAGAGCAGTTAAGAATCACTCTGTTTGTAAAGTCTGCAAGTGGATATTCAGACCTCTTTGAGGCCTTCGTTGGAAACGGGTTTTTTTCATATAAGGCTAGACAGAAGAATTCTCAGAAACTTCCTTGTGTTGTGTGTTTTCAACTCACAGAGTTGAACGATCCTTTACACAGAGCAGACTTGAAACTCTCTTTTTGTGGAATTTGCAATTGGAGATTTCAGCCGCTTTGAGGTCAATGGTAGAATAGGAAATACCTTCCTATAGAAACTAGACAGAATGATTCTCAGAAACTCCTTTGTGATGTGTGCGTTGAACTCACAGAGTTTAACCTTTCTTTTCATAGAGCAGTTAGGAAACACTCTGTTTGTAAAGTCTGCAAGTGGATATTCAGACATCTTTGAGGCTTTCGTTGGAAACGGGATTTCTTCATATTCTGCTAGACAGAAGAATTCCCAGTAACTTCCTTGTGTTGTGTGTGTTCAACTCACAGAGTTGAACTTTCATTTACACAGAGCAGATTTGAAACACTCTTTTTGTGGAATTTGCAAGTGGAGATTTCAAGCGCTTTGAGGCCAAAGGCAGAAAAGGAAATACCTTCGTATAAAAACTAGACAGAATCATTCTCAGAAACTGCTCTGCGATGTGTGCGTTCAACTCTCAGAGTTTAACTTTTCTTTTCATTCAGCAGTTTGGAAACACTCTGTTTGTAAAGTCTGCACGTGGATATTTTGACCACTTAGAGGCCTTCGTTGGAAACGGGTTTTTTTCCTGTAATGCTAGACAGAAGAATTCCCAGTAACTTCCTTGTGTTGTGTGAATTCAACTCACAGAGTTGAACGTTCCCTTAGACAGAGCAGATTTGAAACACTCTATTTGTGCAATTTGCAAGTGTAGATTTCAAGCGCTTTAAGGTCAACGCCAGAAAAGGAAATATCTTCATTTCAAAACTAGACAGAATCATTCCCACAAACTGCGTTGTGATGTGTTCGTTCAACTCACAGAGTTTAACCTTTCTGTTCATAGAGCAGTTAGGAAACACTCTGTTTGTAAAGTCTGTAAGTGGATATTCAGACATCTTGTGGCCTTCGTTGGAAACAGGATTTCTTCATATTCTGCTAGACAGAAGAATTCTCAGAATCTTCCTTGTGTTGTGTGTATTCAACTCACACGGTTGAACGATCCTTTACACAGAGCAGATTTGAAACACTCATTTGGTGGAATTTGCAAGTGGAGATTTCAGCCGCTTTGAGGTCAATGGTAGAAAAGGAAATATCTTCGTATAACAACTAGACAGAATGATTCTCAGAAACTCCTTTGTGATGTGTGCGTTCAACTCACAGAGTTTAACCTTTCTTTTCATAGAGCAGTTAGGAAACACTCTGTTTGTAAAGTCTGCAAGTGGATATTCAGACCTCCTTGAGGTCTTCGTTGGAAACGGGTTTTTTTCATATAAGGCTAGACAGAAGAATTCCCAGTAACTTCCTTGTGTTGTGTGTGTTCAACTCACAGAGTTGAACTTTCATTTACACAGAGCAGATTTGAAACACTCTTTTTGTGGAATATGTAAGTGGAGATTTCAAGCGCTTTGAGGCCAAAGGCAGAAAAGGAAATATCTTCGTTTCAAAACTAGACAGAATCATTCTCAGAAACTGCTGCGTGATGTGTGCGTTCAACTCTCAGAGTTTAACTTTTCTTTTCATTCAGCGGTTTGGAAACACTCTGTTTGTAACATCTGTACGTGGATATTTTGACCACTTAGAGGCCTTCGTTGGAAACGGGTTTTTTTCATGTAAGGCTAGACAGAAGAATTCCCAGTAACTTCCTTGTGTTGTGTGCATTCAACTCACAGAGTTGAACGTTCCCTTAGACAGAGCAGATTTGAAACACTCTATTTGAGCAATTTGCAAGTGTAGTTTTCAAGCTCTTTTAGGTCAACGGCAGAAAAGGAAATATCTTGGTTTCAAAACTAGACAGAATCATTCCCACAAACTGCGTTGTGATGTGTTCGTTCAACTCACAGCGTTTTACCTTTCTGTTCATAGAGCAGTTAGGAAACACTCTGTTTGTCAAGTCTGTAAGTGGATATTCTGACATCTTGTGGCCTTCGTTGGAAATGGGATTTCTTCATATTCTGCTAGACAGAAGAATTCTCAGTAACTTCCTTGTGTTGTGTGTATTCAACTCACAGAGTTGCACGATCCTTTACACAGAGCAGACTTGAAACAATCTTTTTGTGGAATTTGCAAGTGGAGATTTCAGCCGCTTTGAGTTCAATGGTAGAATAGGAAATATCTTCCTATAGAAACTAGACAGAATCATTCCCACAAACTGCGTTGTGATGTGTTCGTTCAACTCACAGAGTTTAACCTTTCTGTTCATAGAGCAGTTAGGAAACACCCTGTTTGTAAAGTCTGCAAGTGGATATTCAGACCTCTTTGAGGCCTTCGTTGGAAACGGGATTTCTTCATATTATGCTAGACAGAAGAATTCTCAGTAACTTCCTTGTGTTGTGTGTATTCAACTGACAGAGTTGAACTATCATTTAGAGAGAGCAGATTTGAAACACTGTTTTTGTGGAATTTGCAAGTGGAGATTTCAAGCGCTTTGGGGCCAAAGGCAGAAAAGGAAATATCTTCGTATAAAAACTAGACAGAATCATTCTCAGAAACTGCTCTGCGATGTGTGCGTTCAACTCTCAGAGTTTAACTTTTCTTTTCATTCAGCAGTTTGGAAACACTCTGTTTGTAAAGTCTGCACGTGGATATTTTGACCACTTAGAGGCCTTCGTTGGAAACGGGTTTTTTTCCTGTAAGGCTAAACAGAAGAATTCCCAGTAACTTCCTTGTGTTGTGTACATTCAACTCACAGAGTTGAACGTTCACTTAGACAGAGCAGATTTGAAACACTCTTTTTGTGCAATTGGCAAATGGAGATTTCAAGCGCTTTAAGGTCAATGGCAGAAAAGGAAATATCTTCGTTTCAAAACTAGACAGAATCATTCCCACAAACTGCGTTGTGATGTGTTCGTTCAACTCACAGAGTTTAACCTTTCTTTTCATAGAGCAGTTAGGAAACAGTCTGTTTGTCAATTCTGTAAGTGGATATTCTGACATCTTGTGACCTTCGTTGGAAACGGGATTTCTTCATATTCTGCTAGACAAAAGAATTCTCAGTAACTTCCTTGTGTTGTGTTTATTCAACTCACAGAGTTGAATGATCCTTTACACAGAGCAGACTTGAAACACTCTTTTTGTGGAATTTGCAAGTGGAGATTACAGCCGCTTTGAGGTCAATGGTAGAAAAGTAAATATCTTCGTATAAAGACTAGACAGAATGATTCTCAGAAACTCCTTTGTGATGTGTGGGTTCAACTCACAGAGTTTAACCTTTCTTTTTCATAGAGCAGTTAGGAAACACTCTGTTTGTAAAGTCTGCAAGTGGATATTCAGACCTCGTTGAGGCCTTCGTTGGAAACGGGATTTCTTCATATTCTGCTAGACAGAAGAATTCTCAGTAACTTCCTTGTGTTGTGTTTATTCAACTCACAGAGTTGAATGATCCTTTACACAGAGCAGACTTGAAACACTCTTTTTGTGGAATTTGCAAGTGGAGATTTCAGCCGCTTTGCGGTCAATGGTAGAAAAGTAAATATCTTCGTATAAAGACTAGACAGAATCATGCTCAGAAACTGCTCTGCGATGTGTGCGTTCAACTCTCAGAGTTTAACTTTTCTTTTCATTCAGCAGTTTGGAAACACTCTGTTTGTAAAGTCTGCACGTGGATAATTTGACCACTTAGAGGCCTTCGTTGGAAACGGGTTTTTTTCATGTAAGGCTAGACAGAAGAATTCCCAGTAACTTCCTTGTGTTGTGTGCATTCAACTCACAGAGTTGAACGTTCCCTTTGACAGAGCAGATTTGAAACACTGTATTTGTGCAATTTGCAAGTGTAGATTTCAAGCGCTTTAAGGTCAATGGCAGAAAAGGAAATTTCTTCGTTTCAAAACTAGACAGAATCATTCCCACAAACTGCGTTGTGATGTGCTCGTTCATCTCACAGAGTTTAACCTTTCTTTTCATAGAGCAGTTAGGAAACACTCTGTTTGTAAATTCTGTAAGTGGATATTCTGACATCTTGTGGCCTTCGCTGGAAACGGGATTTCTTCATATTCTGCTAGACAGAAGAATTCTCAGTAACTTCCCTTGTGTTGTGTGTATTCAACTCACAGAGTTGAACGATCCTTTACACAGAGCAGACTTGAAACACTCTTTTTGTGGAATTTGCAAGTGGAGATTTCAGCCGCTTTGAGGTCAATGGTAGAATAGGAAATATCTTCCTATAGAAAGTAGACAGAATGATTCTCAGAAACTCCTTTGTGATGTGTGCGTTCAACTCACAGAGTTTAACCTTTCTTTTCATAGAGCAGTTAGGAAACACTCTGTAAAGTCTGCAAGTGGATATTCAGACATCTTTGAGGCCTTCGTTGGAAACGGGATTTCTTCATATTATGCTAGACAGAAGAATTCTCAGTAACTTCCTTGTGTTGTGTGTATTCAACTGACAGAGTTGAACTTTCATTTAGAGAGAGCAGATTTGAAACACTGTTTTTGTGGAATTTGCAAGTGGAGATTTCAATCGCTTTGGGGCCAAAGGCAGAAAAGGAAATATCTTCGTATAAAAACTAGACAGAATCATTCTCAAAAACTGCTGCGTGATGTTTGCGTTCAACTCTCAGAGTTTAACTTTTCTTTTCATTCAGCGGTTTGGAAACACTCTGTTTGTAAAGTCTGCACGTGGATATTTTGACCACTTAGAGGCCTTCGTTGGAAACGGGTTTTTTTCATGTAAGGCTAGACAGAAGAATTCCCAGTAACTTCCTTGTGTTGTGTGCATTCAACTCACAGAGTTGAACGTTCCCTTAGACAGAGCAGATTTGAAACACTCTATTTGTGCAATTTGCAAGTGTAGATTTCAAGCGCTTTAAGGTCAACGGCCGAAAAGGAAATATCTTCGTTTCAAAACTAGACAGAATCATTCCCACAAACTGCGTTGTGATGTGTTCGTTCAACTCACAGAGTTTAACCTTTCTGTTCATAGAGCAGTTAGGAAACACTCTGTAAAGTCTGTAAGTGGATATTCTGACATCTTGTGGCCTTCGTTGGAAACGGGATTTCTTCATATTCTGCTAGACAGAAGAATTCCCAGTAACTTCCTTGTGTTGTGTGTGTTCAACTCACAGAGTTGAACTTTCATTTACACAGAGCAGATTTGAAACACCCTTTTTGTGGAATTTGCAAATGGAGATTTCAGCCGCGTTGAGGTCAATGGTAGAAAAGGAAATATCTTCGTTTCAAAACTAGACAGAATGATTCTCAGAAACTCCTTTGTGATGTGTGCCTTCAACTCACAGAGTTCAACCTTTCTTTTTATAGAGCAGTTGGGAAACACTCTGTTTGTAAAGTCTGCATGTGCATATTCAGAGTTCTTTGAGGCCTTCGTTGGAAGCGGGATTTCTTCATATTCTGCTAGACAGAAGAATTCTCAGTAACTTCCTTGTGTTGTGTGTATTCAACTCACAGAGTTGAACGATCCTTTACACAGAGCAGACTTGAAACACTCTTTTTGTGGAATTTGCAATTGGAGATTTCAGCCGCTTTGAGGTCAATGGTAGAATAGGAAATATCTTCCTATAGAAACTAGACAGAATCATTCTCAGAAACTGCTCTGCGATGTGTGCGTTCAAATCTCAGAGTTTAACTTTTCTTTTCATTCAACAGTTTGAAAACACTCTGTTTGTAAAGACTGCACGTGGATATTTTGACCACTTAGAGGCCTTCGTTGGAAACGGGTTTTTTTCCTGTAAGGCTAGACAGAAGAATTCCCAGGAACTTCCTTGTGTTGTGTACATTCAACTCACAGAGTTGAACGTTCCCTTAGACAGAGCAGATTTGAAACACTCTTTTTGTGCAATTGGCAAGTGGTGATTTCAGCCTCTTTGAGGTCAATGGTAGAAAAGGAAATATCTTCGTATAAAAACTAGACAGAATCATTCCCACAAACTGCGTTGTGATGTGTTCGTTCAACTCACAGAGTTTAACATTTCTGTTCATAGAGCAGTTAGGAAACACTCTGTTTGTAAAGTCTGTAAGTGGATATTCTGACATCTTGTGGCCTTCGTTGGAAACGGGATTTCTTCATATTCTGCTAGACAGAATAATTCTCAGTAACTTCCTTGTGTTGTGTGTACTCAACTCACAGAGTTGAACGATCCTTTACAGAGAGCAGACTTGAAACACTCTTTTTGTGGAATTTGCAAGTGGAGATTTCAGCCGCTTTGAGGTCAATGGTAGAAAAGGAAATATCTTTGTATAAAGACTAGACAGAATGATTCTCAGAAACTCCTTTGTGATGTGTGCGTTCAACTCACAGAGTTTAACCTTTCTTTTCATAGAGCAGTTAGGAAACACTCTGGTTGTAAAGTCTGCAAGTGGATATTCAGACCTCTTTGAGGCCTTCGTTGGAAACGGGATTTCTTCATATTCTGCTAGACAGAAGAATTCCCAGTAACTTCCTTGTGTTGTGTGTATTCAACTCACAGAGTTGAACGATCCTTTACACAGAGCAGTCTTGAAACACTCTTTTTGTGGAATTTGCAAGTGGAGATTTCTGCCGGTTTGAGGTCAATGGTAGAATAGGAAAAAACTTCCTATAGAAACTAGACAGAATGATTCTCAGAAACTGCTGCGTGATGTGTGCGTTCAACTCTCAGAGTTTAACTTTTCTTTTCATTCAGCGGTTTGGAAACACTCTGTTTGTAAAGTCTGCACGTGGATATTTTGACCACTTAGAGGCCTTCGTTGGAAACGGGTTTTTTTCATGTAAGGCTAGACAGAAGAATTCCCAGTAACTTCCTTGTGTTGTGTACATTCAACTCACAGAGTTGAACGTTCCCTTAGACACAGCAGATTTGAAACACTCTTTTTGTGCAATTGGCAAGTGGAGATTTCAAGCGCTTTAAGGTCAATGGCAGAAAAGGAAATATCTTCGTTTCAAAACTAGACAGAATCATTCCCACAAACTGCGTTGTGATGTGTTCGTTCAACTCACAGAGTTTAACCTTTCTTTTCATAGAGCAGTTAGGAGACACTCTGTTTGTAAAGTCTGCAAGTGGATATTCAGACCTCTTTGAGGCCTTCATTGGAAACGGGATTTCTTCATATTATGATACACAGAAGAATTCTCAGTAACTTCCTTGTGTTTTGTGTATTCAACTCACAGAGTTGAACGATCCTTTACACAGAGCAGACTTGAAACACTCTTTTTGCGGAATTTGCAAGTGGAGATTTCAGCCGCTTTGAGGTCAATGGTAGAATAGGAAATATCTTCCTATAGAAACTAGACAGAATGATTCTCAGAAACTCCTTTGTGATGTGTGCGTTCAACTCACAGAGTTCAACCTTTCTTTTCATAGAGCAGTTGGGAAACACTCTGTTTGTAAAGTCTGCAAGTGGATATTCAGACTTCTTTGAGGCCTTCGTTGGAAACGGGATTTCTTCATATTATGCTAGACAGAAGAATTCTCAGTAACTTCTTGTGTTGTGTGTATTCAACTGACAGAGTTGAACTTTCATTTAGACAGATCAGATTTGAAACACTGTTTTCGTGGAATTTGCAAGTGGAGGTTTCAAGCGCTTTGAGGCCAAAGGCAGAAAAGGAAATATCTTCCTATAAAAACCAGACAGAATCATTCTCAGAAACTGCTCTGCGATGTGTGCGTTCAACTCTCAGAGTTTAACTTTGCTTTTCATTCAGCAGTTTGGAAACACTCTGTTTGTAAAGTCTGCACGTGGATAATTAGACCACTTAGAGGCCTTCGTTGGAAACGGGTTTTTTTCATGTAAGGCTAGACAGAAGAATTCCCAGTAACTTCCTTGTGTTGTGTGCATTCAACTCACAGAGTTGAACGTTCCCTTAGACAGAGCAGATTTGAAACACTCTATTTCTGCAATTTGCAAGTGTAGATTTCAAGCGCTTTAAGGTCAATGGCAGAAAAGGAAATATCTTCGTTTCAAAACTAGACAGAATCATTCCCACAAACTGCGTTGTGATGTGTTCGTTCAACTCACAGAGTTTAACCTTTCTTTTCATAGAGCAGTTAGGAAACAGTCTGTTTGTAAATTCTGTAAGTGGATATTCTGACATCTTTTGGCCTTCGTTGGAAACGGGATTTCTTCATATTCTGCTAGACAGAAGAATTCTCAGAATCTTCCTTGTGTTGTGTGTATTCCACTCACAGAGTTGAACGATGGTTTACACAGAGCAGATTTGAAACACTCTTTGTGTGGAATTTGCAAGTGGAGATTTCAGCCGCTTTGAGGTCAATGGTAGAAAAGGAAATATCTTCGTATAAAAACTAGACAGAATGATTCTCAGAAACTCCTTTGTGATGTGTGTGTTCAACTCACAGAGTTTAACCTTTCTTTTCATAGAGCAGTTAGTAAACACTCTGTTTATAAAGTCTGCAAATGGATATTCAGACCCCTTTGAGGCCTTCGTTGGAAACGGGATTTCTTCATATTATGCTAGACAGAAGAATTCCCAGTAACTTCCTTGTGTTGTGTGTGTTCAACTCACAGAGTTGAACTTTGATTTACACAGAGCAGATTTGAAACACTCTTTTTGTGGAATTTGCAAGTGGAGATTTCAAGCGCTTTGTGGCCAAAGGCAGAAAAGGAAATATCTTCGTATAAAAACTAGACAGAATGATTCTCAGAAACTCCTTTGTGATGTGTGCGTTCAACTCACAGAGTTTAACCTTTCTTTTCATTCAGCGGTTTGGAAACACTCTGTTTGTAAAGTCTGCACGTGGATATTCAGACCTCTTTGAGGCCTTCGTTGGAAACGGGTTTTTTTCATGTAAGGCTAGACAGAAGAATTCCCAGTAACTTCCTTGTGTTGTGTGCATTCAACTCACAGAGTTGAACGTTCCCTTAGACAGAGCAGATTTGAAACACTCTATTTGTGCAATTTGCAAGTGTAGTTTTCAAGCTCTTTAAGGTCAACGGCAGAAAAGGAAATATCTTGGTTTCAAAACTAGACAGAATGATTCTCAGAAACTCCTCTGTGATGTGTGCGTTCAACTCACAGAGTTTAACCTTTCTTTTCATAGAGCAGTTAGGAAACACTCTGTTTGTAAAGTCTGCATGTGGATATTCAGACCTCCTTGAGGCCTTCTTTGGAAACGGGATTTCTTCATATTATGCTAGACAGAGGAATTCTCAGTAACTTCCTTGTGTTGTGTGTATTCAACTCACAGAGTTGAACGATGCTTTACACAGAGCAGACTTGAAACACTCTTTTTGTGGAATTTGCAAGTGGAGATTTCAGCCGCTTTGAGGTCAATGGTAGAATAGGAAGTATCTTCCTATAGAAACTAGACAGAATGATTCTCAGAAACTACTTTGTGATGTGTGCGTTCAACTCACAGAGTTTAACCTTTCTTTTCATAGAGCAGTTAGGAAACACTCTGTTTGTAAAGTCTGCAAGTGGATATTCAGACCTCCTTGAGGCCTTCTTTGGAAACGGGATTTCTTCATATTATGCTAGACAGAAGAATCCCCAGTAACTTCCCTTGTGTTGTGTGTGTTCAACTCACAGAGTTGAACTTTGATTTACACAGAGCAGATTTGAAACACTCTTTTTGTGGAATTTGCAAGTGGAGATTTCAAGCGCTTTGGGGCCAAAGGCAGAAAAGGAAATATCTTCGTATAAAAACTAGACAGAATCATTCTCAGAAACTGCTCTGCGATGTGTGCGTTCAATTCTCAGAGTTTAACTTTTCTTTTCATTCAGCAGTTTGGAAACACTCTGTTTGTAAAGTCTGCACGTGGATATTTTGACCACTTAGAGGCCTTCGTTGGAAACGGGTTTTTTTCTTGTAAGGCTAGACAGAAGAATTCCTAGTAACTTCCTTGTGTTGTGTACATTCAACTCACAGAGTTGAACGTTCCCTTAGACAGAGCAGATTTGAAACACTCTTTTTGTGCAATTGGCAAGTGGTGATTTCAGCCGCTTTGAGGTCAATGGTATAAAAGGAAATATCTTCGTATTAAAACTAGACAGAATCATTCCCACAAACTGCGTTGTGATGTGTTCGTTCAACTCACAGAGTTTAACCTTTCTGTTCATAGAGCAGTTAGGAAACACTTTGTTTGTAAAGTCTGTAAGTGGATATTCTGACATCTTGTGGCCTTCGTTGGAAACGGGATTTCTTCATATTCTGCTAGACAGAAGAATTCTCAGTAACTTCCTTGTGTTGTGTGTATTCAACTCACAGAGTTGAACGATCCTTTACACAGAGCAGACTTGAAACACACTTTTTGTGGAATTTGCAAGTGGAGATTTCAGCCGTTTTGAGGTCAATGGTAGAAAAGGAAATATCTTCGTATAAAGACTAGACAGAATGATTCTCAGAAACTCCTTTGTGATGTGTGTGTTCAACTCACAAAGTTTAAGCTTTCTTTTCATAGAGCAGTTAGTAAACACTCTGTTTATAAAGTCTGCAAGTGGATATTCAGACCCCTTTGAGGCCTTCGTTGGAAACCGGATTTCTTCATATTATGCTAGACAGAAGAATTCCCAGTAACTTCCTTGTGTTGTGTGTGTTCAACTCACAGAGTTGAACTTTCATTTACACAGAGCAGATTTGAAACACTCTTTTTGTGGAATTTGCAAGTGGAGATTTCAAGCGCTTTGAGGCTAAAGGCAGAAAAGGAAATATCTTCGTATAAAAACTAGACAGAATCATTCTCAGAAACTGCTCTGCGATGTGTGCGTTCAACTCTCAGAGTTTAACTTTTCTTTTCATTCAGCAGTTTGGAAACACTCTGTTTGTAAAGTCTGCACGTGGATATTTTGACCACTTAGAGGCCTTCGTTGGAAACGGGTTTTTTTCCTGTAAGTCTAGACAGAAGAATTCCCAGTAACTTCCTTGTGTTGTGTGCATTCAACTCACAGAGTTGAACGTTCCCTTAGACAGAGCAGATTTGAAACACTCTATTTGTGCAATTTGCAAGTGTAGTTTTCAAGCTCTTTATGGTCAACGGCAGAAAAGGAAATATCTTCGTTTCAAAACTAGACAGAATCATTCCCACAAACTGCGTTGTGATGTGTTCGTTCAACTCACAGAGTTTAACCTTTCTGTTCATAGAGCAGTTAGGAAACACTCTGTTTGTAAAGTCTGTAAGTGGATATTCTGACATCTTATGGCCTTCGTTGGAAACGGGATTTCTTCATATTCTGCTAGACAGAAGAATTCTCAGGAACTTCCTTGTGTTGTGTGTATTCAACTCACAGAGTTGAACGATCCTTTACACAGAGCAGACTTGAAACACTCTTTTTGTGGAATTTGCAAGTGGAGATTTCAGCCGCTTTGAGTTCAATGGTAGAATAGGAAATATCTTCCTATAGAAACTACACAGAATGATTCTCAGAAACTCCTTTGTGATGTGTGTGTTCAACTCACAGAGTTTAACCTTTCTTTTCATAGAGCAGTTAGGAAACACTCTGTTTGTAAAGTCTGCATGTGGATATTTTGACCTCTTTGAGGCCTTCGTTGGAAACGGGTTTTTTCATGTAAGGATAGACAGAAGAATTCCCAGTAACTTCCTTGGGTTGTGTGTGTTCAACTCACAGAGTTGAACTTTCATTTACACAGAGCAGATTTGAAAAACTCTTTTTGTGGAATTTGCAAATGGAGATTTCAAGCGCTTTGAGGCCAAAGGCAGAAAAGGAAATATCTTCGTATAAAAACTAGACAGAATCATTCTCAGAAACTGCTCTGTGATGTGTGCGTTGAACTCTCAGAGTTTAACTTTTCTTTTCATTCAGCAGTTTGGAAACACTCTGTTTGTAAAGTCTGCACGTGGATAATTTGACCACTTAGAGGCCTTCGTTGGAAACGGGTTTTTTTCATGTAAGGCTAGAGAGAAGAATTCCCAGTAACTTCCTTGTGTTGTGTACATTCAACTCACAGAGTTGAACGTTCCCTTAGACAGAGCAGATTTGAAATACTCTTTTTGTGCAATTGGCAAGTGGAGATTTCAAGCGCTTTAAGGTCAATGGCAGAAAAGGAAATATCTTCGTTTCAAAACTAGACAGAATCATTCCCACAAACTGCGTTGTGATGTGTTCGTTCAACTCACAGAGTTTAACCTTTCTGTTCATAGAGCAGTTAGGAAACACTCTGTTTGTAAAGTCTGTAAGTGGATATTCAGACCTCTTTGAGGCCTTCGTTGGAAACGGGATTTCTTCATATTCTGCTAGACAGAATAATTCTCAGTAACTTCCTTGTGTTGTGTGTATTCAACTCACAGAGTTGAAGGATCCTTTACAGAGAGCAGGCTTGAAACACTCTTTTTGTGGAATTTGCAAGTGGAGGTTTCAGCCGCTTTGAGGTCAATAGTAGAAAAGGAAATATCTTCCTAGAAAAACTAGACAGAATGATTCTCAGAATCTCCTTTGTGATGTGTGCGTTCAACTCACAGAGTTTAACCTTTCTTTTCATAGAGCAGTTAGGAAACACTCTGTTTGTAAAGTCTGCAAGTGGATATTCTGACCTCTTTGAGGCCTTCGTTGGAAACGGGTTTTTTCATATAAGACTAGACAGAAGAATTCTCAGTAACTTCCTTGTGTTGTGTGTATTCAACTCACAGAGTTGAACGATCCTTTACACAGAGCAGACTTGAAACACTCTTTTTGTGGAATTTGCAAGTGGAGATTTCAGCCGCTTTGAGGTCAATGGTAGAAAAGGAAATATCTTCGTATATAGACTAGACAGAATGATTCTCAGAAACTCCTTTGTGATGTGTGTGTTCAACTCACAGCAGTTTAACCTTTCTTTTCATAGAGCAGTTAGTAAACACTCTGTTTATAAAGTCTGCAAGTGGATATTCAGACCCCTTTGAGGCCTTCGTTGGAAACGGGAATTCTTCATATTATGCTAGACAGAAGAATTCCCAGTAACTTTCCTTGTGTTGTGTGTGTTCAACTCACAGAGTTGAACTTTCATTTACACAGAGAAGATTTGAAACACTCTTTTTGTGGAATTTGCAAGTGGAGATTTCAAGCGCTTTGAGGCCAAAGGCAGAAAAGGAAATATCTTCGTTTCAAAACTAGACAGAATCATTCTCAGAAGCTGCTGCGTGATGTGTGCGTTCAACTCTCAGAGTTTAACTTTTCTTTTCATTCAGCGGTTTGGAAACACTCTGTTTGTGAAGTCTGCACGTGGATATTTTGACCACTTAGAGGCCTTCGTTGGAAATGGGTTTTTTGCATGTAAGGCTAGATAGAAGAATTCTCAGTAACTTCCTTGTGTTGTGTGTATTCAACTCACAGAGTTGAACGATCCTTTACACAGAGCAGACTTGTAACACTCTTTTTGTGGAATTTGCAAGTGGAGATTTCAGCCGCTATGAAGTCAAATGTAGAAAAGGAAATATCTTCCTATAAAAACTAGACAGAATCATTCCCACAAACTGCGTTGTGATGTGTTCGTTCAACTCACAGAGTTTAACCTTTCTGTTCATAGAGCAGTTAGGAAACACTCTGTTTGTAAAGTCTGTAAGTGGATATTCTGACATCTTGTGGCCTTCGTTGGAAACGGGATTTCTTCATATTCTGCTGGACAGAAGAATTCTCAGTAACTTCCTTGTGTTGTGTGTATTCAACTCACAGAGTTGAACGATCCTTTACACAGAGCAGACTTGAAACGCTCTTTTTGTGGAATTTGCAAGTGGAGATTTCAGCCACGTTGAGGTCAATGGTAGAAAAGGAAATATCTTCGTATAAAAACTAGACAGAATGATTCTCAGAAACTCCTTTGTGATGTGTGCTTTCAACTCACAGAGCTTAACCTTTCTTTTCATAGAGCAGTTAGGAAACACTCTGTTTGTAAAGTCTGCAAGTGGATATTCAGACCTCTTTGAGGCCTTCGTTGGAAACGGGTTTTTTTCATATAAGGCTAGACAGAAGAATTCTCAGTAACTTCCTTGTGTTGTGTGTATTCAACTCACAGAGTTGAACGATCCTTTACACAGAGCAGACTTGAAACACTCTTTTTGTGGAATTTGCAAGTGGAGATTTCAGCCGCTTTGAGGTCAATGGTAGAATAGGAAATATCTTCCTATAGAAGCTAGACAGAATGATTCTCAGAAACTCCTTTGTGATGTGTGCGTTCAACTCACAGAGTTTATCCTTTCTTTTCATAGAGCAGTTAGGAAACACTCTGTTTGTAAAGTCTGCATATGGATATTCAGACATCTTTGAGGCCTTCGTTGGAAACGGGATTTCTTCATGTTCTGCTAGACAGAAGAATTCCCAGTAACTTCCTTGTGTTGTGTGTGTTCAACTGACAGAGTTGAACTTTCATTTAGACAGAGCAGATTTGAAACACTCTTTTTGTGGAATTTGCAATTGGAGATTTCAAGCGCTTTGAGGCCAAAGGCAGAAAAGGAAATATCTTCGTATAAAAACTAGACAGAATCATTCTCAGAAACTGCTGCGTGATGTGTGCGTTCAACTCTCAGACTTTAACTTTTCTTTTCATTCAGCGGTTTGGAAACACTGTGTTTGTAAAGTCTGCACGTGGATATTTTGACCACTTAGAGGCCTTCGTTGGAAACGGGTTTTTTTCATGTAAGGCTAGACAGAAGAATTCCCAGTAACTTCCTTGTGTTCGTGTACATTCAACTCACAGAGTTGAACGTTCCCTTAGACAGAGCAGATTTGAAACACTCTTTTTGTGCAATTGACAAATGGAGATTTCAAGCGCTTTAAGGTCAATGGCAGAAAAGGAAATATCTTCGTTTCAAAACTAGACAGAATCATTCTCAGAAACTGCTCTGCGATGTGTGCGTTCAACTCTCAGAGTTTAACTTTTCTTTTCATTCAGCAGTTTGGAAACACTCTGTTTGTAAAGTCTGCACGTGGATAACTTGACCACTTAGAGGCCTTCGTTGGAAACGGGTTTTGTTCATGTAAGGCTAGACAGAAGAATTCTCAAGTAACTTCCTTGTGTTGTGTGTATTCAACTCACAGAGTTGAACGATCCTTTACACAGAGCAGACTTGTAACACTCTTTTTGTGTAATTTGCAAGTGGAGATTTCAGCCGCTTTGAAGTCAAAGGTAGAAAAGGAAATATCTTCCTATAAAAACTAGACAGAATGATTCTCAGAAACTCCTTTGTGATGTGTGTGTTCAACTCACAGAGTTTAACCTTTCTTTTCATAGAGCAGTTAGAAAACACTCTGTTTCTAAAGTCTGCAAGTGGATATTCAGACCCCTTTGAGGCCTTCGTTGGAAACGGGATTTCTTCATATTATGCTAGACAGAAGAATTCCCAGTAACTTCCCTTGTGTTGTGTGTGTTCAACTCACAGAGTTGAACTTTCATTTACACAGAGCAGATTTGAAACACTCTTTTTGTGGAATTTGCAAATGGAGATTTCAAGCGCTTTGAGGCCAAAGGCAGAAAAGGAAATATCTTCGTATAAAAACTAGACAGAATCATTCTCAGAAACTGCTCTGCGATGTGTGCGTTCAACTCTCAGAGTTTAACTTTTCTTTTCATTCAGAAGTTTGGAAACACTCTGTTTGTAAAGTCTGCACGTGGATAACTTGACCAGTTAGAGGCCTTCGATGGAAACGGGTTTTTTTCATGTAAGGCTAGACAGAAGAATTCCCAGTAACTTCCTTGTGTTGTGTACATTCAACTCACAGAGTTGAACTTTCCCTTAGACAGAGCAGATTTGAAACACTCTTTTTGTGCAATTGGCAAGTGGAGATTTCAAGCGCTTTGAGGTCAATGGCAGAAAAGGAAATATCTTCGTTTCAAAACTACACAGAATGATTCTCAGAAACTCCTTTGTGATGTGTGCGTTCAACTCACAGAGTTTAACCTTTCTTTTCATAGAACAGTTAGGAAACACTCTGTTTGTAAAGTCTGCAAGTGGATATTCAGACCTCCTTGAGGCTTTCGTTGGAAACGGGATTTCTTCATATTCTGCTAGAAAGAAGAATTCTCAGTAACTTCCTTGTGTTGTGTGTATTCAACTCACAGAGTTGAACGATCCTTTACACAGAGCAGACTTGAAACCCTCTTTTTGTGGAATTTGCAAGTGGAGATTTCAGCCGCTTTGAGGTCAATGGTAGAATAGGAAATATCTTCCTATAGAAACTAGACAGAATGATTCTCATAAACTCCTTTGTGATGTGTGCGTTCAACTCACAGTAGTTTAACCTTTCTTTTCATAGAGCAGTTAGGAAACACTCTGTTTGTAAAGTCTGCAAGTCGATATTCAGACCTCTTTGAGGCCTTCGTTGGAAACGGGATTTCTTCATATTCTGCTAGACAGAAGAATTCTCAGAAACTTCCTGGTGTTGCGTGTTTTCAACTCACAGAGTTCAACGATCCGTTACACAGAGTAGACTTGAAAAACTCTTTTTGTTGAATTGGCCAGTGGAGATTTCAGCCGCTTTGAGGTCAATGGTAGAAAAGGAAATATCTTCGTATAAAAACTAGACAGAATGATTCTCAGAAACTCCTTTGTGATGTGTGCGTTCAACTCACAGAGTTTAACCTTTCTTTTCATAGAGCATTTAAGAAACACTCTGGTTGTAAAGTCTGCAAGTGGATATTCAGACCTCGTTGAGGCCTTTGTTGGAAACGGGATTTCTTCATATTATGCTAGACAGAAGAATTCCCAGTAACTTCCTTGTGTTGTGTGTGTTCAACTCACAGAGTTGAACTTTCATTTACACAGAGCAGATTTGAAACACTCTTTTTGTGGAATTTGCAAGTGGAGATTTCAAGCGCTTTGAGGCCAAAGGCAGAAAAGGAAATGTCTTCGTTTCAAAACTAGACAGAATGATTCTCAGAAACTCCTTTGTGATGTGGGCGTTCAACTCACAGAGTTTAACCTTTCTTTTCATAGAGCCGTTAGGAAACACTCTGTTTGTAAATTCTGCACGTGGATATTTGGACTTCTTTGAGGCCTTCGTTGGAAACGGGTTTTTTTCATGTAAGGCTAGACGGAAGAATTCCCAGTAACTTCCTTGTGTTGTGTACATTCAACTCACAGAGTTGAACGTTCCCTTAGACAGAGCAGATTTGAAACACTCTTTTTGTGCAATTGGCAAATGGAGATTTCAAGCGCTTTAAGTTCAATGGCAGAAAAGGAAATATCTTCGTTTCAGAACTAGACAGAATCATTCCCACAAACTGCGTTGTGATGTGTTCGTTCAACTCACAGAGTTTAACCTTTCTTTTCATAGAGCACTTAGGAAACAGTCTGTTTGTCAATTCTGTAAGTGGATATTCTGACATCTTGTGGCCTTCGTTGGAAACGGGATTTCTTCATATTCTGCTAGACAGAAGAATTCTCAGTAACTTCCTTGTGTTGTGTGTATTCATCTCACAGAGTTGAACGATCCTTTACACAGAGCAGACTTGAAACATTCTTTTTGTGGAATTTGCAAGTGGAGATTTCAGCCGCTTTGAGGTCAATGGTAGAATGGGAAATATCTTCCTATAGAAACTAGACAGAATGATTCTCAGAAACTCCTTTGTGATGTGTGCGTTCAACTCACACAGTTCAACCTTTCTTTTCATAGAGCAGTTGGGAAACACTCTGTTTGTAAAGTCTGCAAGTGGATATTCAGACTTCTTTGAGGCCTTCGTTGGAAGCGGGATTTCTTCATGTTCTGCTAGACAGAAGAATTCTCAGTAACTGCCTGTGTTGTGTGTATTCAACTCACAGAGTTGAACGATCCTTTACACAGAGCAGACTTGAAACACTCTTTTTGTGGAATTTGCAAGTGGAGATTTCAGCCGCTTTGAGGTCAATGGTAGAATAGGAAATATCTTCCTATAGAAACTAGACAGAATCATTCTCAGAAACTGCTGCGTGATGTGTGCGTTCAACTCTCAGAGTTTAACTTTTCTTTTCATTCATCGGTTTGGAATCACTCTGTTTGTAAAGTCTGCACGTGGATATTTTGACCACTTAGAGGCCTTCGTTGGAAACGGGTTTTTTCATGTAAGGCTAGACAGAAGAATTCTCAGTAACTTCCTTTTGTTGTGTGTATTCAACTCACAGAGTTGAACGATCCTTTACACAGAGCAGATTTGAAACACTCTTTTTGTGCCATTGGCAAGTGGAGATTTCAAGCGCTTAAAGGTCAATGGCAGAAAAGGAAATATCTTCGTTTCAAAACTAGACAGAATCATTCCCACAAACTGCGTTGTGATGTGTTCGTTCAACTCACAGAGTTTAACCTTTCTTTTCATAGAGCAGTTAGGAAACAGTCTGTTTGTCAATTCTGTAAGTGGATATTCTGACATCTTGTGGCCTTCGTTGGAAACGGGATTTCTTCATATTCTCCTAGACAGAAGAATTCTCAGTAACTTCCCTTGTGTTGTGTGTATTCAACTCACAGAGTTGAACGATCCTTTACACAGAGCAGACTTGAAACACTCTTTTTGTGGAATTTGCAAGTGGAGATTTCAGCCGCTTTGAGGTCAATGGTAGAGTAGGAAATATCTTCGTATAAAGACTAGACAGAATGATTCTCAGAAACTCCTTTGTGATGTGTGCGTTCAACTCACAGAGTTTAACCTTTCTTTTCATAGAGCAGTTAGGAAACACTCTGTTTGTAATGTCTGCCAGTGGATATTCAGACATCTTTGAGGCTTTCGTTGGAAACGGGTTTTCTTCATATTCTGCTATACAGAAGAATTCTCAGTAACTTCCTTGTGGTGTGTGTATTCAACTGACAGAGTTGAACTTTCATTTAGAGAGAGCAGATTTGAAACACTGTTTTTGTGGAATTTGCAAGTGGAGATTTCAAGCGCTTTGGGGCCAAAGGCAGAAAAGGAAATATCTTCGTATAAAAACTAGACAGAATCATTCTCAGAAACTGCTGGGTGATGTGTGCGTTCAACTCTCAGAGTTTAACTTTTCTTTTTATTCAGCGGTTTGGAAACACTCTGTTTGTAAAGTCTGCACATGGATATTTTGACCACTTAGAGGCCTTCGTTGGAAACGGGTTTTTTTCATGTAAGGCTAGACAGAAGAATTCCCAGTAACTTCCTTGTGTTGTGTACATTCAACTCACAGAGTTGAACGTTCCCTTAGACAGAGCAGATTTGAAACACTCTTTTTGTGCAATTGGCAAGTGGTGATTTCAGCCGCTTTGAGGTCAATGGTAGAAAAGGAAATATCTTCGTATAAAAACTAGACAGAATCATTCCCACAAACTGCGTTGTGATGTGTTCGTTCAACTCACAGAGTTTAACCTTTCTTTTCATAGAGCAGTTAGGAAACAATCTGTTTGTCAATTCTGTAAGTGGATATTCTGACATCTTGTGGCCTTCGTTGGAAACGGGATTTCTTCATATTCTGCTAGACAGAAGAATTCTCAGTAACTTCCTTCTGTTGTGTGTATTCAACTCACAGAGTTGAACGATCCTTTACACAGAGCAGACTTGAAACACTCTTTTTGTGGAATTTGCAAGTGGAGATTTCAGCCGCTTTGAGGTCAATGGTAGAAAAGGAAACTATCCTCTTATAAAGACTAGACAGAATGATTCTCAGAAAATCTTTTGTGATGTGTGCGTTCAACTCACAGAGTTTAACTTTTCTTCTCATAGAGCAGTTAGGAAACACTCTGTTTGTAAAGTGTGCAAGTGGATATTCAGACCTCTTTGAGGCCTTCGTTGGAAACGGGATTTCTTCATATTCTGCTAGACAGAAGAATTCTCAGTAACTTCCTTGTGTTGTGTGTATTCAACTGACAGAGTTGAACTTTCATTTAGAGAGAGCAGATTTGAAACACTGTTTTTGTGGAATTTGCAATTGGAGATTTCAAGTGCTTTGGGGCCAAAGGCAGAAAAGGAAATATCTTCGTATAAAAACTAGACAGAATCATTCTCAGAAACTGCTGCATGATGTGTTCGTTCAACTCTCAGAGTTTAACTTTTCTTTTCATTCAGCGGTTTGGAAACACTCTGTTTGTAAAGTCTGCACGTGGAAATTTTGACCACTTAGAGGCCTTCGTTGGAAACGGGATTTTTTCATGTAAGGCTAGACAGAAGAATTCCCAGTAACTTCCTTGTGTTGTGTGCATTCAACTCACAGAGTTGAACGTTCCCTTAGACAGAGCAGATTTGAAACACTCTATTTGTGCAATTTGCAAGTGTAGGTTTCAAGCGCTTTAAGGTCAATGGCAGAAAAGGAAATATCTTCGTTTCAAAACTAGACAGAATCATTCCCACAAACTGCGTTGTGATGTGTTCGTTCAACTCACAGAGTTTAACCTTTCTGTTCATAGAGCAGTTAGGAAACACTCTGTTTGTAAAGTCTGAAAGTGGATATTCTGACATCTTGTGGCCTTCGTTTGAAACGGGATTTCTTCATATTCTGCTAGACAGAAGAATTCTCAGTAACTTCCTTGTGTTGTGTGTATTCAACTCACAGAGTTGAACGATCCTTTACACAGAGCAGACTTGAAACACTCTTTTTGTGGAATTTGCAAGTGGAGATTTCAGCCTCTTTGAGGTCAATGGTAGAATAGGATATATCTTCCTATAGAAACTAGGC
This sequence comes from Homo sapiens, assembly GCF_000001405.40. Lineage (NCBI taxonomy): Eukaryota > Metazoa > Chordata > Mammalia > Primates > Hominidae > Homo > Homo sapiens. The sequence continues at coordinate 123,014,574 of NC_000001.11, forward strand.
AGAATGATTCTCAGAAACTTCTTTGTGATGTGTGCGTTCAACTCACAGAGTTTAACCTTTCTTTTCATAGAGCAGTTAGGAAACACTCTGTTTGTAAACTCTGCAAGTGGATACTCAGACCTGTTTGAGGCCTTCGTTGGAAACGGGATTTCTTCATACTATGCTAGACAGAAGAATTCGCAGTAACTTCCTTGTGTTGTGTGTGTTCAACTCACAGAGTTGAACTTTCATTTACACAGAGCAGATTTGAAACACTCTTTTTGTGGAATTTGCAAGTGGAGATTTCAAGCGCTTTGAGGCCAAAGGCAGAAAAGGAAATATCTTCGTTTGAAAACTAGACAGAATCATTCTCAGAAACTGCTGCGTGATGTGTGCGTTCAACTCTCAGAGTTTAACTTTTCTTTTCATTCAGCGGTTTGGAAATACTCTGTTTGTAAAGTCTGCACGTGGATATTTTGACCACTTAGAGGCCTTCGTTGGAAACGGGTTTTTTTCATGTAAGGCTAGACAGAAGAATTCCCAGTAACTTCCTTGTGTTGTGTGCATTCAACTCACAGAGTTGAACGTTCCCTTAGACAGAGCAGATTTGAAACACTCTATTTGTGCAATTTGCAAGTGTAGATTTCAAGCGCTTTAAGGTCAATGACAGAAAAGGAAATATCTTCGTTTCAAAACTAGACAGAATGATTCTCAGAAACTCCTTTGTGATGTGTGCGTTCAACTCACAGAGTTTTACCTTTCTGTTCATAGAGCAGTTAGGAAACCCTCTGTTTGTAAAGTCTGCAAGTGGATATTCAGACCTCCTTGAGGCCTTCGTTGGAAACGGGATTTCTTCATATTCTGCTAGACAGAAGAATTCTCAGTAACTTCCTTGTGTTGTGTGTATTCAACTCACAGAGTTGAACGATCCTTTGCACAGAGCAGACTTGAAACACTCTTTTTGTGGAATTTGCAAGTGGAGATTTCAGCCGCTTTGAGGTCAATAGTAGAAAAGGAAATATCTTCGTAGAAAAACTAGACAGAATGATTCTCAGAAACTCCCTTGTGATGTGTGCGTTCAACTCACAGAGTTTAACCTTTCTTTTCATAGAGCAGTTAGGAAACACTCTGTTTGTAAAGTCTGCAAGTGGATATTCAGACTTCCTTGAGGCCTTCGTTGGAAACGGGATTTCTTCATATTATGCTAGACAGAAGAATTCCCAGTAACTTCCTTGTGTTGTGTGTGTTCAACTCACAGAGTTGAACTTTCATTTACACAGAACAGATTTGAAACACTCTTTTTGTGGAATTTGCAAATGGAGATTTCAAGCGCTTTGAGGCCAAAGGCAGAAAAGGAAATATCTTCGTATAAAAACTAGACAGAATCATTCTCAGAAACTGCTCTGCGATGTGTGCGTTCAACTCTCAGAGTTTAACTTTTCTTTTCATTCAGCAGTTTGGAAACACTCTGTTTGTAAAGTCTGCACGTGGATATTTTGACCACTTAGAGGCCTTCGTTGGAAACGGGTTTTTTCCTGTAAGGCTAGACAGAAGAATTCTCAGTAACTTCCTTGTGTTGTGTGTATTCAACTCACAGAGTTGAACGTTCCCTTAGACAGAGCAGATTTGAAACACTCTATTTGTGCAATTTGCAAGTGTAGATTTCAAGCGCTTTAAGGTCAATGGCAGAAAAGGAAATATCTTCGTTTCAAAACTAGACAGAATCATTCCCACAAACTGCGTTGTGATGTGTTCGTTCAACTCACAGAGTTTAACCTTTCTGTTCATAGAGCAGTTAGGAAATACTCTGTTTGTAAAGTCTGTAAGTGGATATTCTGACATCTTGTGGCCTTCGTTGGAAACGGGATTTCTTCATATTCTGCTAGACAGAAGAATTCTCAGTAACTTCCTTGTGTTGTGTGTATTCAACTCACAGAGTTGAACGATCCTTTACACAGAGCAGACTTGAAACACTCTTTTTGTGGAATTTGCAAGTGGAGATTTCAGCCGCTTTGAGTTCAATGGTAGAAAAGGAAATATCTTCCTATAGAAACTAGACAGAACGATTCTCAGAAACTCCTTTGTGATGTGTGCGTTCAACTCACAGAGTTTAACCTTTCTTTTCATAGAGCAGTTAGGAAACACTCTGTTTGTAAAGTCTGCAAGTGGATATTCAGACCTCTTTGAGGCTTTCGTTGGAAACGGGATTTCTTCCTATTCTGCTAGACAGAAGAATTCCCAGTAACTTCCTTGTGTTGTGTGTGTTCAACTCACAGAGTTGAACTTTCATTTACACAGAGCAGATTTGAAACACTCTTTTTGTGGAATTTGCAAGTGGAGATTTCAAGCGCTTTGAGGCCAAAGGCAGAAAAGGAAATATCGTCGTTTCAAAACTAGACAGAATGATTCTCAGAAACTCCTTTGTGATGTGTGCGTTCAAGTCACAGAGTTTAACCTTTCTTTTCATAGAGCAGTTAGGAAACACTCTGTTTGTAAAGTCTGCAAGTGGATATTCAGACCTCTTTGAGGCCTTCGTTGGAAACGGGTTTTTTTCATATAAGGGTAGACAGAAGAATTCCCAGTAACTTCCTTGTGTTGTGTACATTCAACTCACAGAGTTGAACGTTCCCTTAGACAGAGCAGATTTGAAACACTCTTTTTGTGCAATTGGCAAGTGGTGATTTCAGCCGATTTGAGGTCAATTGTAGAAAAGGAAATATCTTCGTAGAAAAACTAGACAGAATCATTCCCACAAACTGCGTTGTGATGTGTTCGTCCAACTCACAGAGTTTAACTTTTCTTTTCATAGAGCAGTTAGGAAACAGTCTGTTTGTAAAGTCTGTAAGTGGATATTCTGACCTCTTGTGGCCTTCGTTGGAAACGGGATTTCTTCATATTCTGCTAGACAGAAGAATTCTCAGAAACTTCCTTGTGTTGTGTGTTTTCAACTCACAGAGTTGAACGATGCTTTACACAGAGTAGACTTGAAACACTCTTGTTGTGGAATTTGCAAGTGGAGATTTCAGCCTCTTTGAGGTCAATGGTAGAATAGGAAATATCTTCCTATAGAAACTAGACAGAACGATTCTCAGAAACTCCTTTGTAATGTGTGCGTTCAACTCACAGAGTTTAACCTTTCTTTTCATAGAGCAGTTAGGAAACACTCTGTTTGTAAAGTCTGCAAGTGGATATTCAGACCTCTTTGAGGCCTTCGTTGGAAACGGGATTTCTTCATATTCTGCTAGACAGAAGAATTTCCAGTAACTTCCTTGTGTTGTGTGTGTTCAACTCACAGAGTTGAACTTTCATTTACACAGAGCAGATTTGAAACACTCTTTTTGTGGAATTTGCAAATGGAGATTTCAAGCGCTTTGAGGCCAAAGGCAGAAAAGGAAATATCTTCGTTTCAAAACTAGACAGAATCATTCTCAGAAACTGCTGCGTGATGTGTGCGTTCAACTCTCAGAGTTTAACTTTTCTTTTCATTCAGCGGTTTGGAAACACTCTGTTTGTAAAGTCTGCACGTGGATATTTTGACCACTTAGAGGCCTTCGTTGGAAATGGGATTTTTTCATGTAAGGCTAGACAGAAGAATTCCCAGTAACTTCCTTGTGTTGTGTGCATTCAACTCACAGAGTTGAACGTTCCCTTAGACAGAGCAGATTTGAAACACTCCATTTGTGCAATTTGCAAGGGTAGATTTCAAGCGCTTTAAGGTCAATGGCAGAAAAGGAAATATCTTCGTTTCAAAACTAGACAGAATCATTCCCACAAACTGCGTTGTGATGTGTTCGTTCAACTCACAGAGTTTAACCTTTCTGTTCATAGAGCAGTTAGGAAACACTCTGTTTGTAAAGTCTGTAAGTGGATATTCTGACATCTTGTGGCCTTCGTTGGAAATGGGATTTCTTCATATTCTCCTAGACAGAACAATTCTCAGTAACTTCCTTGTGTTGTGTGTATTCAACTCACAGAGTTGAACGATCCTTTACACAGAGCAGTCTTGAAACACTCTTTTTGTGGAATTTGCAAGTGGAGATTTCTGCCGCTTTGAGGTCAATGGTAGAATAGGAAATATCTTCCTATAGAAACTAGACAGAATGATTCTCAGAAACTCCTTTGAGATGTGTGTGTTCAACTCACAGAGTTTAACATTTCTTTTCATAGAGCAGTTAGGAATCACTCTGTTTGTAAAGTCTGCAAGTGGATATTCAGACCTCTTTGAGGCCTTCGTTGGAAACGGGTTTTTTTCATATAAGGCTAGACAGAAGAATTCCCAGTAACTTCCTTGTGTTGTGTGTGTTCAACTCACAGAGTTGAACTTTCATTTACACAGAGCAGATTTGAAACACTCTTTTTGTGGAATTTGCAAATGGAGATTTCAAGCGCTTTGAGGCCAAAGCAGAAAAGGAAATATCTTCGTATAAAAACTAGACAGAATCATTTTCAGAAACTGCTCTGCGATGTGTGCGTTCAACTCTCAGAGTTTAACTTTTCTTTTCATTCAGGAGTTTGGAAACACTCTGTTTGTAAAGTCTGCACGTGGATAACTTGACCACTTAGAGGCCTTCGTTGGAAACGGGTTTTTTTCATGTAAGGCTAGACAGAAGAATTCCCGGTAACTTCCTTGTGTTGTGTACATTCAACTCACAGAGTTGAACGTTCCCTTAGACAGAGCAGATTTGAAACACTCTTTTTGTGCAATTGGCAAGTGGAGATTTCAAGCGCTTTAAGGTCAATGGCAGAAAAGGAAATATCTTCGTTTCAAAACTCTTCAGAAAGATTCTCATAAACTCCTTTGTGATGTGTGCGTTCAACTCACAGAGTTTAACCTTTCTTTTCATAGAGCAGTTAGGAAACACTCTGTTTGTAAAGTCTGCAAGTGGATATTCAGACCTCTTTGAGGCCTTCGTTGGAAACGGGATTTCTTCATATTATGCTAGACAGAATAATTCTCAGTAACTTCCTTGTGTTGTGTGTATTCAACTCACATAGTTGAAGGATCCTTTACAGAGAGCAGGCTTGAAACACTCTTTTTGTCGAATTTGCAAGTGGAGATTTCAGCCGCTTTGAGGTCAATGGTAGAATAGGAAATATCGTCTTATAGAAACTAGACAGAATGATTCTCAGAAACTCCTTTGTGATGTGTGCGTTCAACTCACAGAGTTTAACCTTTCTTTTCATAGAGCAGTTAGGAAACACTCTGCTTGTAAAGTCTGCAAGTGGATATTCAGACCTCTTTGAGGCCTTCGTTGGAAACGGGTTTTTTTCATATAAGGCTAGACAGAAGAATTCCCAGTAACTTCCTTGTGTTGTGTGTGTTCAACTCACAGAGTTGAACTTTCATTTACACAGAGCAGATTTGAAACACTCTTTTTGTGGAACTTGCAAATGGAGGTTTCAAGCGCTTTGAGGCCAAAGGCAGAAAAGGAAATATCTTCGTATAAAAAATAGACAGAATCATTCTCAGAAACTGCTCTGCGATGTGTGCGTTCAACTCTCACAGTTTAACTTTTCTTTTCATTCAGCAGTTTGGAAACACTCTGTTTGTAAAGTCTGCAAGTGGATATTTTGACCACTTAGAGGCCTTCGTTGGAAACGGGTTTTTTTCCTGTAAGGCTAGACAGAAGAATTCCCAGTAACCTCCTTGTGTTGTGTACATTCAACTCACAGAGTTGAACGTTCCCTTAGACAGAGCAGATTTGAAACACTCTTTTTGTGCAATTGGCAAATGGAGATTTCAAGCGCTTTAAGGTCAATGGCAGGAAAGGAAATATCTTCGTTTCAAAACTAGACAGAATCATTCCCACAAACTGCGTTGTGATGTGTTCGTTCAACTCACAGAGTTTAACCTTTCTTTTCATAGAGCAGTTAGGAAACAGTCTGTTTGTCAATTCTGTAAGTGGATATTCTGACATCTTGTGGCCTTCGTTGGAAACGGGACTTCTTCATATTCTCCTAGACAGAATAATTCTCAGTAACTTCCTTGTGTTGTGTGTATTCAACTCACAGAGTTGAAGGATCCTTTACAGAGAGCAGACTTGAAACACTCTTTTTGTGGAATTTGCAAGTGGAGATTTCAGCCGTTTGAGGTCAATGGTAGAATAGGAAATATCTTCCAATAGAAACTAGACAGAATGATTCTCAGAAACTCCTTTGTGATGTGTGTGTTCAACTCACAGAGTTTAACCTTTCTTTTCATAGAGCAGTTAGGAAACACTCTGTTTGTAAAGTCTGCAAGTGGATATTCAGACCTCTTTGAGGCCTTCGGTTGGAAACGGGTTTTTTTCATATAAGGCTAGACAGAAGAATTCCCAGTAACTTCCTTGTGTTGTGTGTGTTCAACTCACAGAGTTGAACTTTCATTTACACAGAGCAGATTTGAAACACTCTTTTTGTGGAATTTGCAAGTGGAGATTTCAAGCCCTTAGAGGCCAAAGGCAGAAAAGGAAATATCTTCGTTTGAAAACTAGACAGAATCATTCTCAGAAACTGCTCTGTGATGTGTGCGTTCAACTCTCAGAGTTTAACTTTTCTTTTCATTCAGCAGTTTGGAAACACTCTGTTTGTAAAGTCTGCACGTGGATAATTTGACCACTTAGAGGCCTTCGTTGGAAACGGGTTTTTTTCATGTAAGGCTAGACAGAAGAATTCCCAGTAACTTCCTTGTGTTGTGTACATTCAACTCAGAGAGTTGAACGTTCCCTTAGACAGAGCAGATTTGAAACACTCTTTTTGTGCAATTGGCAAGTGGAGATTTCAAGCGCTTTGAGGTCAACGGCAGAAAAGGAAATATCTTCGTTTCAAAACTAGACAGCATCATTCCCACAAACTGCGTTGTGATGTGTTCGTTCAACTCACAGAGTTTAACCTTTGTTTTCATAGAGGAGTTAGGAAACAGTCTGTTTGTAAATTCTGTAAGTGGATATTCTGACATCTTGTGGCCTTCGTTGGAAACGGGATTTCTTCATATTCTGCTAGACAGAAGAATTCTCAGTAACTTCCTTGTGTTGTGTGTATTCAACTCACAGAGTTGAACGATCCTTTACACAGAGCAGACTGGTAACACTCTTTTTGTGGAATTTGCAAGTGGAGATTTCAGCCGCTTTGAAGTCGAAGGTAGAAAAGGAAATAACTTCCTATAAAAACTAGACAGAATGATTCTCAAAAAATCCTTTGTGATGTGTGCGTTCAACTCACAGAGTTTAACTTTTCTTTTCATAGAGCAGTTAGGAAACACTCTGTTTGTAAAGTCTGCAAGTGGATATTCAGACCTCTTTGAGGCCTTCGTTGGAAACGGGAATTTTTCATATTCTGCTAGACAGAAGAATTCTCAGTAACTTCCTTCTGTTGTGTGTATTCAACTCACAGAGTTGAACGATCCTTTACAGAGAGCAGACTTGAAACACTCTTTTTGTGGAATTTGCAAGTGGAGATTTCAGCCGCTTTGAGGTCAATGGTAGAATAGGAAATATCTTCCTATAGAAACTAGACAGAATGATTCTGAGAAACTCCTTTGTGATGTGTGCGTTCAACTCACAGAGTTTAACCTTTCTTTTCATAGAGCAGTTAGTAGACACTCTGTTTGTAAAGTCTGCAAGTGGATATTCAGATCTCTTTGAGGCCTTCGTTGGAAACGGGATTTCTTCATATTATGCTAGACAGAAGAATTCCCAGTAACTTCCTTGTGTTGTGTGTGTTCGACTCACAGAGTTGAACTTTCATTTACACAGAGCAGATTTGAAACACTCTTTTTGTGGAATTTGCAAGTGGAGATTTCAAGCGCTTTGAGGCCAAAGGCAGAAAAGGAAATATCTTCGTTTCAAAACTAGACAGAATCATTCTCAGAAACTGCTCTGCAATGTGTGCGTTCAACTCTCAGAGTTTAACTTTTCTTTTCATTCAGCAGTTTGGAAACACTCTGTTTGTAAAGTCTGCACGTGGATATTTTGACCACTTAGAGGCCTTCGTTGGAAACGGGTTTTTTTCCTGTAAGGCTAAACAGAAGAATTCCCAGTAACTTCCTTGTGTTGTGTACATTCAACTCACAGTGTTGAACGTTCCCTTAGACAGAGCAGATTTGAAACACTCTTTTTGTGCAATTGGCAAGTGGAGATTTCAAGCGCTTTAAGGTCAATGGCAGAAAAGGAAATATCTTCGTTTCAAAACTAGACAGAATCATTCCCACAAACTGCGTTGTGAAGTGCTCGTTCAACTCACAGATTTTAACCTTTCTGTTCATAGAGCAGTTAGGAAACACTCTGTTTGTAAAGTCTGTAAGTGGATATTCTGACATCTTGCGGCCTTCGTTGGAAACGGAATTTCTTCATATTCTGCTAGACAGAAGAATTCTCAGTAACTTCCTTGTGTTGTGTGTATTCAACTCACAGAGATGAACGATCCTTTACACAGAGCAGACTTGAAACACTCTTTTTGTGGAATTTGCAAGTGGAGATTTCAGCCGCTTTGAGTTCAATGGTAGAATAGGAAATATCTTCCTATAGAAACTAGACAGAATGATTCTCAGAAACTCCTTTGTGATGTGTGCGTTCAACTCACAGAGTTTAACCTTTCTTTTCATAGAGCAGTTAGGAAACACTCTGTTTATAAAGTCTGCAGGTGGATATTCAGACCTCTTTCAGGCCTTCGTTGGAAACGGGTTTTTTTCATGTAAGGCTAGACAGAAGAATTCCCAGTAACTTCCTTGTGTTGTGTGTGTCCAACTCACAGAGTTGAACTTTCATTTACACAGAGCAGACTTGAAACACTCTTTTTGTGGAATTTGCAAGTGGAGATTTCAAGCGCTTTGAGGCCAAAGGCAGAAAAGGAAATATCTTCGTTTCAAAACTAGACAGAATCATTCTCAGAAACTGCTCTGTGATGTGTGCGTTCACCTCTCAGAGTTTAAGTTTTCTTTTCATTCAGCAGTTTGGAAACACTCTGTTTGTAAAGTCTGCACGTGGATATTTTGACCACTTAGAGGCCTTCGTTGGAAACGGGTTTTTTTCATGTAAGACCAGACAGAAGAATTCCCAGTAACTTCCTTTTGTTGTGTGCATTCAACTCACAGAGATGAACATTCCCTTAGACAGAGCAGATTTGAAACACTCTATTTGTGTAATTTGCAAGTGTAGATTTCAAGCGCTTTAAGGTCAATGGCAGAAAAGGAAATATCTTCGTTTCAAAACTAGACAGAATCATTCCCACAAACTGCGTTGTGATGTGTTCGTTCAACTCACAGAGTTTAACCTTTCTGTTCATAGAGCAGTTAGGAAACACTCTGTTTGTAAAGTCTGTAAGTGGATATTCTGACATCTTGTGGCCTTCGTTGGAAACGGTATTTCTTCATATTCTGCTAGACAGAAGAATTCTCAGAATCTTCCTTGTGTTGTGTGTATTCAACTCACAGAGTTGAACGATCCTTTACACAGAGCAGACTTGAAACACTCTTTTTGTGGAATTTGCAAGTGGAGATTTCAGCAGCTTTGAGGTCCATGGTAGAAAAGGAAATATCTTCGTATAAAAACTAGACAGAATGATTCTCAGAAACTCCTTTGTGATGTGTGTGTTCAACTCACAGAGTTTAACCTTTCTTTTCATAGAGCAGTTAGTAAACACTCTGTTTATAAAGTCTGCAAGTGGATATTCAGACCCCTTTGAGGCCTTCGTTGGAAACGGAATTTCTTCATATTATGCTAGACAGAAGAATTCTCAGTAACTTCCTTGTGTTGTGTGTATTCAACTCACAGAGTTGAACGATCCTTTACACAGAGCAGACTTGAAACACTCTTTTTGTGGAATTTGCAATTGGAGATTTCAGCCGCTTTGAGTTCAATGGTAGAATAGGAAATATCTTCCTATAGAAACTAGACAGAATGATTCTCAGAAACTCCTTTGTGATGTGTGCGTTCAACTCACAGAGTTCAACCTTTCTTTTCATAGAGCCGTTGGGAAACACTCTGTTTGTAAAGTCTGCAAGTGGATATTCAGACCTCTTTGAGGCCTTCGTTGGAAGCGGGATTTCTTCATATTCTTCTAGACAGAAGAATTCCCAGTAACTTCCTTGTGTTGTGTGTGTTCAACTGACAGAGTTGAACTTTCATTTACACAGAGCAGATTTGAAACACTCTTTTTGTGGAATTTGCAAGTGGAGATTTCAAGCGCTTTGAGGCCAAAGGCAGAAAAGGAAATATCTTCGTATAAAAACTAGACAGAATCATTCTCAGAAGCTGCTCTGCGATGTGTGTGTTCAACTCTCAGAGTTTAACTTTTCTTTTCATTCAGCAGTTTGGAAACACTCTGTTTGTAAAGTCTGCACGTGGATAATTTGACCACTTAGAGGCCTTCGTTGGAAACGGGTTTTTTTCATGTAAGGTTAGACAGAAGAATTCCCAGTAACTTCCTTGTGTTGTGTGCATTCAACTCACAGAGTTGAACGATCCTTTACACAGAGCAGACTTGAAACACTCTTTTTGTGGAATTTGCAAGTGGAGATTTCAGCCGCTTTGAGGTCAATGGTAGAATAGGAAATATCTTCCTATAGAAACTAGACAGAATCATTCCCACAAACTGCGTTGTGATGTGTTCGTTCATCTCACAGAGTTTAACCTTTCTTTTCATAGAGCAGTTAGGAAACACTCTGTTTGTAAATTCTGTAAGTGGATATTCTGACATCTTGTGGCCTTCGTTGGAAACGGGATTTCTTCATACTGTGCTAGACAGAAGAATTCTCAGTAACTTCCTTGTGTTGTGTTTATTCAACTCACAGAGTTGAATGATCCTTTACACAGAGCAGACTTGAAACACTCTTTTTGTGGAATCTGCAAGTGGAGATTTCAGCCGCTTTGAGGTCAATGGTAGAAAAGGAAATATCTTCGTATAAAGACTAGACAGAACGATTCTCAGAAACTCCTTTGTGATGTGTGCGTACAACTCACAGAGTTTAACCTTTCTTTTCATAGAGCAGTTAGGAAACACTCTGTTTGTAAAGTCTGCAAGTGGATATTCAGACCTCTTTGAGGCCTTCGTTGGAAACGGGATTTCTTCATATTCTGCTAGACAGAAGAATTCTCAGTAACTTCCTTGTGTTGTGTGTATTCAACTCACAGAGTTGTACGATCCTTTACACAGAGCAGACTTGAAACACTCTTTTTGTGGAATTTGCAAGTGGAGATTTCAGCCGCTTTGAGGTCAATAGTAGAAAAGGAAATATCTTCGTAGAAAAACTATACAGAATCATTCCCACAAACTGCGTTGTGATGTGTTCGTTCAACTCACAGAGTTTAACCTTTGTGTTCATAGAGCAGTTAGGAAACACTCTGTTTGTAAAGTCTGTAAGTGGATATTCTGACATCTTGTGGCCTTCGTTGGAAACCGGATTTCTTCATATTCTGCTAGACAGAAGAATTCTCAGTAACTTCCTTGTGTTGTGTGTATTAAACTCACAGGGTTGAACGATCCTTTAAACAGAGCAGACTTGAAACACTCTTTTTGTGGAATTTGCAAGTGGAGATTTCAGCCGCTTTGAGGTCAATGGTAGAATAGGAAATATCTTCCTATAGAAACTAGACAGAATGATTCTCAGAAACTCCTTTGTGATGTGTGCGTTCAACACACAGAGTTTAACCTTTCTTTTCATAGAGGAGTTAGTAAACACTCTGTTTATAAAGTCTGCAAGTGGATATTCAGACCCCTTTGAGGCCTTCGTTGGAAACGGGATTTCTTCATATTCTGCTAGACAGAAGAATTCTCAGTAACTTTCCTTGTGTTGTGTGTATTCAACTGACAAAGTTGAACTTTCATTTAGAGGGAGCAGATTTGAAACACTGTTTTTGTGGAATTTGCAAGTGGAGATTTCAAGCGCTTTGGGGCCAAAGGCAGAAAAGGATATATCTTCGTATAAAAACTAGACAGAATCATTTTCAGAAACTGCTGCGTGATGTGTGCGTTCAACTCTCAGAGTTTAACTTTTCTTTTCATTCAGCGGTTTGGAAACACTCTGTTTGTAAAGTCTGCACGTGGATATTTTGACCACTTAGAGGCCTTCGTTGGAAACGGGTTTTTTTCATGTAAGGCTAGACAGAAGAATTCCCAGTAACTTCCTTGTGTTGAGTGCATTCAACTCACAGAGTTGAACGTTCCCTTAGACAGAGCAGATTTGAAACACTCTATTTGTGTAATTTGCAAGTGTAGATTTCAAGCGCTTTAAGGTCAATGGCAGAAAAGGAAATATCTTCGTTTCAAAACTAGACAGAATGATTCTCAGAAACTCCTTTGTGATGTGTGCGTTCAACTCACAGAGTTTAACCTTTCTGTTCATAGAGCAGTTAGGAAACACTCTGTTTGTAAAGTCTGTAAGTGGATATTCTGACATCTTGTGGCCTTCGTTGGAAACGGGATTTCTGCATATTCTGCTAGACAGAAAAATTCTCAGTAACTTCCTTGTGTTGTGTGTATTCAACTCACAGAGTTGAACGATCCTTTACACAGAGCAGACTTGTAACACTCTTTTTGTGGAATTTGCAAGTGGAGATTTCAGCCGCTTTGAAGTCAAAGGTAGAAAAGGAAATATCTTCCTATAAAAACTAGACAGAATGATTCTCAGAAACTCCTTTGTGATGAGTGTGTTCAACTCACAGAGTTTAACCTTTCTTTTCATAGAGCAGTTAGGAAACACTCTGTTTGTAAAGTCTGCAAGTGGATATTCAGACCTCTTTGAGGCCTTCGTTGGAAACGGGTTTTTTTCATATAAGGCTAGACAGAAGGATTCCCAGTAACTTCCTTGTGTTGTGTGTGTTCAACTCACACAGTTGAACTTTCATTTACAAAGAGCAGATTTGAAACACTCTTTTTGTGGAATTTGCAAGTGGAGATTTCAAGCGCTTTGAGGCCAAAGGCAGAAAAGGAAATATCTTCGTATAAAAACTAGACAGAATCATTCTCAGAAACTGCTCTGCGATGTGTGCGTTCAACTCTCAGAGTTTAACTTTTCTTTTCATTCAGTAGTTTGGAAACACTCTGTTTCTAAAGTCTGCACGTGGATAATTTGACCACTTAGAGGCCTTCGTTGGAAACGGGTTTTTTTCATGTAAGGCTAGACAGAAGAATTCCCAGTAACTTCCTTGTGTTGTGTGCATTCAACTCACAGAGTTGAACGTTCCCTTAGAGCAGATTTGAAACACTCTATTTGTGCAATTTGCAAGTGTAGATTTCAAGCGCTTTAAGGTCAATGGCAGAAAAGGAAATATCTTCGTTTCAAAACTAGACAGAATCATTCCGACAAACTGCGTTGTGATGTGTTCGTTGAACTCACAGAGTTTAACCTTTCTGTTCATAGAGCAGTTAGGAAACACTCTGTTTGTAAAGTCTGTAAGTGGATATTCTGACATCTTGTGGCCTTCGTTGGAAACGGGATTTCTTCATATTCTGCTGGACAGAATAATTCTCAGTAAGTCCCTTGTGTTGTGTGTATTCAACTCACAGAGTTGAACGATCCTTTACACAGAGCAGACTTGAAACATTCTTTTTGTGGAATTTGCAACTGGAGATTTCAGCCGCTTTGAGGTCAATGGTAGAATAGGAAATATCTTCCTATAGAAACTAGACAGAATGATTCTCAGAAACTTCTTTGGGATGTGTGCCTTCAACTCACAGAGTTTAACCTTTCTTTTCATAGAGCAGTTAGGAAACACTCTGTTTGTAAAGTCTGCAAGTGGATATTCAGACCTCTTTGAGGCCTTCGTTGGAAACGGGTTTTTTTCATATAAGGCTAGACAGAAGAATTCCCAGTAACTTCCTTGTGATGTGTGTGTTCAACTCACAGAGTTGAACTTTCATTTACACAGAGCACATTTGAAACACTCTTTTTGTGGAATTTGCAAGTGGAGATTTCAAGCGCTTTGAGGCCAAAGGCAGAAAAGGAAATATCTTCGTATAAAAACTAGACAGAATCATTCTCAGAAACTGCTCTGCGATGTGTGCGTTCAACTCTCAGAGTTTAACTTTTCTTTTCATTCAGAAGTTTGGAAACACTCTGTTTGTAAAGTCTGCACGTGGATAACTTGACCACTTAGAGGCCTTCGTTGGAAACGGGTTTTTTTCATGTAAGGCTAGACAGAAGAATTCCCAGTAACTTCCTTGTGTTGTGTGCATTCAACTCACAGAGTTGAACGTTCCCTTAGACAGAGCAGATTTGAAACACTCTATTTGTGCAATTTGCAAGTGTAGATTTCAAGCGCTTTAAGGTCAATGACAGAAAAGGAAATATCTTCGTTTCAAAACTAGACAGAATGATTCTCAGAAACTCCTTTGTGATGTGTGCGTTCAACTCACAGAGTTCTACCTTTCTTTTCATAGAGCAGTTGGGAAACACTCTGTTTGTAAAGTCTGCAAGTGGATATTCAGACTTCTTTGAGGCCTTCGTTGGAAGCGGGATTTCTTCATATTCTGCTAGACAGAAGAATTCTCAGTAACTTCCTTGTGTTGTGTGTATTCAACTCACAGAGTTGAACGATCCTTTACACAGAACAGTCTTGAAACACTCTTTTTGTGGAATTTGCAAGTGGAGATTTCAGCCGCTTTGAGGTCAATGGTAGAATAGGAAATATCTTCCTATAGAAACTAGACAGAATAATTCTCAGAAACTGCTTTGTGATGTGTGCGTTCAACTCACAGAGTTTAAACTTTCTTTTCATAGAGCAGTTAGGAAACACTCTGTTTATAAAGTCGGCAAGTGGATATTCAGACCTCTTTGAGGCCTTCGTTGGAAACGGGATTTCTTCATATTCTGCTAGACAGAAAAATTCTCAGTAACTTCCTTGTGTTGTGTGTATTCAACTCACAGAGTTGAACGATCGTTTACACAGAGCAGACTTGAAACACTCTTTTTGTGGAATTTGCAAGGGGAGATTTCAGCCGCTTTGAGGTCAATAGTAGAAAAGGAAGTATCTTCATATAGAAATTATACAGAATGATTCTCAGAAACTCCTTTGAGCTGTGTGCGTTCAACTCACAGAGTTTAACCTTTCTTTTCATAGAGCAGTTAGGAAACACTCTGTTTGTAAAGTCTGCAAGTGGATATTCAGACATCTTTGAGGCTTTCGTTGGAAACGGGATTTCTTCATATTCTGCTAGACAGAAGAATTCTCAGTAACTTCCTTGTGTTGTGTGTATTCAACTCACAGAGTTGAACGATCCTTTACACAGAGCGGACTTGAAACACTCTTTTTGTGGAATTTGCAAGTGGAGATTTCAGCCGCGTTGAGGTCAATGGTATAAAAGGAAATATCTTCGTATAAAAACTAGACAGAATAATTCTCAGAAACTCCTTTGTGATGTGTGTGTTCAACTCACAGAGTTTAACCTTTCTTTTCATAGAGCAGTTAGTAAACACTCTGTTTATAAAGTCTGCAAGTGGATATTCAGACCCCTTTGAGGCCTTCGTTGGAAACGGGATTTCTTCATATTATGCTAGACAGAAGAATTCCCAGTAACTTCCTTGTGTTGTGTGTGTTCAACTCACAGAGTTGAACGTTCATTTACACAGAGCAGATTTGAAACACTCTTTTTGTGGAATTTGCAAGTGGAGATTTCAAGCGCTTTGAGGCCAAAGGCAGAAAAGGAAATATCTCCGTTTCAAAACTAGACAGAATCATTCTCAGAAACTGCTCTGTGATGTGTGCGTTCAACTCTCAGAGTTTAACTTTTCTTTTCATTCAGCAGTTTGGAAACACTCTGTTTGTAAAGTCTACACGTGGATATTTTGACCACTTAGAGACCTTCGTTGGAAACGGGTTTTTTTCATGTAAGGCTAGACAGAAGAATTCCCAGTAACTTCCTTGTGTTGTGTGCATTCAACTCACAGAGATGAACGTTCCCTTAGACAGAGCAGATTTGAAACACTCTATTTGTGCAATTTGCAAGTGTAGATTTCAAGCACTTTAAGGTCAATGGCAGAAAAGGAAATATCTTCGTTTCAAAACTAGACAGAATCATTCCCACAAACTGCGTTGGGATGTGCTCGTTCAACTCACAGAGTTTAAACTTTCTGTTCATAGAGCAGTTAGGAAACACTCTGTTTGTAAAGTCTGTAAGTGGATATTCTGACATCTTGTGGCCTTCGTTGGAAACGGGATTTCTTCATATTCTGCTAGACAGAAGAATTCTCAGTAACTTCCTTGTGTTGTGTGTATTCAACTCACAGAGTTGAACGATCCTTTACACAGAGCAGACATGTAACACTCTTTTTGTGGAATTTGTAAGTGGAGATTTCAGCCGCGTTGAGGTCAATGGTAGAAAAGGAAATATCTTCGTATAAAAACTAGACAGAATGATTCTCAGAAACTTCATTGTGATGTGTGCGTTCAACTCACAGAGTTTAACCTTTCTTTTCATAGAGAAGTTAGGAAACACTCTGTTTGTAAACTCTGCAAGTGGATATTCAGACCTCTTTGAGGCCTTCGTTGGAAACGGGATTTCTTCATACTGTGCTAGACAGAATAATTCTCAGTAACTTCCTTGTGTTGTGTGTATTCAACTCACAGAGTTGAAAGATCCTTTACAGAGAGCAGGCTTGAAACACTCTTTTTGTCGAATTTGCAAGTGGAGATTTCTGCCGCTTTGAGGTCAATGGTAGAATAGGAAATATCTTCTTATAGAAACTAGACAGAATGATTCTCAGAAACTCCTTTGTGATGTGTGTGTTCAACTCACAGAGTTTAACCTTTCTTTTCATAGAGCAGTTAGGAAACACTCTGTTTGTAATGTCTGCAAGTGGATATTGAGACCTCTTTGAGGCCTTCGTTGGAAACGGGTTTTTTTCATATAAGGCTAGACAGAAGAATTCCCAGTAACTTCCTTGTGTTGTGTACATTCAACTCACAGAGTTGAACGTTCCCTTAGACAGAGCAGATTTGAAACACTCTTTTTGTGCAATTGGCAAGTGGAGATTTCAAGCGCTTTAAGGTCAACGGCAGAAAAGGAAATATCTTCGTTTCAAAACTAGACAGAATCATTCCCACAAACTGCGTTGTGATGTGTTCGTTCAACTCACAGAGTTTAACCTTTCTGTTCATAGAGCAGTTAGGAAACACTCTCTTTGTAAAGTCTGTAAGTGGATATTCTGACATCTTGTGGCCTTCGTTGGAAACGGGATTTCTTCATATTCTGCTAGACAGAAGAATTCTCAGTAACTTCCTTGTGTTGTGTGTATTCAACTCACAGAGTTGAACGATCCTTTACACAGAGCAGACTTGAAACATTCTTTTTGTGGAATTTGCAAGTGGAGATTTCAGCCGCTTTGAGGTCAATGGTAGAATAGGAAATATCTTCCTATAGAAACTAGACAGGAACGATTCTCAGAAACTCCTTTGTGATGTGTGCGTTCAACTCACAGAGTTTAACCTTTCTTTTCATAGAGCAGTTAGGAAACACTCTGTTTGTAATGTCTGCAAGTGGATTTTCAGACCTCCTTGAGGCCTTCGTTGGAAACGGGATTTCTTCCTATTCTGCTAGACAGAAGAATTCTCAGAAACTTCCTTGTGTAGTGTATATTCAACTCACAGAGTTGAACGATCCTTTACACAGAGCAGACTTGAAACACTCTTTTTGTGGATTTTGCAAGTGGAGATTTCAAGCGCTTTTGGGGCCAAAGGCAGAAAAGGAAATATCTTCATATAAAAACTAGACAGAATCATTCTCAGAAACTGCTCTGTGATGTGTGCGTTCAACTCTCAGAGTTTAACTTTTCTTTTCATTCAGCAGTTTGGAAACACTCTGTTTGTAAAGTCTGCACGTGGATATTTTGACCACTTAGAGGCCTTCGTTGGAAACGGGTTTTCTTCATGTAAGGCTAGACAGAAGAATTCCCAGTAACTTCCTTGTGTTGTGTGCATTCAACTCACAGAGTTGAACGTTCCCTTAGACGGAGCAGATTTGAAACACTCTATTTGTGCAATTTGCAAGTGTAGATTTCAAGCGCTTTAAGGTCAATGGCAGAAAAGGAAATATCTTCGTTTCAAAACTAGAGAGAATCATTCCCACAAACTGCGTTGTGATGTGTTCGTACAACTCACAGAGTTTAACCTTTCTGTTCATAGAGCAGTTAGGAAACACTCTGTTTGTAAAGTCTGTAAGTGGATATTCAGACATCTTGTGGCCTTCGTTGGAAACGGGATTTCTTCATATTCTGCTAGACAGAAGAATTCTCAGTAACTTCCTTGTGTTGTGTTTATTCAACTCACAGAGTTGAATGATCCTTTACGCAGAGCAGACTTGAAACACTCTTTTTGTGGAATTTGCAAGTGGAGATTTCAGCCGCTTTGAGGTCAATGGTAGAAAAGTAAATATCTTCGTATAAAGACTAGACAGAATGATTCTCAGAAACTCCTTTGTGATGTGTGCATTCAACTCACAGAGTTTAACCTTTCTGTTCATAGAGCAGTTAGGAAACACTCTGTTTGTAAAGTCTGCAAGTGGATATTCAGACCTCCTTGAGGCCTTCGTTGGAAACGGGATTTCTTCATATTCTGCTAGACAGAAGAATTCCCAGTAACTTCCTTGTGTTGTGTGTGTTCAACTCACAGAGTTGAACTTTCATTTACACAGAGCAGATTTGAAACACTCTTTTTGTGGAATATGCAAGTGGAGATTTCAAGCGCTTTTAGGCCAAAGGCAGAAAAGGAAATATCTTCGTTTCAAAACTAGACAGAATGATTCTCAGAAACTGCTCTGCGATGTGTGCGTTCAACTCTCAGAGTGTAACTTTTCTTTTCATTCAGCAGTTTGGAAACACTCTGTTTGTAAAGTCTGCACGTGGATATTTTGACCACTTAGAGGCCTTCGTTGGAAACGGGTTTTTTTCCTGTAAGGCTAGACAGAAGAATTCCCAGTAACTTCCTTGTGTTGTGTACATTCAACTCACAGAGTTGAACGTTCCCTTAGACAGAGCAGATTTGAAACACTCTTTTTGTGCAATTGGCAAATGGAGATTTCAAGCGCTTTAAGTTCAATGGCAGAAAAGGAAATATCTTCGTTTCAAAACTGGACAGAATCATTCCCACAAACTGCGTTGTGATGTGTTCGTTCAACTCACAGAGTTTAACCTTTCTTTTCATAGAGCAGTTAGGAAACAGTCTGTTTGTCAATTCTGTAAGTGGATGTTCTGACATCTTGTGGCCTTCGTTGGAAACGGGATTTCTTCATATTCTGCTAGACAGAAGAATTCTCAGTAACTTCCTTGTGTTGTGTGTATTTAACTCACAGAGTTGAACGATCCTTTACACAGAGCAGACTTGAAACACTCTTTTTGTGGAATTTGCAAGTGGAGATTTCAGCCGCTTTGAGGTCAATGGTAGAATAGGAAATATCTTCGTATAAAAACTAGACAGAATGATTCTCAGAAACTCCTTTGTGATGTGTGCGTTCAACTCACAGAGTTTAACCTTTCTTTTCATAGAGCAGTTAGGAAACACTCTGTTTGTAAAGTCTGCAAGTGGATATTCAGACCTCCTTGAGGCCTTCGTTGGAAACGGGATTTCTACATATTATGCTAGACAGAAGAATTCTCAGTAACTTCCTTGTGTTGTGTGTATTCAACTCACAGAGTTGAACGATCCTTTACACAGAGCAGACTTGAAACACTCTTTTTGTGGAATTTGCAAGTGGAGATTTCTGCCTCTTTGAGGTCAATGGTAGAATACGAAATATCTTCCTATAGAAACTAGACAGAATCATTCTCAGAAACTGCTGCATGATGCGTGCGTTCAACTCTCAAAGTTTAACTTTTCTTTTCATTCAGCGGTTTGGAAACACTCTGTTTGTAAAGTCTGCACGTGGATATTTTGACCACTTAGAGGCCTTCGTTGGAAACGGGTTTTTTTCATGTAAGGCTAGACAGAAGAATTCCCAGTAATTTCCTTGTGTTGTGTGCATTCAACTCACAGAGTTGAACGTTCCCTTAGACAGAGCAGATTTGAAACACTCTATTTGTGCAATTTGCAAGTGTAGATTTCAAGCGCTTTAAGGTCAATGGCAGAAAAGGAAATATCTTCGTTTCAAAACTAGACAGAATCATTCCCACAAACTGCGTTGTGATGTGTTCGTTCAACTCACAGAGTTTAACCTTTCTGTTCATAGAGCAGTTAGGAAACACTCTGTTTGTAAAGCCTGTAAGTGGATATTCTGACATCTTGTGGCCTTCGTTGGAAACGGGATTTCTTCATATTCTGCTAGACAGAAGAATTCTCAGTAACTTCCTTGTGTTGTGTGTATTCAACTCACAGAGTTGAACGATCCTTTACACAGAGCAGACTTGAAACACTCTTTTTGTGTAATTTGCAAGTGGAGATTTCAGACGATTTGAGGTCAATGGTAGAAAAGGAAATATCTTCGTATAAAGACTAGACAGAATGATTCTCAGAAACTCCTTTGTGATGTGTGTGTTCAACTCACAAAGTTTAACCTTTCTTTTCATAGAGCAGTTAGGAAACACTCTGTTTGTAAAGTCTGCAAGTGGATATTCAGACCTCTTTGAGGCCTTCGTTGGAAACGGGTTTTTTTCATATAAGGCTAGACAGAAGAATTCCCAGTAACTTCCTTGTGTTGTGTGTGTTCAACTCACAGAGTTGAACTTTCATTTACACAGAGCAGATTTGAAACACTCTTTTTGTGGAATTTGCAAATGGAGATTTCAAGCGCTTTGAGGTCAAAGGCAGAAAAGGAAATATCTTCGTATAAAAACTAGACAGAATGATTCTCAGAAACTGCTCTGCGATGTGTGCGTTCAACTCTCAGAGTGTATCTTTTCTTTTCATTCAGCAGTTTGGAAACACTCTGTTTATAAAGTCTGCACGTGGATATTTTGACCACTTAGAGGCCTTCGTTGGAAACGGGATTTTTTCATGTAAGGCTAGACCGAAGAATTCCCAGTAACTTCCTTGTGTTGTGTGCATTCAACTCACAGAGTTGAACGTTCCCTTAGACAGAGCAGATTTGAAACACTCTATTTGTGCAATTTGCAAGTGTAGATTTCAAGCGCTTTAAGGTCAATGGCAGAAAAGGGAATATCTTCGTTTCAAAACTAGACAGAATCATTCCCACAAACTGCGTTGTGATGTGTTCGTTCAACTCACAGAGTTTAACCTTTCTGTTCATAGAGCAGTTAGGAAACACTCTGTTTGTAAAGTCTGTAAGTGGATATTCTGACCTCTTGTGGCCTTCGTTGGAAACGGGATTTCTTCATATTCTGCTAGACAGAAGAATTCTAAGTAACTTCCTTGTGTTGTGTGTATTCAACTCACAGAGTTGAACGATCCTTTACAGAGAGCAGACTTGAAACACTCTTTTTGTGGAATTTGCAAGTGGAGATTTCAGCCGCTTTGAGGTCAATGGTAGAATAGGAAATATCTTCCTATAGAAACTAGACAGAATGATTCTCAGAAACTTCATTGTGATGTGTGCGTTCAACTCACAGAGTTTAACCTTTCTTTTCATAGAGCAGTTAGGAAACACTCTGTTTGTAAACTCTGCAAGTGGATATTCAGACCTCTTTGAGGCCTTCGTTGGAAACGGGATTTCTTCATACTGTGCTAGACAGAAGAATTCTCAGTAACTTCCTTGTGTTGTGTGTATTCAACTCACAGAGTTGAACGATCCTTTACACAGAGCAGACTTGTAACACTCTTTTTGTGGAATTTGCAAGTGGAGATTTCAGCCGCTTTGAATCAAAGGTAGAAAAGGAAATATCTTCCTATAAAAACTAGACAGAATGATTCTCAGAAACTCCTTCGTGATGTGTGCGTTCAACTCACAGAGTTTAACCTTTCTTTTCATAGAGCAGTTAGGAAACACTCTGTTTGTAAAGTCTGCAAGTGGATATTGAGACATCTTTGAGGCCTTCGTTGGAAACGGGATTTCTTCATGTTCTGCTAGACAGAAGAATTCCCAGTAACTTCCTTGTGTTGTGTGCATTCAACTCACAGAGTTGAACGTTCCCTTAGACAGAGCAGATTTGAAACACTCTATTTGTGCAATTTGCAAGTGTAGATGTCAAGCGCTTTAAGGTCAATGGCAGAAAAGGAAATATCTTCGTTTCAAAACTAGACAGAATCATTCCCACAAACTGCGTTGTGATGTGTTCGTTCAACTCACAGAGTTTAACCTTTCTGTTCATAGAGCAGTTAGGAAACACTCTATTTCTAAAGTCTGTAAGTGGATATTCTGACATCTTGTGGCCTTCGTTGGAAACGGGATTTCTTCATATTCTGCTAGACAGAAGAATTCTCAGTAACTTCCTTGTGTTGTGTGTATTCAACTCACAGAGTTGAACGATCCTTTACACAGAGCAGACTTGAAACATTCTTTTTGTGGAATTTGCAAGTGGAGATTTCAGCCGCTTTCAGGTCAATGGTAGAATAGGAAATATCTTCATATAGAAACTAGACAGAATGATTCTCAGAAACTCCTTTGTGATGTGTGCGTTCAACTCACAGAGTTTAACCTTTCTTTTCATAGAGCAGTTGGGAAACACTCTGTTTGTAAAGTCTGCAAGTGGATATTCAGACCTCCTTGAGGCCTTCGTTGGAAACGGGATTTCTTCATATAATGCTAGACAGAAGAATTCTCAGTAACTTCCTTGTGTTGTGTGTATTCAACTCACAGAGTTGAACGATCCTTTACACAGAGCACACTTGAAACACTCTTTTTGTGGAATTTGCAAGTGGAGATTTCAGCCGCTTTGAGGTCAATAGTAGAAAAGGAAATATCTTCGTAGAAAAACTAGACAGAATCATTCTCAGAAACTGCTGCGTGATGTGTGCGTTCAACTCTCAGAGTTTAACTTTTCTTTTCATTCAGCGGTTTGGAAACACTCTGTTTGTAAAGTCTGCACGTGGATATTTTGACCACTTAGAGGCCTTCTTTGGAAACGGGTTTTCTTCATGTAAGGCTAGACAGAAGAATTCCCAGTAACTTCCTTGTGTTGTGTGCATTCAACTCACAGAGTTGAACGTTCCTTTAGACAGAGCAGATTTGAAACACTCTATTTGTGCAATTTGCAAGTGTAGATTTCAAGCGCTTTAAGGTCAACGGCAGAAAAGGAAATATCTTCGTTTCAAAACTAGACAGAATCATTCCCACAAACTGCGTTGTGATATGTTCGTTCAACTCACAGAGTTTAACCTTTCTGTTCATAGAGCAGTTAGGAAACACTGTGTTTGTAAAGTCTGTAAGTGGATATTCTGACATCTTGTGGCCTTCGTTGGAAACGGGATTTCTTCATATTGTGCTAGACAGAAGAATTCTCAGTAACTTCCTTGTGTTGTGTGTATTCAACACACAGAGTTGAACGATCCTTTACACAGAGCAGACTTGAAACACTCTTTTTGTGGAATTTGCAAGTGGAGATTTCAGCCGCTTTGATGTCAATGGTAGAAAAGGAAATATCTTCGTATAAAGACTAGACAGAATGATTCTCAGAAACTCCTTTGTGATGTGTGCGTTCAACTCACAGAGTTTAACCTTTCTTTTCATAGAGCAGTTAGGAAACACTCTGTTTGTAAAGTCTGCAAGTGGATATTCAGACCTCTTTGAGGCCTTCGTTGGAAACAGGTTTTTTTCCTATAAGGCTAGACAGAAGAATTCCCAGTAACATCCTTGTGTTGTGTGTGTTCAACTCACAGAGTTGAACTTTCATTTACACAGATCAGATTTGAAAGACTCTTTTTGTGGAATTTGCAAATGGAGATTTCAAGCGCTTTGAGGCCAAAGGCAGAAAAGGAAATATCTTCGTTTCAAAACTAGACAGAATCATTCCAAGAAACTGCTCTGCGATGTGTGCGTTCAACTCTCAGAGTTTAAATTTGCTTTTCATTCAGCAGTTTGGAAACACTCTGTTTGTAAAGTCTGCACGTGGATAATTTGACCACTTAGAGGCCTTCGTTGGAAACGGGTTTTTTTCATGTAAGGCTAGACAGAAGAATTCTCAGTAACTTCCTTGTGTTGTGTGTATTCAACTCACACAGTTGAACGATCCTTTACACAGAGCAGACTTGGAACACTCTTTTTGTGGAATTTGCAAGTGGAGATTTCAGCCGCTTTGAAGTCAAAGGTAGAAAAGGAAATATCTTCCTATAAAAACTAGACAGAATCATTCCCACAAACTGCGTTGTGATGGTGTTCGTTCAACTCACAGAGTTTAACCTTTCTTTTCATAGAGCAGTTAGGAAACAGTCTGTTTGGTAAATTCTGTAAGGGGATATTCTGACATCTTGTGGCCTTCGTTGGAAACGGGATTTCTTCATATTCTGCTAGACAGAACAATTCTCAGTAACTTCCTTGTGTTGTGTGTATTCAACTCACAGAGTTGAACGATCCTTTACACAGAGCAGACTTGAAACACTCTTTTTGTGGAATTTGCAAGTGGAGATTTCAGCCGCTTTGAGGTCAATAGTAGAAAAGGAAATGTCTTCGTAGAAAAACTAGACAGAATGATTCTCAGAAACTCCTTTGTGGTGTGTGCGTTCAACTCACAGAGTTTAACCTTTCTTTTCATAGAGCAGTTAGGAAACACTCTGTTTGTAAAGTCTGCAAGTGGATATTCAGACCTCTTTGAGGCCTTCGTTGGAAACGGGATTTTTTCATATAAGGCTAGACAGAATAATTCTCAGTAACTTCCTTGTGTTGTGTGTATTCAACTGAGAGAGTTGAACGTTCATTTAGAGAGAGCAGATTTGAAACACTGTTTTTGTGGAATTTGCAATTGGAGATTTCAAGCGCTTTAGGGCCAAAGGCAGAAAAGGAAATATCTTCGTATAAAAACTAGACAGAATCATTCTCAGAAACTGCTGCGTGATGTCTGCGTTCAACTCTCAGAGTTTAACTTTTCTTTTCATTCAGCGGTTTGGAAACACTCTCTTTGTAAAGTCTGCACGTGGATATTTTGACCTCTTAGAGGCCTTCGTTGGAAACGGGTTTTCTTCATGTAAGGCTAGACAGAAGAATTCCCAGTAACTTCCTTGTGTTGTGTACATTCAACTCACAGAGTTGAACGTTCCCTTAGACAGAGCAGATTTGAAAGACTCTTTTTCTGCAATTGGCAAATGGAGATTTCAAGCGCTTTAAGGTCAATGGCAGAAAAGGAAATATCTTCGTTTCAAAACTAGACAGAATCATTCCCACAAACTGCGTTGTGATGTGTTCGTTCATCTCACAGAGTTTAACCTTTCTTTTCATAGAGCAGTTAGGAAACAGTCTGTTTGTAAATTCTGTAAGTGGATATTCTGACATCTTGTGGCCTTCGTTGGAAACGGGATTTCTTCATATTCTGCTAGACAGAAGAATTCTCAGAAACTTCGTTGTGTTGTGTGTTTTCAACTCACAGAGTTGAACGATCCTTTACACAGAGTAGACTTGAAAAACTCTTTTTGTAGAATTTGCAAGTGGAGATTTCAGCCGCTTTGAGGTCAATGGTAGAAAAGGAAATATCTTCGTATAAAAACTAGACAGAATGATTCTCAGAAACTCCTTTGTGATGTGTGCGTTCAACTCACAGAGTTCAACCTTTCTTTTCATAGAGCAGTTGGGAAACACTCTGTTTGTAAATTCTGCAAATGCATATTCAGACTTCTTTGAGGCCTTCGTTGGAAGCGGGATTTCTTCATATTCTGCTAGACAGAAGAATTCTCAGAAACTTCGATGTGTTGTGTGTTTTCAAATCACAGAGTTCAACGATCCTTTACACAGAGTAGACTTGAAACACTCTTTTTGTGGAATTGGCAGGGTGGAGATTTCAGCCGCTTTGAGGTCAATGGTAGAAAAAGAAATATCTTCGTATAAAAACTAGACAGAATGATTCTCAGAAACTCCTTTGTGATGTGTGCGTTCAACGCACAGAGTTCAACCTTTCTTTTCATAGAGCAGTTGGGAAACACTCTGTTTGTAAAGTCTGCAAGTGGATATTCAGACTTCTTTGAGGCCTTCGTTGGAAGCGGGATTTCTTCATATTCAACTAGACAGAAGAATTCCCAGTAACTTCCTTGTGTTGTGTACATTCAACTCACAGAGTTGAACGTTCCCTTAGACAGAGCAGATTTGAAACACTCTTTTTGTGCAATTGGCAAATGGAGATTTCAAGCGATTTAAGGTCAATGGCAGAAAAGGAAATATCTTCGTTTCAAAACTAGACAGAATGATTCTCAGAAACTTCATTGTGATGTGTGCGTTCAACTCACAGAGTTTAACCTTTCTTTTCATAGAGCAGTTAGGAAACAGTCTGTTTGTAAATTCTGTAAGTGGATATTCTGACATCTTGTGGCCTTCGTTGGAAACGGGATTTCTTCATATTCTGCTAGACAGAAGAATTATCAGTAACTTCCTTGTGTTGTGTGTATTCAACTCACAGAGTTGAACGATCCTTTACACAGAGCAGACTTGAAACACTCTTTTTGTGGAATTTGCAAGTGGAGATTTCAGCCGCTTTGAGGTCAATGGTAGAATAGGAAATATCTTCCTATAGAAAATAGACAGAATGATTCTCAGAAACTCCTTTGTGATGTGTGCGTTCAACTCACAGAGTTTAACCTTTCTGTTCATAGAGCAGTTAGGAAACACTCTGTTTGTAAAGTCTGCAAGTGGATATTCAGACCTCTTTGAGGCCTTCGTTGGAAACGGGATTTCTTCATATTCTGCTAGACAGAATAATTCTCAGTAACTTCCTTGTGTTGTGTGTATTCAACTCACAGAGTTGAACTTTCATTTAGAGAGAGCAGATTTGAAACACTGTTTTTGTGGAATTTGCAAGTGGAGATTTCAGCCGCTTTGAGGTCAATGGTAGAATAGGAAATATCTTCCTATAGAAACTAGACAGAATCATTCTCAGAAACTACTCTGCGATGTGTGCGTTCAACTCTCAGAGTTTAACTTTTCTTTTCATTCAGCAGTTTGGAAACACTCTGTTTGTAAAGTCTGCACGTGGATATTTTGACCACTTAGAGGCCTTCGTTGGAAACGGGTTTCTTTCCTGTAAGGCTAGACAGAAGAATTCCCAGTAACTTCCTTGTGTTGTGTGCATTCAACTCACAGAGTTGAACGTTCCCTTAGACAGAGCAGATTTGAAACACTCTATTTGTGCAATTTGCAAGTGTAGATTCCAAGCGCTTTAAGGTCAATGGCAGAAAAGGAAATATCTTCGTTTCAAAACTAGACAGAATCATTCCCACAAACTGCGTTGTGATGTGTTCGTTCAACTCACAGAGTTTAACCTTTCTGTTCATAGAGCATTTAGGAAACACTCTGTTTGTAAAGTCTGCAAGTGGATATTCAGACCTCCTTGAGGCCTTCGTTGGAAACGGGATTTCTTCATATTCTGCTAGACAGAAGAATTCTCAGTAACTTCCTTGTGTTGTGTGTATTCAACTCACAGAGTTGAACGATCCTTTACACAGAGCAGACTTGAAACACTCTTTTTGTGAAATTTGCAAGTGGAGATTTCAGCCGTTTTGAGGTCAATGGTAGAAAAGGAAATATCTTCGTATAAAGACTAGACAGAATGATTCTCAGAAACTCCTTTGTGATGTGTGCGTTCAACTCACAGAGTTCAACCTTTCTTTTCATAGAGCAGTTGGGAAACACTCTGTTTGTAAAGTCTGCAAGTGGATATTCAGACCTCTTTGAGGCCTTCTTTGGAAGCGGGATTTCTTCATATTCTTCTAGACAGAAGAATTCTCAGTAACTTCCTTGTGTTGTGTGTATTCAACTCACAGAGTTGAACGATCCTTTACACAGAGTAGACTTGAAACACTCTTTTTGTGGAATTTGCAAGTGGAGATTTCAGCCGCTTTGAGGTCAATGGTAGAATAGGAAATATCTTCCTATAGAAACCAGACAGAATGATTCTCAGAAACTTCTTTGCGATGTGTGCGTTCAACTCACAGAGTTTAACCTTTCTTTTCATAGAGCAGTTAGGAAACACTCTGTTTGTAAACTCTGCAAGTGGATATTCAGACCTCTTTGAGGCCTTCGTTGGAAACGGGATTTCTTCATACTATGCTAGACAGAAGAATTCCCAGTAACTTCCTTCTGTTGTGTGTGTTCAACTCACAGAGTTGAACTTTCATTTACACAGAGTAGATTTGAAACACTCTTTTTGTGGAATTTGCAAGTGGAGATTTCAAGCGCTTTGAGGCCAAAGGCAGAAAAGGAAATATCTTCGTTTCAAAACTAGACAGAATCATTCTCAGAAACTGCTCTGCGATGTGTGCCTTCAACTCTCAGAGTTTAACTTTTCTTTTCATTCAGCAGTTTGGAAACACTCTGTTTGTAAAGTCTGCACGTGGATATTTTGACCACTTAGAGGCCTTCGTTGGAAACGGGTTTTTTTCCTGTAAGGCTAGACAGAAGAATTCCCAGTAACTTCCTTGTGTTGTGTACATTCAACTCACAGAGTTGAACGTTCCCTTAGACAGAGCAGATTTGAAACACTCTTTTTGTGCAATTGGCAAATGGAGATTTCAAGCGCTTTAAGATCAATGGCAGAAAAGGAAATATCTTCGTTTCAAAACTAGACAGAATCATTCCAACAAACTGCGTTGTGATGTGTTCGTTCAACTCACAGAGTTTAACCTTTCTGTTCATAGAGCAGTTAGGAAACACTCTGTTTGTAAAGTCTGTAAGTGGATATTCTGACATCTTGTGGCCTTCGTTGGAAACGGGATTTCTTCATATTCTGCTAGACAGAAGAATTCTCAGAAACTTCGTTCTGTTGTGTGTTTTCAACTCACAGAGTTCAACGATCCTTTACAGAGAGTAGACTTGAAACACTCTTTTTGTGGAATTGGCAGGGTGGAGATTTCAGCCGCTTTGAGGTCAATGGTAGAAAAGGAAATATCTTCGTATAAAAACTAGACAGAATGATTCTCAGAAACTCCTTTGTGATGTGTGCGTTCAACTCACAGTGTTTAACCTTTCTTTTCCTAGAGTAGTTAGGAAACACTCTGTTTTTAAAGTCTGCAAGTGGATATTCAGACCTCTTTGAGGCCTTCGTTGGAAACGGGATTTCTTCATATTATGCTAGACAGAAGAATTCTCAGTAACTTCCTTGTGTTGTGTGTATTCAACTGACAGAGTTGAACTTTCATTTAGAGATAGCAGATTTGAAACACTGTTTTTGTGGAATTTGCAAGTGGAGATTTCAAGCGCTTTGGGGCCAAAGGAAGAAAAGGAAATATCTTCGTATAAAAACTAGACAGAATCATTCTCAGAAACTGCTGCGTGATGTGTGCGTTCAACTCTCAGAGTTTAACTTTTCTTTTCATTCAGCGGTTTGGAAACACTCTGTTTGTAAAGTCTGCACTTGGATATTTTGACCACTTAGAGGCCTTCGTTGGAAACGGGTTTTTTTTCATGTAAGGCTAGACAGAAGAATTCCCAGTAACTTCCTTGTGTTGTGTGCATTCAACTCACAGAGTTGAACGTTCCCTTAGACAGAGCAGATTTGAAACACTCTATTTGTGCAATTTGCAAGTGTAGATTTCAAGCGCTTTAAGGTCAATGGCAGAAAAGGAAATTTCTTCGTTTCAAAACTAGACAGAAATCATTCCCACAAACTGCGTTGTGATGTGTTCGTTCAACTCACAGAAGTTTAACCTTTCTTTTCATAGAGCAGTTAGGAAACAGTCTGTTTGTAAATTCTGTAAGTGGATATTCTGACATCTTGTGGCCTTCGTTGGAAACGGGATTTCTTCATATTCTGCTAGACAGAAGAATTCTCAGAATCTTCCCTTGTGTTGTGTGTATTCAACTCACAGAGTTGAACGATCCTTTACACAGAGCAGACTTGAAACACTCTTTTTGTGGAATTTGCAAGTGGAGATTTCAGCCGCTTTGAAGTCAAAGGTAGAAAAGGAAATATCTTCCTATAAAAACTAGACAGAGTGATTCTCAGAAACTCCTTTGTGATGTCTGCGTTCAACTCACAGAGTTTAACCTTTCTTTTCATAGAGCAGTTAGGAAACACTCTGTTTGTAAAGTCTGCAAGTGGATATTCAGACCTCCTTGAGGCCTTCGTTGGAAACGGGATTTCTTCATATTATGCTAGACAGAAGAATTCTCAGTAACTTCCTTGTGTTGTGTTTATTCAACTGACAGAGTTGAACTTTCATTTAGAGAGAGCAGATTTGAAACACTGTTTTTGTGGAATTTGCAAGTGGAGATTTCAAGCGCTTTGGGGCCAAAGGCAGAAAAGGAAATATCTTCGTATAAAAACTAGACAGAAATCATTCTCAGAAACTGCTCTGTGATGTGTGCGTTCAACTCTCAGAGTTTAACTTTTCTTTTCATTCAGCAGTTTGGAAACACTCTGTTTGTAAAGTCTGCACGTGCATAATTTGACCACTTAGAGGTCTTCGATGGAAACGGGTTTTTTTCATGTAAGGCTAGACAGAAGAATTCTCAGTAACTTCCTTGTGTTGTGTGTATTCAACTCACAGAGTTGAACGATCCTTTACACAGAGCAGTCTTGTAACACTCTTTTTGTGGAATTTGCAAGTGGAGATTTCAGCCGCTTTGAAGTCAAAGGTAGAAAAGGAAATATCTTCCTATAAAAACTAGACAGAATCATTCCCACAAACTGCGTTGTGATGTGTTTGTTCAACTCACAGAGTTTAACCTTTCTTTTCATAGAGCAGTTAGGAAACAGTCTGTTTGTAAATTCTGTAAGTGGATATTCTGACATCTTGTGGCCTTCGTTGGAAACGGGATTTCTTCATATTCTGCTAGACAGAAGAATTCTCAGAAACTTCCTTGGGTTGTGTGTATTCAACTCACAGAGTTGAACGATCGTTTACACAGAGCAGACTTGAAACACTCTTTTTGTGGAATTTGCAAGTGGAGATTTCAGCCGCTTTGAGGTCAATGGTAGGAAAGGAAATATCTTCGTATAAAAATTAGACAGAATGATTCTCAGAAACTCCTTTGTGATGTGTGCGTTCAACTCACAGAGTTTAACCTTTCGTTTCATAGAGCAGTTAGGAAACACTCTGTTTGTAAAGTCTGCAAGTGGATATTAAGACCTCTTTGAGGCCTTCGTTGGAAACGGGATTTCTTCATATTCTGCTAGACAGAAGAATTCTCAGTAACTTCCTTGTGTTGTGTGTATTCAACTGACAGAGTTGAACTTTCATTTAGAGAGAGCAGATTTGAAACACTGTTTTTGTGGAATTTGCAAGTGGAGATTTCCAGCGCTTTGGGGCCAAAGGCAGAAAAGGAAATATCTTCGTATAAAAACTAGACAGAATCATTCTCAGAAACTGCTCTGCGATGTGTGCGTTCAACTCTCAGAGTTTAACTTTTCTTTTCATTCAGCAGTTTGGAAACACTCTGTTTGTAAAGTCTGCACGTGGATAACTTGACCACTTAGAGGCCTTCGTTGGAAACGGGTTTTTTTAATGTAAGGCTAGACAGAAGAATTCCCAGTAACTTCCTTGTGTTGTGTACATTCAACTCACAGAGTTGAACGTTCCCTTAGACAGAGCAGATTTGAAACTCTCTTTTTGTGCAATTGGCAAGTGGAGATTTCAAGCGCTTTAAGGTCAATGGCAGAAAAGGAAATATCTTCGTTTCAAAACTAGACAGAATCATTCCCACAAACTGCGTTGTGATGTGTTCGTTCGACTCACAGAGTTTAACCTTTCTGTTCATAGAGCAGTTAGGAAACACTCTGTTTGTAAAGTCTGCAAGTGGATATTCAGACCTCCTTGAGGCCTTCGTTGGAAACGGGATTTCTTCATTTTCTGGTAGACAGAAGAGTTCTCAGTAACTTCCTTGTGTTGTGTGTATTCAACTCACAGAGTTGAACGATCCTTTACACAGAGCAGACTTGAAACACTCTTTTTGTGGAATTTGCAAGTGGAGATTTCAGCCGCTTTTAGGTCAATAGTAGAAAAGGAAATATCTTCGTAGAAAAACTAGACAGAATGATTCTCAGAAACTCCTTTGTGATGTGTGCGTTCAACTCACAGAGTTTAACTTTTCTTTTCATAGAGCAGTTAGGAAACACTCTATTTGTAAAGTCTGCAAGTGGATATTCAGACCTCTTTGAGGCCTTCGTTGGAAACGGGATTTCTTCATATTATGCTAGACAGAAGAATTTTCAGTAACTTCCTTGTGTTGTGTGTAGTCAACTGACAGAGTTGAACTCTCATTTAGACAGAGCAGATTTGAAACACTCTTTTTGTGGAATTTGCAAGCGGAGATTACAAGCGCTTTGAGGCCAAAGGCAGAAAAGGAAATATCTTCGTATAAAAACTAGACAGAATCATTCTCAGAAACTGCTCTGCGATGTGTGCGTTCAACTCTCAGAGTTTAACTTTTCTTTTCATTCAGCAGTTTGGAAACACTCTGTTTGTAATGTCTGCACGTGGATATTTTGACCACTTAGAGGCCTTCGTTGCAAACGGGTTTTTTTCCTGTAAGGCTAGACAGAAGAATTCCCAGTAACTATCCTTGTGTTGTGTACATTCAACTCACAAGCAGTTGAACGTTCCCTTAGACAGAGCAGATTTGAAACACTCTTTTTGTGCAATTGGCAAGTGGAGATTTCAAGCGCTTTAAGGTCAATGGCAGAAAAGGAAACATCTTCGTTTCAAAACTAGACAGAATGATTCTCAGAAACTCCTTTGTGATGTGTGCGTTCAACTCACAGAGTTTAACCTTTCTTTTCATAGAGCAGTTAGGAAACACTCTGCTTGTAAAGTCTGCAAGTGGATATTCAGACCTCTTTGAGGCCTTCGTTGGAAACGGGATTTCTTCATACTGTGCTAGACAGAAGAATTCTCAGTAACTTCCTTGTGTTGTGTGTATTCAACTCACAGAGTTGAACGATCCTTTACACAGAGCGGACTTGAAACACACTTTTTGTGGAATTTGCAAGTGGAGATTTCAGCCGCGTTGAGGTCAATGGTAGAAAAGGAAATATCTTCGTATAAAAACCAGACAGAATGATTCTCAGAAAATCTTTTGTGATGTGTGCGTTCAACTCACAGAGTTTAACTTTTCTTCTCATAGAGCAGTTAGGAAACACTCTGTTTGTAAAGTCTGCATGTGGATATTCAGACCTCTATGAGGCCTTCGTTGGAAACGGGATTTCTACATATTATGCTAGACAGAAGAATTCTCAGAAACTTCCTTGTGTTGTGTGTTTTCAACTCACAGAGTTGAACGATCCTTTACACAGAGCAGACTTGAAACACTCTTTTTGTGGAATTTGCAAGTGGAGATTTCAGCCGCTTTGAGGTCAATGGTAGAATAGGAAATATCTTCATATAGAAACTAGACAGAATGATTCTCAGAAACTTCTTTGTGATGTGTGCGTTCAACTCACAGAGTTTAACCTTTCTTTTCATAGAGCAGTTAGGAAACACTCTGTTTGTAAACTCTGCAAGTGGATATTCAGACCTCTTTGAGGCCTTCGTTGGTAACGGGATTTCTTCATACTATGCTAGACAGAAGAATTCCCAGTAACTTCCTTGTGTTGTGTGTGTTCAACTCACAGAGTTGAACTTTCATTTACACAGAGCAGATTTGAAACACTCTTTTTGTGGAATTTGCAAGTGGAGATTTCAAGCGCTTTGAGGCCAAAGGCAGAAAAGGAAATATCTTTGTTTCAAAACTAGACAGAATCATTCTCAGAAACTGCTCTGCGATGTGTGCGTTCAAGTCTCAGAGTTTAACTTTTCTTTTCATTCAGCAGTTTGGAAACACTCTGTTTGTAAAGTCTGCACGTGGATAATTTGACCACTTAGAGGCCTTCGTTGGAAACGGGTTTTGTTCATGTAAGGCTAGACAGAAGAATTCCCAGTAACTTCCTTGTGTTGTGTACATTCAACTCACAGAGTTGAACGTTCCCTTTGACAGAGCAGATTTGAAACACTCTTTTTGTGCAATTGGCAAGTGGAGATTTCAAGCGCTTTAAGGTCAATGGCAGAAAAGGAAATATCTTCGTTTCAAAACTAGACAGAATGATTCTCAGAAACTCCTTTGTGATGTGTGCGTTCAACTCACAGAGTTCAACCTTTCTTTTCATAGAGCAGTTGGGAAACACTCTGTTTGTAAAGTCTGCAAGTGGATATTCAGACTTCTTTGAGGCCTTCGTTGGAAGCGGGATTTCTTCATATTCTGCTTGACAGAAGAATTCTCAGTAACTTCCTTGTGTTGTGTGTATTCAACTCACAGAGTTGAACGATCCTTTACACAGAGCATACTTGAAACACTCTTGTTGTGGAATTTGCAAGGGGAGATTTCAGCCGCTTTGAGGTCAATGGTAGAATAGGAAACATCTTCCTATAGAAACTAGACAGAATAATTCTCAGAAACTCCTTTGTGATGTGTGCGTTCAACTGACAGAGTTTAACCTTTCTTTTCATAGAGCAGTTAGGAAACACTCTGTTTGTAAAGTCTGCAAGTGGATATTCAGACCTCTTTGAGGCCTTCGTTGGAAACGGGTTTTTTTCATATAAGGCTAGACAGAAGAATTCTCAGTAACTTCCTTGTGTTGTGTGTATTTAACTCACAGAGTTGAATGATCCTTTACACAGAACAGTCTTGAAACACTCTTTTTGTGGAATTTGCAAGTGGAGATTTCAGCCGCTTTGAGGTCAATGGTAGAATAGGAAATATCTTCCTATAGAAACTAGACAGAATGATTCTCAGAAACTCGTTTGTGATGTGTGTGTTCAACTCACAGAGTTTAACCTTTCTTTTCATAGAGCAGTTAGTAAACACTCTGTTTATAAAGTCTGCAAGTGGATATTCAGACCCCTTTGAGGCCTTCGTTGGAAACGGGATTTCTTCATATTATGCTAGACAGAAGAATTCTCAGTAACTTCCTTGTGTTGTGTGTATTCAACTGACAGAGTTGAACTTTCATTTGGAGAGAGCAGATTTGAAACACTGTTTTTGTGGAATTTGCAAGTGGAGATTTCAAGCGCTTTGGGGCCAAAGGCAGAAAAGGAAATATCTTCGTATAAAAACTAGACAGAATCATTCTCAGAAACTGCTGCGTGATGTGTGCGTTCAACTCTCAGAGTTTAACTTTTCTTTTCATTCAGCCGTTTGGAAACACTCCGTTTGTAAAGTCTGCACGTGGAAATTTTGACCACTTAGAGGCCTTCGTTGGAAACGGGTTTTTTTCATGTAAGGCTAGACAGAAGAATTCCCAGTAACTTCCTTGTGTTGTGTACATTCAACTCACAGAATTGAACGTTCCCTTAGACAGAGCAGATTTGAAACACTCTTTTTGTGCAATTGGCAAGTGGAGATTTCAAGCGCTTTAAGGTCAATGGCAGAAAAGGAAATATCTTCGTTTCAAAACTAGACAGAACGATTCTCAGAAACTCCTTTGTGATGTGTGCGTTCAACTCACAGAGTTTAACCTTTCTTCTCATAGAGCAGTTAGGAAACACTCTGTTTGTAAAGTCTGCAAGTGGATATTCAGACATCTTCGAGGCTTTCGTTGGAAACGGGATTTCTTCATATTCTGCTATACAGAAGAATTCTCAGTAACTTCCTTGTGTTGTGTGTATTCAAATCACAGAGTTGAATGATCCTTTACACAGAACAGACTTGAAACACTCTTTTTGTGGAATTTGCAAGTGGAGATTTCAGCCGCTTTGAGGTCAATGGTAGAATAGGAAATATCTTCCTATAGAAACTAGACAGAATGATTCTCAGAAACTCCTTTGTGATGTGTGCGTTCAACTCACAGAGTTTAACCTTTCTTTTCATAGAGCAGTTAGGAAACACTCTGTTTGTAAAGTCTGCAAGTGGATATTCAGACCTCCTTGAGGCCTTCGTTGGAAACGGGATTTCTTCCTATTCTGCTAGACAGAAGAATTCCCAGTAACTTCCTTGTGTTGTGTGTGTTCAACTCACAGAGTTGAACTTTCATTTACACAGAGCAGATTTGAAACACTCTTTTTGTGGAATTTGCAAATGGAGATTTTAAGCGCTTTGAGGCCAAAGGCAGAAAAGGAAATATCTTCGTATAAAAACTAGACAGAATCATTCTCAGAAACTGCTCTGCGATGTGTGCGTTCAACTCTCAGAGTTTAACTTTTCTTTTCATTCAGAAGTTTGGAAACACTCTGTTTGTAAAGTCTGCACGTGGATATTTTGACCATTTAGAGGCCTTCGTTGGAAACGGGTTTTTTTCTTGTAAGGCTAGACAGAAGAATTCCCAGTAACTTCCTTGTGTTGTGTAGATTCAACTCACAGAGTTGAACGTTCCCTTAGACAGAGCAGATTTGAAACACTCTTTTTGTGCAATCGGCAAGTGGAGATTTCAAGCGCTTTAAGGTCAATGGCAGAAAAGGAAATATCTTCGTTTCAAAACTAGACAGAATCATTCCCACAAACGGCGTTGTGATGTGTTCGTTCAACTCACAGAGTTTAACCTTTCTGTTCATAGAGCAGTTAGGAAACACTCTGTTTGTAAAGTCTGCAAGTGGATATTCAGACCTCCTTGAGGCCTTCGTTGGAAACGGGATTTCTTCATATTCTGCTAGACAGAAGAATTCTCAGTAACTTCCTTGTGTTGTGTGTATTCAACTCACACAGTTGAACGATCCTTTACACAGAGCAGACTTGAAACACTCTTTTTGTGGAATTTGCAAGTGGAGATTTCAGCCGCTTTGAGGTCAATGGTTGAAAAGGAAACTATCTTCATATAAAGACTAGACAGAATGATTCTCAGAAACTCCTTTGTGATGTGTGTGTTCAACTCACAGAGTTTAACCTTTCTTTTCATAGAGCAGTTAGGAAACACTCTGTTTATAAAGTCTGCAAGTGGATATTCAGACCCCTTTGAGGTCTTCGTTGGAAACGGGATTTCTTCATATTATGCTAGACAGAAGAATTCTCAGTAACTTCCTTGTGTTGTGTGTATTCAACTCACAGAGTTGAAGGATCCTTTACAGAGAGCAGGCTTGAAACACTCTTTTTGTCGAATTTGCAAGTGGAGATTTCAGCCGCTTTGAGGTCAATGGTAGAATAGGAAATATCTTCTTATACAAACTAGACAGAATGATTCTCAGAAACTCCTTTGTGATGTGTGCGTTCAACTCACAGAGTTTAACCTTTCTTTTCATAGAGCAGTTAGGAAACACTCTGTTTGTAAAGTCTGCAAGTGGATATTGAGACCTCCTTTAGGACTTCGTTGGAAACGGGATTTCTTCATATTATGCTAGACAGAAGAATTCCCAGTAACTTCTTTGTGTTGTGTACATTCTACTCACAGAGTTGAACGTTCCCTTAGACAGAGCAGATTTGAAACACTCTTTTTGTGCAATTGGCAAGTGTTGATTTCAACCGCTTTGAGGTCAATGGTAGAAAAGGAAATATCTTCGTATAAAAACTAGACAGAATCATTCCCGCAAACTGCGTTGTGATGTGTTCGTTCAACTCACAGAGTTTAACCTTTCTTTTCATAGAGCAGTTAGGAAACAGTCTGTTTGAAAATTCTGTAAGTGGATATTCTGACATCTTGTGGCCTTCGTTGGAAACGGGATTTCTTCATATTCTGCTAGACAGAAGAATTCTCAGTAACTTCCTTGTGTTGTGTGTATTCAACTCACAGAGTTGAACGATCCTTTACACAGAGCAGACTTGAAACACCCTTTTTGTGGAATTTGCAAGTGGAGATTTCAGCCGCGTTGAGGTCAATGGTAGAAAAGGAAATATCTTCGTATAAAAACTGGACAGAAGGATTCTCAGAAACTCCTTTGTGATGTGTGCATTCAACTCACAGAGTTTAACCTTTCTTTTCATAGAGCAGTTAGGAAACACTCTGTTTGTAAAGTCTGCAAGTGGATATTCAGACCTCTTTGAGGCCTTCGTTGGAAACGGGATTTCTTCATATTCTGCTAGACAGAAGAATTCTCAGTAACTTCCTTGTGTTGTGTGTATTCAACTCACAGAGTTGAACGATCCTTTTCACAGAGCAGACTTGAAACACTCTTTTTGTGGAATTTGCAAGTGGAGATTTCAGCCGCTTTGAGGTCAATGGTAGAATAGGAAATATCTTCGTAGAAAAACTAGACAGAATGATTCTGAGAAACTCCTTTGTGATGTGTGCGTTCAACTCACACAGTTTAACCTTTCTTTTCATATAGCAGTTAGGAAACACTCTGTTTGTAAAGTCTGCAAGTGGATATTCAGACCTCCTTGAGGCCTTCGTTGGAAACGGGATTTCTTCAAATTCTGCTAGACAGAAGAATTCCCAGTAACTTCCTTGTGTTGTGTACATTCAACTCACAGAGTTGAACGTTTCCTTAGACAGAGCAGATTTGAAACACTCTTTTTGTGCAATTGGCAAGTGGTGATTTCAGCCGCTTTGTGGTCAATGGTAGAAAAGGAAATATCTTCATATAAAAACTAGACAGAATCATTCCCACAAACTGCGTTGTGATGTTTTCGTTCAACTCACAGGGTTTAACCTTTCTTTTCATAGAGCAGTTAGGAAACACTCTGTTTGTAAAGTCTCTAAGTGGATATACTGACATCTTGTTGCCTTCTTTGGAAACGGGATTTCTTCATATTCTGCTATACAGAAGAATTCTCAGTAACTTCCTTGTGTTGTGTGTATTCAACTCACAGAGTTAAATGATCCTTTACACAGAGCAGACTTGAAAAACTCTTTTTGTGGAATTTGCAAGTGGAGATTTCAGCCGCTTTGTGGTCAATGGTAGAATAGGAAATATCTTCCTATAGAAACTAGACAGAATGATTCTCAGGAACTCCTATGTGATGTGTGCGTTCAACTCACAGAGTTTAACTTTTCTTTTCATAGAGCAGTTAGGAAACACTCTGTTTGTAAAGTCTGCAAGTGGATATTCAGACCTCTTGAGGCCTTCGTTGGAAACGGGATTTCTTCATATTATGCTAGACAGAAGAATTCTCAGTAACTTACCTTGTGTTGTGTGTATTCAACTGACAGAGTTGAACTTTCATTTAGAGAGAGCAGATTTGAAACACTGTTTTTGTGGAATTTGCAAGTGGAGATTTCAAGCGCTTTGCGGCCAAAGGCAGAAAAGGAAATATCTTCGTATAAAAACTAGACAGAATCATTCTCAGAAACTGCTGCGTGATGTATGCGTTCAACTCTCAGAGTTTAACTTTTCTTTTCATTCAGCGGTTTGGAAACACTCTGTTGTAAAGTCTGCACGTGGATATTTTGACCACTTAGAGGCCTTCGTTGGAAAGGGGTTTTTTTCATGTAAGGCTAGACAGAAGAATTCCCAGTAACTTCCTTGTGTTGTGTGCATTCAACTCACAGAGTTGAACGTTCCCTTAGACAGAGCAGATTTGAAACACTCTATTTGTGCAATTTGCAAGTGTAGATTTCAAGCGCTTTAAGGTCAATGGCACAAAAGGAAATATCTTCGTTTCAAAACTAGACAGAATCATTCCCACAAACTGCGTTGTGATGTGTTCGTTCAACTCACAGAGTTTAACCTTTCTGTTCATAGAGCAGTTAGGAAACACTCTGTTTGTAAAGTCTGCAAGTGGATATTCAGACCTCCTTGAGGCTTTCTTTGGAAACGGGATTTCTTCATATTCTGGTAGACAGAAGAATTCTCAGAAACTTCCTTGTGTTCTGTGTATTCAACTCACAGAGATGAACGATCCTTTACACAGAGCAGATTTGACACACTCTTTTTGTGGAATTTGCAAGTGGAGATTTCAGCCGCTTTGAGGTCCATGGTAGAAAAGGAAATATCTTCGTATAAAAACTAGACAGAATGATTCTCAGAAACTCCTTTGTGATGTGTGCGTTCAACTCACAGAGTTTAACTTTTCTGTTCATAGAGCAGTTAGGAAACACTCTGTTTGTAAAGTCTGCAAGTGGATATTCAGACCTCTTTGAGGCCTTCGTTGGAAACGGGATTTCTTCATATTATTCTAGACAGAAGAATTCCCAGTAACTTCCTTGTGTTGTGTGTGTTCAACTCACAGAGTTAAACTTCCATTTACACAGAGCAGATTTGAAACACTCTTTTTGTGGAATTTGCAAGTGGAGATTTCAAGCGCTTTGAGGCCAAAGGCAGAAAAGGAAATATCTTCGTTTCAAAACTAGACAGAAATCATTCTCAGAAACTGCTCTGCGATGTGTGCGTTCAACTCTCAGCAGTTTAACTTTTCTTTTCATTCAGCAGTTTGGAAACACTCTGTTTTTAAAGTCTGCACGTGGATAATTTGACCACTTAGAGGCCTTCGTTGGAAACGGGTTTTTTTCATGTAAGGCTAGACAGAAGAATTCTCAGTAACTTCCTTGTGTTGTGTGTATTCACCTCACAGAGTTGAACGATCCTTTACACAGAGCAGACTTGTAACACTCTTTTTGTGGAATTTGCAAGTGGAGATTTCAGCCGCTTTGAAGTCAAAGGCAGAAAAGGAAATATCTTCCTATAAAAACTAGACAGAATCATTCCCACAAACTGCGTTGTGATGTGTTCGTTCAACTCACAGAGTTTAACCTTTCTATTCATAGAGCAGTTAGGAAACACTCTGTTTGTAAAGTCTGCAAGTGGATATTCAGACCACCTTGAGGCCTTCGTTGGAAACGGGATTTCTTGATATTCTGCTAGACAGAAGATTTCTCAGTAACTTCCTTGTGTTGTGTGTATTCAACTCACAGAGTTGAACGATCCTTTACACAGAGCAGACTTGAAACACTCTTTTTGTGGAATTTGCAAGTGGAGATTTCAGCCGCTTTGAGGTCAATGGTAGAATAGGAAATATCTTCGTATAGAAACTAGACAGAATGATTCTCAGAAACTCCTTTGTGATGTGTGCGTTCAACTCACAGAGTTCAACCTTTCTTTTCATAGAGCAGTTGGGAAACACTCTGTTTGTAAAGTCTGCAAGTGGATATTCAGACTTCTTTGAGGCCTTCGTTGGAAGCGGGATTTCTTCATATTCTGCTAGAAAGAAGAATTCCCAGTAACTTCCCTTGTGTTGTGTGTGTTCAACTCACAGAGTTGAACTTTCATTTACACAGAGCAGATTTGAAACACTCTTTTTGTGGAATTTGCAGGTGGAGATTTCAAGCGCTTTGAGGCCAAAGGCAGAAAAGGAAATATCTTCGTATAAAAACTAGACAGAATCATTCTCAGAAACTGCTCTGCGATGTGTGCGTTCAACTCTCAGAGTTTAACTTTTCTTTTCATTCAGCAGTTTGGAAACACTCTGTTTGTAAAGTCTGCACGTGGATAACTTGACCACTTAGAGGCCTTCGTTGGAAACGGGTTTTTTTCCTGTAAGGCTAGACAGAAGAATTCCCAGTAACTTCCTTGTGTTGTGTGCATTCAACTCACAGAGTTGAACGTTCCCTTAGACAGAGCAGATTTGAAACACTCTATTTGTGCAATTTGCAAGTGTAGATTTCAAGCGCTTTAAGGTCAATGGCAGAAAAGGAAATATCTCCGTTTCAAAACTAGACAGAATCATTCCCACAAACTGCGTTGTGATGTGCTCGTTCAACTCACAGAGTTTAACCTTTCTGTTCATAGAGCAGTTAGGAAACACTCTGTTTGTAAAGTCTGTAAGTGGATATTCTGACATCTTGTGGCCTTCGTTGGAAACGGGATTTCTTCATATTCTGCTAGACAGAAGAATTCTCAATAACTTCCTTGTGTTGTGTGTATTCAACTCACAGAGTTGAACGATCCTTTACACAGAGCAGACTTGAAACACTCTTTTTGTGGAATTTGCAAGTGGAGATTTCAGCCGCTTTGAGGTCAATGGTAGAAAAGGGAATATCTTCGTATCGAAACTAGACAGAATGATTCTCAGAAACTCCTTTGTGATGTGTGCGTTCAACTCACAGAGTTTAACCTTTCTGTTCATAGAGCAGTTAGGAAACACTCTGTTTGTAAAGTCTGCAAGTGGATATTCAGACCTCCTTGGGGCCTTCGTTGGAAACGGGATTTCTTCATATTCTGCTAGACAGAAGAATTCCCAGTAACTTCCTTGTGTTGTGTGTGTTCAAATCACAGAGTTGAACTTTCATTTACACAGAGCAGATTTGAAACACTCTTTTTGTGGAATTTGCAAGTGGAGATTTCAAGCGCTTTGAGGCCAAAGGCAGAAAAGGAAATATCTTCGTTTCAAAACTAGACAGAATCATTCTCAGAAACTGCTCTGCGATGTGTGCGTTCAACTCTCAGAGTTTAACTTTTCTTTTCATTCAGCAGTTTGGAAACACTCTGTTTGTAAAGTCTGCACGTGGATAACTTGACCACTTAGAGGCCTTCGTTGGAACCGGGTTTTTTTCATGTAAGGCTAGACAGAAGAATTCCCAGTAACTTCCTTGTGTTGTGTGCATTCAACTCACAGAGTTGAACGTTCCCTTAGACAGAGCAGATTTGAAACACTCTATTTGTGCAATTTGCAAGTGTAGATTTCAAGCGCTTTAAGGTCAGTGGCAGAAAAGGAAATATCTTCGTTTCAAAACTAGACAGAATCATTCCCACAAACTGCGTTGTGATGTGTTCGTTCAACTCACAGAGTTTAACCTTTCTTTTCATAGAGCAGTTAGGAAACAGTCTGTTTGTCAATTCTGTAAGTGGATATTCTGACATCTTGTGGCCTTCGTTGGAAACGGGATTTCTTCATATTCTCCTAGACAGAAGAATTCTCAGTAACTTCCTTGTGTTGTGTGTATTCAACTCACAGAGTTGAACGATCCTTTACACAGAGCAGACTTGAAACACTCTTTTTGTGGAATTTGCAAGTGGAGATTTCAGCCACTTTGAGGTCAATGGTAGAAAAGGAAATATCTTCGTAGAAAAACTAGACAGAACGATTCTCAGAAACTCCTTTGTGATGTGAGCGTTCAACTCACACAGTTTAACCTTTCTTTTCTTAGAGCAGTTAGGAAACACTCTGTTTGTAAAGTCTGCAAGTGGATATTCAGACCTCTTTGAGGCCTTCGTTGGAAACGGGATTTCTTCGTATTCTGCTAGACAGAAGAATTCTCAGTAACTTCTTGGTGTTGTGTGTATTCAACTCACAGAGTTGAACGATGCTTTACACAGAGCAGACTTGAAACACTCTTTTTGTGGAATTTGCAAGTGGAGATTTCAGCCGCTTTGAGGTCCATGGTAGAAAAGGAAATATCTTCGTATAAAAACTAGACAGAATGATTCTCAGAAACTCCTTTGTGATGTGTGCGTTCAACTCACAGAGTTTAAACTTTCTTTTCATAGAGCAGTTAGGAAACACTCTGTTTGTAAAGTCTGCAGGTGGATATTCAGACATCATTGAGGCTTTCGTTGGAAAAGGGATTTCTTCATATTCTGCTAGACAGAGAATTCCCAGTAACTTCCTTGTGTTGTGTGTGTTCAACTCACAGAGTTGAACTTTCATTTACACAGAGCAGATTTGAAACACTCTTTTTGTGGAATTTGCAAGTGGAGATTTCAAGCGCTTTGAGGCCAAAGGCAGAAAAGGAAATATCTTCGTTTCAAAACTAGACAGAATCATTCTCAGAAACTGCTCTGCGATGTGTGCGTTCAACTCTCAGAGTTTAACTTTTCTTTTCATTCAGCAGTTTGGAAACACTCTGTTTGTAAAGTCTGCACGTGGATATTTTGACCACTTAGAGGCTTTCGTTGGAAACGGATTTTTTTCCTGTAAGGCTAGACAGAAGAATTCCCAGTAACTTCCTTGTGTTGTGTACATTCAACTCACAGAGTTGAACGTTCCCTTAGACAGAGCAGATTTGAAACACTCTTTTTGTGCAATTGGCAAGTGGAGATTTCAAGCGCTTTAAGGTCAATGGAAGAAAAGGAAATATCTTCGTTTCAAAACTAGACAGAATCATTCCCACAAACTGCGTTGTGATGTGTTCTTTCAACTCACTGAGTTTAACCTTTCTTTTCATAGAGCAGTTAGGAAACAATCTGTTTGTAAATTCTGTAAGTGGATATTCTGACATCTTGTGGCCTTCGTTGGTAACGGGATTTCTTCATATTCTGTTAGACAGAAGAATTCTCAGTAACTTCCTTGTGTTGTGTGTATTCAACTCACAGAGTTGAACGATTCTTTACACACAGCAGACTTGAAACACTCTTTTTGTGGAATTTGCAAGTGGAGATTTCAGCCGCTTTCAGGTCAATGGTAGAATAGGAAATATCTTCCTATAGAAACTAGACAGAATGATTCTCAGAAACTCCTTTGTGATGTGTGCGTTCAACTCACAGAGTTTTACCATTCTTTTCATAGAGCAGTTAGGAAACACTCTGTTTGTAAAGTCTGCAAGTGGATATTCAGACCTCTTTGAGGCCTTCGTTGGAAACGGGATTTCTTCATATTCTGCTAGAGAGAAGAATTCTCAGTAACTTCCTTGTGTTGTGTGTATTCAACTCACAGAGTTCAACGATCCTTTACACAGAGCAGACTTGAAACACTCTTTTTGTGGAATTTGCAAGTGGAGATTTCAGCCGCTTTGAAGTCAATGGTAGAAAAGGAAATATCTTCGTATAAA
The DNA here is from genome assembly GCF_000001405.40 of Homo sapiens. Classification (NCBI taxonomy): domain Eukaryota; kingdom Metazoa; phylum Chordata; class Mammalia; order Primates; family Hominidae; genus Homo; species Homo sapiens. The sequence continues at coordinate 123,059,086 of NC_000001.11, forward strand.
AAGTAGACAGAATGATTCTCAGAAACTCCTTTGTGATGTGTGCATTCAACTCACAGAGTTTAACCTTTCTTTTCATAGAGCAGTTAGGAAACACTCTGTTTGTAAAGTCTGCAACTGGATATTCAGACCTCCTTAAGGCCTTCGTTGGAAACGGGATTTCTTCATATTATGCTAGACAGAAGAATTCCCAGTAACTTCCCTTGTGTTGTGTGTGTTCAACTCACAGAGTTGAACTTTCATTTACACAGAGCAGATTTGAAACACTCTTTTTGTGGAATTTGCAAGTGGAGATTTCAAGCGCTTTGAGGTCAAAGGCAGAAAAGGAAATATCTTCGTATAAAAACTAGACAGAGTCTTTCTCAGAAACTGCTCTGTGATGTGTGCGTTCAACTCTCAGAGTTTAACTTTTCTTTTCATTCAGCAGTTTGGAAACACTCTGTTTGTAAAGTTTGCACGTGGACATTGTGACCACTTAGAGGCCTTCGTTGGAAACGGGTTTTTTTCATGTAAGGCTAGACAGAAGAATTCCCAATAACTTCCTTGTGTTGTGTGCACTCAAGTCACAGAGATGAATGTTCCCTTAGACAGAGCAGATTTGAAACACTCTATTTGTGCAATTTGCAAGTGTAGATTTCAAGCGCTTTAAGGTCAATGGCAGAAAAGGAAATATTTTCGTTTCAAAACTAGACAGAATGATTCTCAGAAACTCCTTTGTGATATGTGCGTTCAACTCACAGAGTTTAACCTTTCTTTTCATAGAGCAGTTAGGAAACACTCTGTTTGTAATGTCTGCAAGTGGATATTCAGACATCTTTGAGGCTTTCGTTGGAAACGGGATTTCTTCATATTCTGCTAGACAGAAGAATTCTCAGAAACTTCCTTGTGTTGTGTGTTTTCAACTCACAGAGTTGAACGATCCTTTACCACAGAGCAGACTTGAAACACTCTTTTTGTGGAATTTGCAAGTGGAGATTTCAGCCGCTTTGAGGTCAATGGTAGAAAAGGAAATATCTTCGTATAAAAACTAGACAGAATGATTCTCAGAAACTCCTTTGTGATGTGTGCGTTCAACACACAGAGTTAAACTTTTCTTTTCATAGAGCAGTTAGGAAACACTCTGTTTGTAAAGTCTGCAAGTGGATATTCAGACCTCTTTGAGGCCTTCGGTGGAAACGAGATTTCTTCATATTATGCTAGACAGAACAATTCTCAGTAACTTCCTTGTGTTGTGTGTATTCAACTCACAGAGTTGAACGATCCTTTACAGAGAGCACACTTGAAACACTCTTTTTGTGGAATTTGCAAGTGGAGATTTCAGCCGCTTTGAGGTCAATGGTAGAATAGGAAATATCTTCCAATAGAAACTAGACAGAATCATTCTCAGAAACTGCTCTGCGATGTGTGCGTTCAACTCTCAGAGTTTAACTTTTCTTTTCATTCAGCAGTTTGGAAACACTCTGTTTGTAAAGTCTGCACGTGGATAATTTGACCACTTAGAGGCCTTCGTTGGAAACGGGTTTTTTTCATGGAAGGCTAGACAGAAGAATTCCCAGTAACTTCCTTGTGTTGTGTACATTCAACTCACAGAGTTGAACGTTCCCTTAGACAGAGCAGATTTGAAACACTCTTTTTGTGCAATTGGCAAATGGAGATTTCAAGCGCTTTAAGGTCAATGGTAGAATAGGAAATATCTTCGTTTGAAAACTAGACAGAATCATTCCCACAAACTGCGTTGTGATTGTGTTCGTTCAACTCACAGAGTTTAACCTTTCTGTTCATAGAGCAGTTAGGAAACACTCTGTTTGTAAAGTCTATAAGTGGATATTCTGACATCTTGTGGCCTTCGTTGGAAACGGGATTTCTTCATATTCTGCTAGACAGAAGAATTCTCAGTAACTTCCTTGTGTTGTGTGTATTCAACTCACAGAGTTGAACGATACTTTACACAGAGCAGACTTGTAACACTCTTTTTGTGGAATTTGCAAGTGGAGATTTCAGCCGCTTTGAAGTCAAAGGTAGAAAAGGAAATATCTTCCTATAAAAACTAGACAGAATGATTCTCAGAAACTCCTTTGTGATGCGTGCGTTCAACTCACAGAGTTTAACCTTTCTTTTCATAGTGCAGTTAGGAAACACTCTGTTTGTAAAGTCTGCAAGTGGATATTCAGACCTCCTTGAGGCCTTCGTTGGAAACGGGATTTCTACATATTATGCTAGACAGAAGAATTCTCAGTAACTTCCTTGTGTTGTGAGTATTCAACTCACAGATTTGAACGATCCTTTACACAGAGCAGACTTGAAACAGTCTTTTTGTGGAATTTGCAAGTGGAGATTTCAGCCTCTTTGAGGTCAATGGTAGAATAGGAAATATCTTCCTATAGAAACTAGACAGAATCATTCTCAGAAACTGCTCTGCGATGTGTGCGTTCAACTCTCAGAGTTTAACTTTTCTTTTCATTCAGCAGTTTGGAAACACTCTGTTTGTAACGTCTGCACGTGAATAATTTGACCACTTAGAGGCCTTCGTTGGAAGCGGGTTTTTTTCATGTAAGGCTAGACAGAAGAATTCCCAGTAACTTCCTTGTGTTGTGTGCATTCAACTCACACAGTTGAACGTTCCCTTAGACAGAGCAGATTTGAAACACTCTATTTGTGCAATTTGCAAGTGTAGATTTCAAGCGCTTTAAGGTCAATGGCAGAAAAGGAAATTTCTTCGTTTCAAAACTAGACAGAATCATTCCCACAAACTGCGTTGTGATGTGTTCGTTCAACTCACAGAGTTTAACCTTTCTGTTCATAGAGCAGTTAGGAAACACTCTGTTTGTACAGTCTGCAAGTGGATATTCAGACCTCCTTGAGGCCTTCGTTGGAAACGGGATTTCTTCATATTCTGCTAGACAGAAGAATTCTCAGAATCTTCCTTGTGTTGGGTGTATTCAACTCACAGAGTTGAACGATCCTTTACACAGAGCAGACTTGAAACACTCTTTTTGTGGAATTTGCAAGTGGAGATTTCAGCCGCTTTGAGGTCCATGGTAGAAAAGGTAATATCTTCGTATAAAAACTAGACAGAATGATTCTCAGAAACTCCTTTGTGATGTGTGCGCTCAACTCACAGAGTTTAACCTTTCTTTTCATAGAGTAGTTAGGAAACACTCTGTTTGTAAAGTCTGCAAGTGGATATTCAGACCTCTTTGAGGCCTTCGTAGGAAACGGGATTTCTTCATATTATGCTAGACAGAAGAATTCCCAGTAACTTCCTTGTGTTGTGTGTGTTCAACTCACAGAGTTGAACTTTCATTTACACAGAGCAGATTTGAAACTCTCTTTTTGTGGAATTTGCAAATGGAGATTTCAAGCGCTTTGAGGTCAAAGGCAGAAAAGGAAATATCTTCGTATAAAAACTAGACAGAATCATTCTCAGAAACTGCTCTGCGATGTGTGCGTTCAACTCTCAGAGTTTAACTTTTCTTTTCATTCAGCAGTTTGGAAACACTCTGTTTGTAAAGTCTGCACGTGGATAATTTGACCACTTAGAGGCCTTCGTTGGAAACGGGTTTTTTTCATGTAAGGCTAGACGGAAGAATTCCCAGTAACTTCCTTGTGTTGTGTACATTCAACTCACAGAGTTGAACGTTCCCTTAGACAGAGCAGATTTGAAATACTCTTTTTGTGCAATTGGCAAGTGGAGATTTCAAGCGCTATAAGGTCAATGGCAGAAAAGGAAATATCTTCGTTTCAAAACTAGACAGAATCATTCCCACAAACTACGTTGTGATGTGTTCGTTCAACTCACAGAGTTTAACCTTTCTTTTCATAGAGCAGTTAGGAAACAGTCTGTTTGTAAATTCTGTAAGTGGATATTCTGACATCTTGTGGCCTTCGTTGGAAACGGGATTTCTTCATATTCTGCTAGACAGAAGAATTCTCAGAATCTTCCTTGTGTTGTGTGTATTCAACTCACAGAGTTGAACGACGGTTTACACAGAGCAGATTTGAAACACTCATTTGGTGGAATTTGCAAGTGGAGATTTCAGCCGCTTTGAGGTCAATGGTAGAAAAGGAAATATCTTCGTATAACAACTAGACAGAATGATTCTCAGAAACTCCTTTGTGATGTGTGTGTTCAACTCACAGAGTTTAACTTTTCTTTTCATAGAGCAGTTAGTAAACACTCTGTTTATAAAGTCTGCAAGTGGATATTCAGACCCCTTTGTGGCCTTCGTTGGAAACGGGATTTCTTCATATTATGCTAGACAGAAGAATTCTCAGTAACTTCCCTTGTGTTGTGTGTATTCAACTGACAGAGTTGAACTTTCATTTAGAGAGAGCAGTTTTGAAACACTGTTTTTGTGGAATTTGCAAGTGGAGATTTCAAGCGCTTTGGGGCCAAAGGCAGAAAAGGAAATATCTTCGTATAAAAACTAGACAGAATCATTCTCAGAAACTGCTCTGCGATGTGTGCGTTCAACTCTCAGAGTTTAACTTTTCTTTTCATTCAGCAGTTTGGAAACACTCTCTTTGTAAAGTCTGCACGTGGATATTTTGACCACTTAGAGGCATTCGTTGGAAACGGGTTTTTTTCCTGTAAGGCTAGACAGAAGAATTCCCAGTAACTTCCTTGTGTTGTGTGCATTCAACTCACAGAGTTGAACGTTCCCTTAGACAGAGCAGATTTGAAACACTCTATTTGTGCAATTTGCAAGTGTAGATTTCAAGCGCTTTAAGGTCAATGGCAGAAAAGGAAATATCTTCGTTCAAAACTAGACAGAATCATTCCCACAAACTGCGTTGTGATGTGTTCGTTCAACTCACAGAGATTAACCTTTCTGTTCATAGAGCAGTGAGGAAACACTCTGTTTGTAAAGTCTGTAAGTGGATATTCTGACATCTTGTGGCCTTCGTTGGAAACGGGATTTCTTCATATTCTGCTAGACAGAAGAATTCTCAGTAACTTCCTTGTGTTGTGTGTATTCAACTCACAGAGTTGAACGATCCTTTACACAGAGCATAGTTGAAACACTCTTGTTGTGGAATTTGCAAGTGGAGATTTCAGCCGCTTTGAGGTCAATGGTAGAATAGGAAATATCTTCCTATAGAAACTAGACAGAATGATTCTCAGAAACTCCTTTGTGATGTCTGCGTTCAACTCACAGAGTTAAACTTTCTTTTCATAGAGCAGTTAGGAAACACTCTGTTTGTAAAGTCTGCAAGTGGATATTCAGACCTCCTTGAGGCCTTCGTTGGAAAAGGGATTTCTTCATATTATGCTAGACAGAAGTATTCCCAGTAACTTCCTTGTGTTGTGTGTGTTCAACTCACAGAGTTGAACTTTCATTTACAATGAGCAGATTTGAAACACTCTTTTTGTGGAATTTGCAAGTGGAGATTTCAAGCGCTTTGAGGCCAAAGGCAGAAAAGGAAATATCTTCGTATAAAAACTAGACAGAATCATTCTCAGAAACTGCTCTGCGATGTGTGCGTTCAACTCTCAGAGTTTAACTTTTCTTTTCATTCAGCAGTTTGGAAACACTCTGTTTGTAAAGTCTGCACGTGGATATTTTGACCACTTAGAGGCCTTCGTTGGAAACGGGTTTTTTTCCTGTAAGGCTAGACAGAGAATTCCCAGTAACTTCCTTGTGTTGTGTGCATTCAACTCACAGAGTTGAACGTTCCCTTAGACAGAGCAGATTTGAAACACTCTGTGCAATTTGCAAGTGTAGATTTCAAGCGCTTTAAGGTCAATGGCAGAAAAGGAAATATCTTCGTTTCAAAACTAGACAGAATCATTCCCACAAACTGCGTTGTGATGTGTTCGTTCAACTCACAGAGTTTAACCTTTCTTTTCATAGAGCAGTTAGGAAACACTCTGTTGGTAAATTCTGTAAGTGGATATTCTGACATCTTGTGGCCTTCGTTGGAAACGGGATTTCTACATATTCTGCTAGACAGAAGAATTCTCAGTAACTTCCTTGTGTTGTGTGTATTCAACTCACAGAGTTGAAAGATCCTTTACACAGAGCAGACTTGAAACACTCTTTTTGTGGAATTTGCAAGTGGAGATTTCAGCCGCTTTGAGGTCAATGGTAGAAAAGGAAATATCTTCGTATAAAGACTAGACAGAATGATTCTCAGAAACTCCTTTGTGATGTGTGCGTTCAACTCACAGAGTTTAACCTTTCTTTTCATAGAGCAGTTAGGAAACACTCTGTTTGTAAAGTCTGCAAGTGGACATTCAGACCTCTTTGAGGCCTTCGTTGGAAACGGGTTTTTTTCATATAAGGCTAGACAGAAGAATTCTTAGTAACTTCCTTGTGTTGTGTGTATTCAACTCACAGAGTTGAATGATCCTTTACACAGAACAGTCTTGAAACACTCTTTTTGTGGAATTTGCAATTGGAGATTTCAGCCGCTTTGAGGTCAATGGTAGAATAGGAAATATCTTCCTATAGAAACTAGACAGAATGATTCTCAGAAACTCCTTTGTGATGTGTGTGTTCAACTCTCAGAATTTAACCTTTCTTTTCATAGAGCAGTTAGTAAACACTCTGTTTATAAAGTCTGCAAGTGGATATTCAGATCCCTTTGTGGCCTTCTTTGGAAACGGGATTTCTTCATATTATGCTAGACAGAAGAATTCTCAGTAACTTCCTTCTGTTGTGTGTATTCAACTGACAGAGTTGAACTTTCATTTAGAGAGAGCAGATTTGAAACACTGTTTTTGTGGAATTTGCAAGTGGAGATTTCAAGCGCTTTGGGGCCAAAGGAAGAAAAGGAAATATCTTCGTATAAAAACTAGACAGAATCATTCTCAGAAACTGCTCTGCGATGTGTGCGTTCAACTCTCAGAGTTTAACTTCGCTTTTCATTCAGCAGTTTGGAAACACTCTGTTTGTAAAGTCTGCACGTGGATAATTTGACCACTTAGAGGCCTTCGTTGGAAACGGGTTTTTTTCATGTAAGGCTAGACAGAAGAATTCTCAGTAACTTCCTTGTGTTGTGTGTATTCAACTCACACAGTTGAAGGATCCTTTACACAGAGCAGACTTGTAACACTCTTTTTGTGGAATTTGCAAGTGGAGATTTCAGCCGCTTTGAAGTCAAAGGTAGAAAAGGAAATATCTTCCTATAAAAACTAGACAGAATCATTCCCACAAACTGCGTTGTGATGTGTTCGTTCATCTCACAGAGTTTAACCTTTCTTTTCATAGAGCAGTTAGGAAACAGTCTGTTTGAAAATTCTGTAAGTGGATATTCTGACATCTTGTGGCCTTCGTTGGAAACGGGATTTCTTCATATTCTGCTAGACAGAAGAATTCTCAGTAACTTCCCTTGTGTTGTGTGTATTCAACTCACAGAGTTGAACGATCCTTTACACAGAGCAGACTTGTAACACTCTTTTTGTGGAATTTGCAAGTGGAGATTTCAGCCGCTTTGAAGTCAAAGGCAGAAAAGGAAATGTCTTCGTTTCAAAACTAGACAGAATGATTCTCAGAAACTCCTTTGTGATGTGTGCGTTCAACTCAAAGAGTTTAACCTTTCTTTTCACAGAGCAGTTAGGAAACACTCTGTTTGTAAAGTCTGCAAGTGGATATTCAGACCTCCTTGAAGCCTTCGTTGGAAAAGGGATTTCTTCATATTATGCTAGACAGAAGAATTCCCAGTAACTTCCTTGTGTTGTGTGTGTTCAACTCACAGAGTTGAACTTTCATTTACACAGAGCAGATTTGAAACACTCTTTTTGTGGAATTTGCAAGTGGAGATTTCAAGCGCTTTGAGGCCAAGAGGCGAGAAAAGGAAATATCTTCGTTTCAAAACTAGACAGAATCATTCTCAGAAACTGCTCTGCGATGTGTGCGTTCAACTCTCAGAGTTTAACTTTGCTTTTCATTTAGCAGTTTGGAAACACTCTGTTTGTAAAGTCTGCACGTGGATATTTTGACCACTTAGAGGCCTTCGTTGTAAACGGGTTTCTTTCCTGTAAGGCTAGACAGAAGAATTCCCAGTAACTTCCTTGTGTTGTGTGCATTCAACTCACAGAGTTGAACGTTCCCTAGACGGAGCAGATTTGAAACACTCTATTTGTGCAATTTGCAAGTGTAGATTTCAAGGGCTTTAAGGTCAATGGCAGAAAAGGGAATATCTTCGTTTCAAAACTAGACAGAATGATTCTCAGAAACTACTTTGTGATGTGTGCGTTCAACTCACAGAGTTTAACCTTTCTTTTCATAGAGCAGTTAGGAAACACTCTGTTTGTAAAGTCTGCAAGTGGATATTCAGACCTCTTTGAGGCCTTCGTTGGAAACGGAATTTCTTCATACTGTGCTAGACAGAAGAATTCTCAGTAACTTCCTTGTGTTGTGTGTATTCAACTCACAGAGTTGAACGATCCTTTACACAGAGCGGACTTGAAACACACTTTTTGTGGAATTTGCAAGTGGAGATTTCAAGCGCTTTGAGGCCAAAGGCAGAAAAGGAAATATCTTCGTATAAAAACTAGACAGAATGATTCTCAGAAACTCCTTTGTGATGTGTGCGTTTAACTCACAGAGTTTAACCTTTCTCTTCATAGAGCAGTTTGGAAACACTCTGTTTGTAAAGTCTGCAAGTGGATATTCAGACCTCCTTGAGGTCTTCGTTGGAAACGGGATTTCTTCATATTATGCTAGACAGAAGAATTCTCAGTAACTTCCTTGTGTTGTGTGTATTCAACTGACAGAGTTGAACTTTCATTTAGAGAGAGCAGATTTGATACACTGTTTTTGTGGAATTTGCAAGTGGAGATTTCAAGCGCTTTGCGGCCAAAGGCAGAAAAGGAAATATCTTCGTATAAAAACTAGACAGAATCATTCTGAGAAACTGCTCTGCGATGTGTGCGTTCAACTCTCAGAGTTTAACTTTTCTTTTCATTCAGCAGTTTGGAAACACTCTGTTTGTAAAGTCTGCACGTGGATATTTTGACCACTTAGAGGCCTTCGTTGGAAACGGGTTTTTTTCCTGTAAGGCTAGACAGAAGAATTCCCAGTAACTTCCTTGTGTTGTGTACATTCAACTCACATAGTTGAACGTTCCCTTAGACAGAGCAGATTTGAAACACTCTTTTTGTGCAATTGGCAAATGGAGATTTCAAGCGCTTTAAGGTCAATGGCAGAAAAGGAAATATCTTCGTTTCAAAACTAGACAGAATGATTCTCAGAAACTCCTTTGTGATGTGTGCATTCAACTCACAGAGTTTAACCTTTCTTTTCATAGAGCAGTTAGGAAACACTCTGTTTGTAAAGTCTGCAAGTGGATATTCAGACCTCTTTGAGGCCTTCGTTGGAAACGGGATTTCTTCATATTCTGCTAGACAGAAGAATTCTCAGTAACTTCCTTGTGTTGTGTGTATTGAACTCGCAGAGTTGAACGATCCTTTACACAGAGCAGACTTGAAACACTCTTTTTGTGGAATTTGCAAGTGGAGATTTCAGCCGCTTTGAGGTCAATAGTAGAAAAGGAAATATCTTCGTAGAAAAACTAGACAGAATGATTCTCAGAATCTCCTTTGTAATGTGTGCGTTCAACTCACAGAGTTTAACCTTTCTTTTCATAAAGCAGTTAGGAAACACTCTGTTTGTAATGTCTGCAAGTGGATATTCAGACCTCTTTGAGGCCTTCGTTGGAAACGGGATTTCTTCATATTCTGCTAGACAGAAGAATTCCCAGTAACTTCTTTGTGTTGTGTGTGTTCAACTCACAGAGTTGAACTTTCATTTACACAGAGCAGATTTGAAACACTCTTTTTGTGGAATTTGCAAGTGGAGATTTCAAGCGCTTTGAGGCCAAAGGCAGAAAAGGAAATATCTTCGTATAAAAACTGGACAGAATCATTCTCAGAAACTGCTCTGCGATGTGTGCGTTCAACTCTCAGAGTTTAACTTTTCTTTTCATTCAGCAGTTTGGAAACACTCTGTTTGTAAAGTCTGCACGTGGATAATTTGACCACTTGGAGGCCTTCTTTGGAAACGGGTTTTTTTCCTGTAAGGCTAGACAGAAGAATTCCCAGTAACTTCCTTGTGTTGTGTGCATTCAACTCACAGAGTTGAAAGTTCCCTTAGACAGAGCAGATTTGAAACACTCTATTTGTGCAATTTGCAAGTGTAGATTTCAAGCGCTTTAAGGTCAACGGCAGAAAAGGAAATATCTTGGTTTCAAAACTAGACAGAATGATTCTCAGAATCTTCTTTGTGATGTGTGCGTTCAACTCACAGAGTTTAACCTTTCTTTTCATAGAGCAGTTAGGAAACACTCTGTTTGTAAACTCTGCAAGTGGATATTCAGACCTCTTTGAGGCCTTCGTTGGAAACGGGATTTCTTCATACTGTGCTATACAGAAGAATTCTCAGTAACTTCCTTGTGTTGTGTGTATTCAACTCACAGAGTTGAACGACCCTTTACACAGAGCGGACTTGAAACACTCTTTTTGTGGAATTTGCAAGTGGAGATTTCAGCCGCGTTGAGGTCAATGGTAGAAAAGGAAATATCTTCGTATAAAAACTAGACAGAATGATTCTCAGAAACTTCATTGTGATGTGTGCGTTCAACTCACAGAGTTTAACCTTTCTTTTCATAGAGCAGTTAGGAAACACTCTGTTTGTAAACTCTGCAAGTGGATATTCAGACCACTTTGAGGCCTTCGTTGGAAACGGGATTTCTCCATACTGTGCTAGACAGAAGAATTCTCAGTAACTTCCTTGTGTTGTGTGTATTCAACTCACAGAGTTGAACGATGCTTTACACAGAGCGGACTTGAAACACTCGTTTTGTGGAATTTGCAAGTGGAGATTTCAGCCGATTTGAGGTCAATGGTAGAAAAGGAAATATCTTCGTATAAAAACTAGACAGAATGATTCTCATAAACTCCTTTGTGATGTGTATGTTCAACTCACAGAGTTTAACTTTTCTATTCATAGAGTAGTTAGGAAACACTCTGTTTGTAAAGTCTGCAAGTGGATATTTTGACCTCTTTGAGGCCTCCGTTGGAAACGGGTTTTCTTCATGTAAGGCTAGACAGAAGAATTCTCAGTAACTTCCTTCTGTTGTGTACATTCAACTCACAGAGTTGAACGTTCCCTTAGACAGAGCAGATTTGAAACACTCTTTTTGTGCAATTGGCAAGTGGAGATTTCAAGCGCTTTAAGGTCAATGGCAGAAAAGGAAATATCTTCGTTTCAAAACGAGACAGAATCATTCTCAGAAACTGCTCTGCGATGTGTGCGTTCAACTCTCAGAGTTTAACTTTTCTTTTCATTCAGCAGTTTGGAAACACTCTGTTTGTAAAGTCTGCACGTGGATAATTTGACCACTTAGAGGCCTTCTTTGGAAACGGGTTTTTTTCATGTAAGGCTAGACAGAAGAATTCTCAGTAACTTTCCTTGTGTTGTGTGTATTCAACTCACAGAGTTGAACGATCCTTTACACAGAGCAGACTTGTAACACTCTTTTTGTGGAATTTGCAAGTGGAGATTTCTGCCGCTTTGAAGTCAAAGGTAGAAAAGGAAATATCTTCCTATAAAAACTAGACAGAATGATTCTGAGAAACTCCTTTGTGATGTGTGCATTCAACTCACAGAGTTTAACCTTTCTTTTCATAGAGCAGTTAGGAAACACTCTGTTTGTAAAGTCTGCAAGTGGATATTCAGACCTCCTTGAGGCCTTCGTTGGAAACGGGATTTAATCATATTCTGCTAGACAGAAGAATTCTCAGTAACTTCCTTTTGTTGTGTGTATTCAACTCACAGAGTTGAATGATCCTTTACACAGAGCAGACTTGAAACACTCTTTTTGTGGAATTTGCAAGTGGAGATTTCAGCCGCTTTGAGTTCAATGGTAGAATAGGAAATATCTTCCTATAGAAACTAGACAGAATCATTCTCAGAAGCTGCTCTGCGATGTGTGCGTTCAACTCTCAGAGTTTAACTTTTCTTTTCATTCAGCAGTTTGGAAACACTCTGTTTGTAAAGTCTGCACGTGGATAATTTGACCACTTAGAGGCCTTCGTTGGAAACGGGTTTTTTTCATGTAAGGCTAGACAGAAGAGTTCTCAGTAACTTCCCTTGTGTTGTGTGTATTCAACTCACACAGTTGAACGATCCTTTACAGAGAGCAGACTTGTAACACTCTTTTTGTGGAATTTGCAAGTGGAGATTTCAGCCGCTTTGAAGTCAAAGTAGAAAAGGAAATATCTTCCTATAAAAACTAGACAGAATCATTCCCACAAACTGCGTTGTGATGTGTTCGTTCAACTCACAGAGTTTAACCTTTCTTTTCATAGAGCATTTAGGAAACACTCTGTTTGTAAAGTCTGCAAGTGGATATTCAGACCTCTTTGAGGCCTTCGTTGGAAACGGGTTTTTTTCATATAAGGCTAGACAGAAGAATTCTCAGAAACTTCCTTGTGTTGTGTGTCTTCAACTCACAGAGTTGAACGATCCTTTACACATAGCAGACTTGAAACACACTTTTTTTGGTATTTTCAAGTGGAGATTTCAGCCGCTTTGAGGTCAATGGTAGAAAAGGAAATATCTTCGTATAAAGACTAGACAGAATGATTCTCAGAAACTCCTTTGTGATGTGTGCGTTGAACTCACAGAGTTTAACGTTTCTTTTCATAGAGCAGTTAGGAAACACTCTGTTTGTAAAGTCTGCAAGGGGATATTCAGACCTCTCTGAGGCCTTCGTTGGAAACGGGATTTCTTCATATTCTGCTTCACAGAAGAATTCTCAGTAACTTCCTTGTGTTGTGTGTATTCAACTGACAGAGTTGAACTTTCATTTAGACAGAGCAGATTTGAAAAGCTCTTTATGTGGAATTTGCAATTGGAGATTTCAAGCGCTTTGAGGCCAAAGACAGAAAAGGAAATATCTTCGTATAAAAACTAGACAGAATCATTCTCAGAAACTGCTCTGCGATGTGTGCGTTCAACTCTCAGAGTTTAACTTTTCTTTTCATTCAGCAGTTTGGAAACACTCTGTTTGTAAAGTCTGCACGTGGATAACTTGACCACTTAGAGGCCTTCGTTGGAAACGGGTTTTTTTCATGTAAGGCTAGACAGAAGAATTCCCAGTAACTTCCTTGTGTTGTGTGCATTCAACTCACAGAGTTGAACGTTCCCTTAGACAGAGCAGATTTGCAACACTCTATTTGTGCAATTTGCAAGTGTAGATTTCAAGCGCTTTAAGGTCAATGGCAGAAAAGGAAATATCTTCGTTTCAAAACTAGACAGAATCATTCCCACAAACTGCGTTGTGATGTGTTCGTTCAACTCACAGAGTTTAACCTTTCCGTTCATAGAGCAGTTAGGAAACACACTGTTTGTAAAGTCTGTAAGTGGATACTCTGACATCTTGTGGCCTTCGTTGGAAACGGGATTTCTTCATATTCTGCTAGACAGAAGAATTCTCAGTAACTTCCTTGTTTTGTGTGTATTCAACTCACAGAGTTGAACGATCCTTTACACAGAGCATACTTGAAACACTCTTCTTGTGGAATTTGCAAGTGGAGATTTCAACCGCTTTGAGGTCAATGGTAGAATAGGAAATATCTTCCTATAGAAACTAGACAGAATGATTCTCAGAAACTTCTTTGTGATGTGTGCGTTCAACTCACAGAGTTTAACCTTTCTTTTCATAGAGCAGTTAGGAAACACTTTGTTTGTAAAGTCTGCAAGTGGATATTCAGACCTCTTTGAGGCCTTCGTTGGAAACGGGATTTCTTCATACTATGCTAGACAGAAGAATTCCCAGTAACTTCCTTGTGTTGTGTGTGTTCAACTCACAGAGTTGAACTTTCATTTACACAGAGCAGATTTGAAACACTCTTTTTGTGGAATTTGCAAATGGAGATTTCAAGCGCTTTGAGGTCAAAGGCAGAAAAGAAAATATCTTCGTATAAAAACTAGACAGAATCATTCTCAGAAACTGCTGCGTGATGTGTGCGTTCAACTCTCAGAGTTTAACTTTTCTTTTCATTCAGCGGTTTGGAAACACTCTGTCTGTAAAGTCTGCACGTGGATATTTTGACCACTTAGAGGCCTTCGTTGGAAACGGGTTTTTTTCATGTAAGGCTAGACAGAAGAATTCCCAGTAACTTCCTTGTGTTGTGTGCATTCAACTCACAGAGCTGAACATTCCCTTGACAGAGCAGATTTGAAACACTCTATTTGTGCAATTTGCAAGTGTAGATTTCAAGCGCTTTAAGGTCAATGGCAGAAAAGGAAATATCTTCGTTTCAAAACTAGACAGAATGATTCTCAGAAACTCCTTTGTGATGTGTGCGTTCAGCTAACAGAGTTTAACCTTTCTTTTCATAGAGCAGTTCGGAAACACTCTGTTTGTAAAGTCTGCAAGTGGATATTCAGACCTCTTTGAGGCCTTCGTTGGAAACGGGATTTCTTCATATTCTGCTAGACAGAAGAATTCTCAGTAACTTCCTTGTGTTGTGTGTATTCAACTCACAGAGTTGAACGATTCTTTACACAGAGCAGACCTGAAACACTCTTTTTGTGGAATTTGCAAGTGGAGATTTCAGCCGCTTTGAGGTCAATGGTACAAAAGGAAATATCTTCGTATAAAGACTAGACAGAATGATTCTCAGAAACTCCTTTGTGATGTGTGTGTTCAACTCACAGAGCTTAACCTTTCTTTTCATAGAGCAGTTAGTAAACACTCTGTTTATAAAGTCTGCAAGTGGATATTCAGACCCCTTTGAGGCCTTCGTTGGAAGCGGGATTTCTTCATATTATGCTAGACAGAAGAATTCTCAGTAACTTCCTTGTGTTGTGTGTATTCAACTGACAGAGTTGAACTTTTATTTAGAGAGAGCAGATTTGAAACACTGTTTTTGTGGAATTTGCAAGTGGAGATTTCAAGCGCTATGGGGCCAAAGGCAGAAAAGGAAATATCTTTGTATAAAAACTAGACAGAATGATTCTCAGAAACTGCTGCGTGATGTGTGCGTTCAACTCTCAGAGTTTAACTTTTCTTTTCATTCAGCGGTTTGGAAACACTCTGTTTGTAAAGTCTGCACGTGGATATTTTGACCACTTAGAGGCCTTCGTTGGAAACGGGTATTTTTCATGTAAGGCTAGACAGAAGAATTCCCAGTAACTTTCCTTGTGTTGTGTACATTCAACTCACAGAGTTGAACGTTCCCTTAGACAGAGCAGATTTGAAACACTCTTTTTGTGCAATTGGCAAGTGGTGATTTCAGCCGCTTTGAGGTCAATGGTAGAAAAGGAAATATCTTCGTATAAAAACTAGACAGAATCATTCCCACAAACTGCGTTGTGATGTGTTCGTTCAACTCACAGAGTTTAACCTTTCTTTTCATAGAGCAGTTAGGAAACAGTCTGTTTGTCAATTCTTTAAGTGGATATTCTGACATCTTGTGGCCTTCGTTGGAAACGGGATTTCTTCATATTCTGCTAGACAGAAGAATTCTCAGAATCTTCCTTGTGTTGTGTGTATTCAACTCACAGAGTTGAACGATCCTTTACACAGAGCAGACTTGAAACACTCTTTTTGTGCAATTTGCAAGTGGAGATTTCAACCGCTTTGAGGTCCATGGTAGAAAAGGAAATATCTTCGTATAAAAACTAGACAGAATGATTCTCAGAAACTCCTTTGTGATGTGTGCGTTCAACTCACAGAGTTTAACCTTTCTTTTCATAGAGCAGTTAGGAAACACTCTGTTTGTAAAGTCTGCAAGTGGATATTCAGACCTCCTTGACGCCTTCGTTGGAAACGGGATTTCTTCATATTATGCTAGACAGAAGAATTCTCAGTAACTTCCTTGTGTTGGGTGTATTCAACTGACAGAGTTGAACTTTCCTTTAGACAGATCAGATTTGAAACACTCTTTTTGTGGAATTTGCAAGGTGAGATTTCAACCGCTTTGAGGCCAAAGGCAGAAAAGGAAATATCTTCCTTTAAAAACTAGACAGAATCATTCTCAGAAACTGCTCTGTGATGTGTGCGTTCAACTCTCAGAGTTTAACTTTTCTGTTCATTCAGCAGTTTGTAAACACTCTGTTTGTAAAGTCTCCACGTGGATATTTTGACCACTTAGAGGCCTTCGTTGGAAACGGGTTTTTTTCATGTAAGGCTAGACAGAAGAATTCCCAGTAACTTCCTTGTGTTGTGTGCATTCAACTCACAGAGTTGAACGTTCCCTTAGACAGAGCAGATTTGAAACACTCTATTTGTGCAATTTGCAAGTGTAGATTTCAAGCGCTTTAAGGTCAACGGCAGAAAAGGAAATATCTTGGTTTCAAAACTAGACAGAATGATTCTCAGAAACTTCTTTGTGATGTCTGCGTTCAACTCACAGAGTTTAACATTTCTTTTCATAGAGCAGTTAGGAAACACTCTGTTTGTAAAGTCTGCAATTGGATATTCAGACCTCTTTGAGGCCTTCGTTGGAAACGGGATTTCTTCATACTATGCTAGACAGAAGAATTCTCAGTAACTTCCTTGTGTTGTGTGTATTCAACTCACAGAGTTGAACGATCCTTTACACAGAGCAGACTTGTAACACTCTTTTTGTGGAATTTGTAAGTGGAGATTTCAGCCGCTTTGAAGTCAAAGGTAGAAAAGGAAATATCTTCCTATAAAAACTAGACAGAATGATTCTCACAAACTCCTTTGTGATGTGTGCGTTCAACTCACAGAGTTTAACCTTTCTTTTCATAGAGCAGTTAGGAAACACTCTGTTTGTAAAGTCTGCAAGTGGATATTCAGACATCTTTGAGGCCTTCGTTGGAAACGGGATTTCTTCATGTTCTGCTAGACAGAAGAATTCTCAGTAACTTCCTTGTGTTGTGTGTATTCAACTCACAGAGTTGAACGATCCTTTACACAGAGCAGACTTGTAACACTCTTTTTGTGGAATTTGCAAGTGGAGATTTCTGCCGCTTTGAGGTCAATGGTAGAAAAGGAAATATCTTCCTATAAAAACTACACAGAATGATTCTCAGAAACTCCTTTGTGATGTGTGCGTTCAACTCACAGAGTTTAACTTTTCTTTTCATAGAGCAGTTAGCAAACACTCTGTTTGTAAATTCTGCAAGTGGATATTCAGACCTCTTTGAGGCCTTCGTTGGAATCGGGATTTCTTCAAATTCTGCTAGGCAGAAGAATTCCCAGTAACTTCCTTGTGTTGTGTGTGTTCAACTCACAGAGTTGAACTTTGATTTACACAGAGCAGATTTGAAACACTCTTTTTGTGGAATTTGCAAGTGGAGATTTCAAGCGCTTTGAGGCCAGAGGCAGAAAAGGAAATATCTTCGTATAAAAACTAGACAGAATCATTCTCAGAAACTGCTCTGCGATGTGTGCGTTCAACTCTCAGAGTTTAACTTTTCTTTTCATTCAGCAGTTTGGAAACACTCCGTTTGTAAAGTCTGCACGTGGATATTTTGACCACTTAGAGGCCTTCGTTGGAAACGGGTTTTTTTCCTGTAAGGCTAGACAGAAGAATTCCCAGTAACTTCCTTGTGTTGTGTACATTCAACTCACAGAGTTGAACGTTCCCTTAGACAGAGCAGATTTGAAACACTCTTTTTGTGCAATTGGCAAATGGAGATTTCAAGCGCTTTAAGTTCAATGGCAGAAAAGGAAATATCTTCGTTTCAAAACTAGACAGAATCATTCCCACAAACTGCGTTGTGATGTGTTCGTTCAACTCACAGAGTTTAACCTTTCTGTTCATAGAGCAGTTAGGAAACACTCTGTTTGTAAAGTCTGACAGTGGATATTCTGACATCTTGTGGCCTTCGTTGGAAACAGGATTTCTTCATATTCTGCTAGACAGAAGAATTCTCAGTAACTTCCTTGTGTTGTGTGTATTCAACTCACAGAGTTTAATGATCCTTTACGCAGAGCAGACTTGAAACAATCTTTTTGTGGAATTTGCAAGTGGAGATTTCAGCCGCTTTGATGTCAATGGTAGAATAGGAAATATCTTCCTATAGAAACTAGACAGAATGATTCTCAGAAACTCCTTTGTGATGTGTGCGTTCAACTCACAGAGTTTAACCTTTCTTTTCATAGAGCAGTTAGGAAACACTCTGTTTGTAATGTCTGCAAGTGGATATTCAGACCTCTTTGAGGCCTTTGTTGGAAACGGGATTTCTTCATATTGTGCTAGACAGAAGAATTCCCAGTAACTTCCTTGTGTTGTGTGTGTTCAACTCACAGAGTTGAACTTTCATTTACACAGAGCAGATTTGAAACACTCTTTTTGTGGAATTTGCAAATGGAGGTTTCAAGCGCTTTGAGGCCAAAGGCAGAAAAGGAAATATCTTCGTATAAAAACTAGACAGAACCATGCTGAGAAACTGCTCTGCGATGTGTGCGTTCAACTCTCAGAGTTTAACTTTTCTTTTCATTCAGCAGTTTGGAAACACTCTGTTTGTAAAGTCTGCACGTGGATAACTTGACCACTTAGAGGCCTTCGTTGGAAACGGGTTTTTTTCATGTAAGGCTAGACAGAAGAATTCCCAGTAACTTCCTTGTGTTGTGTACATTCAACTCACAGAGTTGAACGTTCCCTTAGACAGAGCAGATTTGAAACACTCTTTTTGTGCAATTGGCAAATGGAGATTTCAAGCGCTTTAAGTTCAATGGCAGAAAAGGAAATATCTTCGTTTCAAAACTAGACAGAATCATTCCCACAAACTGCGTTGCGATGTGTTCGTTCAACTCACAGAGTTTAACATTTCTTTTCATAGAGCACTTAGGAAACAGTCTGTTTGTAAATTCTGTAAGTGGATATTCTGACATCTTGTGGCCTTCGTTGGAAACAGGATTTCTTCATATTCTGCTAGACAGAAGAATTCCCATTAACTTCCTTGTGTTGTGTGTGTTCAACTCACAGAGTTGAACTTTCATTTACACAGAGCAGATTTGAAACACTCTTTTTGTGGAATTTGCAAATGGAGATTTCAGCCGCGTTGAGGTCAATGGTAGAAAAGGAAATATCTTCGTTTCAAAACTAGACAGAATGATTCTCAGAAACTCCTTTGTGATGTGTGCGTTCAACTCACAGAGTTTAACCTTTCTTTTCATAGAGCAGTTAGGAAACACTCTGTTTGTAAAGTCTGCAAGTGGATATTCAGACCTCTTTGAGGCCTTCGATGGAAACGGGTTTTTTTCATATAAGGCTAGACAGAAGAATTCCCAGTAACTTCCTTGTGTTGTGTGTGTTCAACTCACAGAGTTGAACTTTCATTTACACAGAGCAGATTTGAAACACTCTTTTTGTGGAATTTGCAAATGGAGATTTCAAGCGCTTTGAGGCCAAAGGCAGAAAAGGAAATGTCTACGTTTCAAAACTAGACAGAATCATTCTCAGAAACTGCTGCTTGATGTGTGCGTTCAACTCTCAGAGTTTAACTTTTCTTTTCATTCAGCGGTTTGGAAACACTCTGTTTGTAAAGTCTGCACGTGGATATTTTGACCACTTAGAGGCCTTCGTTGGAAACGGGTTTTTTTCATGTAAGGCTAGACAGAAGAATTCCCAGTAACTTCCTTGTGTTGTGTACATTCAACTCACAGAGTTGAACGTTCCCTTAGACAGAGCAGATTTGAAACACTCTTTTTGTGCAATTGGCAAGTGGAGATTTCAAGCGCTTTAAGGTCAATGGCAGAAAAGGAAATATCTTCGTTTCAAAACTACACAGAATGATTCTCAGAAACTTCATTGTGATGTGTGCGTTCAACTCACAGAGTTTAACCTTTCTTTTCATAGAGCAGTTGGGAAACAGTCTGTTTGTAAATTCTATAAGTGGATATTCTGACATCTTGTGGCCTTCGTTGGAAACGGGATTTCTTCATATTCTGCTAGACAGAAGAATTCTCAGTAACTTCGTTGTGTTGTGTGTATTCAACTCACAGAGTTGAACGATCCTTTACACAGAGCAGACTTGAAACACGCTTTTTGTGGAATTTGCAAGTGGAGATTTCAGCCGCTTTGAGGTCAATGGTAGAAAAGGAAATATCTTCGTATAAAGACTAGACAGAATGATTCTCAGAAAATCTTTTGTGATGTGTGCGTTCAACTCACAGAGTTTAACTTTTCTTCTCATAGAGCAGTTAGGAAATACTCTGTTTGTAAAGTCTGCAAGTGGATATTCAGACCTCTTTGAGGCCTTCGTTGGAAACGGGATTTCTTCATATTATGCTAGACAGAAGAATTCTCAGTAACTTCCTTGTGTTGTGTGTATTCAACTGACAGCGTTGAACTTTCATTTAGAGAGAGCAGATTTGAAACACTGTTTTTGTGGAATTTGCAAGTGGAGATTTCAAGCGCTTTGGGGCCAAAGGCTGAAAAGGAAATATCTTCGTATAAAAACTAGACAGAAATCATTCTCAGAAACTGCTGCGTGATGTGTGCGTTCAACCCTCAGAGTTTAACTTTTCTTTTCATTCAGCGGTTTGGAAACACTCTGTTTGTAAAGTCTGCACGTGGATATTTTGACCACTTAGAGGCCTTCGTTGGAAACGGGATTTTTTCATGTAAGGCTAGACAGAAGAATTCCCAGTAACTTCCTTGTGTTGTGTGCATTCAACTCACAGAGTTGAACGTTCCCTTAGACAGAGCAGATTTGAAACACTCTATTTGTGCAATTTGCAAGTGTAGTTTTCAAGCTCTTTAAGGTCAACGGCAGAAAAGGAAATATCTTGGTTTCAAAACTAGACAGAATCATTCCCACAAACTGCGTTGTGATGTGTTCGTTCAACTCACAGAGTTTAACCTTTCTGTTCATAGAGCAGTTAGGAAACACTCTGTTTGTAAAGTCTGCAAGTGGATATTCTGACATCTTGTGGCCTTCGTTGGAAACGGGATTTCTTCATATTCTGCTAGACAGAAGAATTCTCAGTAACTTCCTTGTGTTGTGTGTATTCAACTCACAGAGTTGAACGATCCTTTACACAGAGCAGACTTGAAACACTCCTTTTGTGGAATTTGCAAGTGGAGATTTCAGCCGCTTTGAGGTCAAAGGTAGAATAGGAAATATCTTCCTATAGAAACTAGACAGAATGATTCTCAGAAACTCCTTTGTGATGTGTGTGTTCAACTCACAGAGTTTAACCTTTCTTTTCATAGAGCAGTTAGGAAACACTCTGTTTGTAAAGTCTGCAAGTGGATATTCAGACCCCTTTGAGGCCTTCGTTGGAAACGGGATTTCTTCATATTATGCTAGACAGAAGAATTCTCAGTAACTTCCTTCTGTTGTGTGTATTCAACTGACAGAGTTGAACTTTCATTTAGAGAGAGCAGATTTGAAACACTGTTTTTGTGGAATTTGCAAATGGAGATTTCAAGCGCTTTGGTGCCAAAGGCAGAAAAGGAAATATCTTCGTATAAAAACTAGACAGAATCATTCTCAGAAACTGCTGCGTGATGCGTGCGTTCAACTCTCAGAGTTTAACTTTTCTTTTCATTCAGCGGTTTGGAAACACTCTGTTTGTAAAGTCTGCAAGTGGATATTCAGACCTCTTTGAGGCCTTCGTTGGAAACGGGATTTCTTCCTATTATGCTCAACAGAAGAATTCCCAGTAACTTCCTTGTGTTGTGTGCATTCAACTCACAGAGTTGAACGTTCCCTTAGACAGAGCAGATTTGAAACACTCTCTTTGTGCAATTTGCAAGTGTAGATTTCAAGCGCTTTATGGTCAACGGCAGAAAAGGAAATATCTTCGTTTCAAAACTAGACAGAATCATTCCCACAAACTGCGTAGTGATGTGTTCGTTCAACTCACAGAGTTTAACCTTTCTTTTCATAGAGCAGTTAGGAAACAGTCTGTTTGTCAATTCTGTAAGTGGATATTCTGACATCTTGTGGCCTTAGTTGGAAACGGGATTTCTTCATATTCTGCTAGACAGAAGAATTCCCAGTAACTTCCTTGTGTTGTGTGTATTCAACTCACAGAGTTGAAAGATCCTTTACACAGAGCAGACTTGTAACACTCTTTTTGTGGAATTTGCAAGTGGAGATTTCAGCCGCTTTGAAGTCAAAGGTAGAAAAGGAAATATCTTCCTATAAAAACTAGACAGAATGATTCTCAGAAACTCCTTTGTGATGTGTGCGTTCAACCCACAGAGTTTAACCTTTCTTTTCATAGAGCAGTTAGGAAACACTCTGTTTGTAAAGTCTGCAAGTGGATATTCAGACCTCTTTGAGGCCTTCGTTGGAAAAGGGATTTCTTCATATTCTGCTGGACAGAAGAATTCCCCGTAACTTCCTTGTGTTGTGTGTGTTCAACTCACAGAGTTGAACTTTCATTTACACAGAGCAGATTTGAAACACTCTTTTTGTGGAATTTGCAAGTGGAGATTTCAAGCGCTTTGAGGCCAAAGGCAGAAAAGGAAATATCTTCGTATAAAAACTAGACAGAATCATTCTCAGAAACTGCTCTGTGATATGTGCGTTCAACTCTCAGAGTTTAACTTTTCTTTTCATTCAGCAGTTTGGAAACACTCTGTTTGTAAAGTCTGCACGTGGATATTTTGACCACTTAGAGGCCTTCGTTGGAAACGGGTTTTTTTTCATGTAAGGCTAGACAGAAGCATTCCCAGTAACTTCCTTGTGTTGTGTGCATTCAACTCACAGAGATGAACGTTCCCTTAGACAGAGCAGATTTGAAACACTCTATTTGTGCTATTTGCAAGTGTAGATTTCCAGCGCTTTAAGGTCAATGGCAGAAAAGGAAATATCTTCGTTTCAAAACTAGACAGAATGATTCTCAGAAACTCCTTTGTGATGTGTGCGTTCAACTCACAGAGTTTAACTTTTCTTTTCATAGAGCAGTTAGGAAACACTCTGTTTGTAAAGTGTGCAAGTGGATATTCAGACCTCCTTGAGGCCTTCTTTGGAAAAGGGATTTCTTCATATTATGCTAGACAGAATAATTCTCAGTAACTTCCTTGTGTTGTGTGTATTCAACTCACAGAGTTGAAGGATCCTTTACAGAGAGCAGACTTGAAACACTCTTTTTGTCGAATTTGCAAGTGGAGATTTCAGCCGCTTTGAGGTCAATGGTAGAATAGGAAATATCTTCTTATAGAACCTAGACAAAATGATTCTCAGAAACCCCTTTGTGATGTGTGCGTTCCACTCACAGAGTTTAACCTTTCTTTTCATAGAGCAGTTAGGAAACACTCTGTTTGTAAAGTCTGCAAGGGGATATTTAGACCTCTTTGAGGCCATCGTTGGAAGCGGGATTTCTTAATATTCTGCTAGACAGAATAATTCTCAGTAACTTCCTTGTGTTGTGTGTATTCAACTGACAGAGTTGAACTTTCATTTAGAGAGAGCAGATTTGAAACACTGTTTTTGTGGAATTTGCAAGTAGAGATTTCAAGCGCTTTGGGGCCAAAGGCAGAAAAGGAAATATCTTCGTATAAAAACTAGACAGAATCATTCCCACAAACTGCGTTGTGACGTGTTCGTTCAACTCACAGAGTTTAACCTTTCTTTTCATAGAGCAGTTAGGAAACACTCTGTTGGTAAATTCTGTAAGTGGATATTCTGACATCTTGTGGCCTTCAGTGGAAACGGGATTTCTTCATATTCTGCTAGACAGAAGAATTCCCAGTAACTTCCTTGTGTTGTGTACATTCAACTCACAGAGTTGAACGTTCCCTTAGACAGAGCAGATTTGAAACACTCTTTTTGTGCAATTGGCAAGTGGAGATTTCAAGCGCTTTGAGGTCAATGGCAGAAAAGGAAATATCTTCGTTTCAAAACTAGACAGAATCATTCCCACAAACTGCGTTGTGATGTGTTCGTTCAACTCACAGAGTTTAACCTTTCTGTTCATAGAGCAGTTAGGAAACACTCTGTTTGTAAAGTCTGTAAGTGGATATTCTGACATCTTGTGGCCTTCGTTGGAAACGGGATTTCTTCATTTTCTGCTAGACAGAAGAATTCTCAGTAACTTCCTTGTGTTGTGTGTATTCAACTCGCAGAGTTGAACGATCCTTTACACAGAGCAGACTTGAAACACTCTTTTTGTGGAATTTGCAAGTGGAGATTTCAGCCGCTTTGAGGTCAGTGGTAGAAAAGGAAATATCTTCGTATAAAGACTAGACAGAATGATTCTCAGAAACTCCTTTGTGATGTGTGTGTTCAACTCACAGAGTTTAACCTTTCTTTTCATAGAGCAGTTAGTAAACACTCTGTTTATAAAGTCTGCAAGTGGATATTCAGACCTCCTTGAGGCCTTCGTTGGAAACGGGATTTCTTCATATTATGCTAGACAGAAGAATTCTCAGTAACTTCCTCGTGTTGTGTTTATTCAACTGACAGAGTTGAACTTTCATTTAGAGAGAGCAGATTTGAAACACTGTTTTTGTGGAATTTGCAAGTGGAGATTTCAAGCGCTTTGGGGCCAAAGGCAGAAAAGGAAATATCTTCGTATAAAAACTAGACAGAATCATTCTCAGAAACTGCTGCGTGATGGGTGCGTTCAACTCTCAGAGTTTAACTTTTCTTTTCATTCAGCGGTTTGGAAACACTCTGTTTGTAAAGTCTGCACGTGGATATTTTGACCACTTAGAGGCCTTCGTTGGAAACGGGTTTTTTTCATGTAAGGCTAGACAGAAGAATTCCCAGTAACTTCCTTGTGTTGTGTACATTCAACTCACAGAGTTGAACGTTCTCTTAGACAGAGCAGATTTGAAACACTCTTTTTGTGCAATTGGCAAATGGAGATTTCAAGCGCTTTAAGGTCAATGGCAGAAAAGGAAATATCTTCGTTTCAAAACTAGACAGAATCATTCCCACAAACTGCGTTGTGATGTGTTCGTTCAACTCACAGAGTTTAACCTTTCTGTTCATAGAGCAGTTAGGAAACACTCTGTTTTGTAAAGTATGCAAGTGGATATTCAGACCTCCTTGAGGCCTTCGTTGGAAACGGGATTTCTTCATATTCTGCTAGACACGAAGAATTCTCAGTAACTTCCTTGTGTTGTGTGTATTCAACTCACAGAGTTGAACGATCCTTTACACAGAGCAGACTTGAAACACTCTTTTTGTGGAATTTGCATGTGGAGATTTCAGCCGCTTTGAGGTCAATGGTAGAAAAGGAAATATCTTCGTATAAAAACTAGACAGAATGATTCTCATAAACTCCTTTGTGATGTGTGCGTTCAACTCACAGAGTTTAACCTTTCTTTTCATAGAGCAGTTAGGAAACACTCTGTTTGTAAAATCTGCAAGTGGATATTCAGACCCCTTTGAGGCCTTCGTTGGAAACGGGATTTCTTCATATTCTGCTAGACAGAAGAATTCCCAGTAACTTCCTTGTGTTGTGTGTGTTCAACTCACAGAGTTGAACTTTCATTTACACAGAGCAGATTTGAAACACTCTTTTTGTGGAATTTGCAAGTGGAGATTTCAAGCGCTTTGAGGCCAAAGGCAGAAAAGGAAAATATCTTCGTTTCAAAACTAGACAGAATCATTCTCAGAAACTGCTCTGCGATGTGTACATTCAACTCTCAGAGTTTAATTTTTCTTTTCATTCAGCAGTTTGGAAACACTCTCTTTGTAAAGTCTGCACGTGGATATTTTGACCACTTAGAGGCCTTCGTTCGAAACGGGTTTTATTCTTGTAAGGCTAGACAGAAGAATTCCCAGTAACTTCCTTGTGTTGTGTGCATTCAACTCACAGAGTTGAACGTTCCCTTAGACAGAGCAGATTTGAAACACTCTATTTGTGCAATTTGCAAGTGTAGATTTCAAGCGCTTTAAGGTCAACGGCAGAAAAGGAAATATCTTCGTTTTAAAACTAGACAGAATCATTCCCACAAACTGCGTTGTGATGTGTTCGTTCAACTCACAGAGTTTAACCTTTCTGTTCATAGAGCAGTTAGGAAACACTCTGTTTGTAAAGTCTGTAAGTGGATATTCTGACATATTGTGGCCTTCGTTGGAAACGGGATCTCTTCATATTCTGCTAGACAGAAGAATTCTCAGTAACTGCCTTGTGTTGTGTGTATTCAACTCACAGAGTTGAACGATCCTTTACACAGAGCAGACTTGAAACACTCCTTTTGTGGAATTTGCAAGTGGAGATTTCAGCCGCTTTGAGGTCAATGGTAGAATAGGAAATATCTTCCTGTAGAAACTAGACAGATTGATTCTCAGAAACTCCTTTGTGATGTGTGCGTTCAACTCACAGAGTTTAACCTTTCTTTTCATAGAGCAGTTAGGAAACACTCTGTTTGTAAAGTCTGCAAGTGGATATTCAGACCTCCTTGAGACCTTCGTTGGAAACGGGATTTCTTCCTATTATGCTAGACAGAAGAATTCCCAGTAACTTCCTTGTGTTGTGTGTGTTCAACTCACAGAGTTGAGCTTTCATTTACACAGAGCAGATTTGAAACACTCTTTTTGTGGAATTTGCAAATGGAGATTTCAAGCGCTTTGAGGCCAAAGGCAGAAAAGGAAATATCTTCGTATAAAAACTAGACAGAATCATTCTCAGAAACTGCTCTGTGATGTGTGCGTTCAACTCTCAGAGTTTAACTTTTCTTTTCATTCAGCAGTTTGGAAACACTCTGTTTGTAAAGTCTGCACGTGGATAATTTTACCACTTAGAGGCCTTCGTTGGAAACGGGTTTTTTTCATGTAAGGCTAGACAGAAGAGTTCTCAGTAACTTCCTTGTGTTGTGTGTATTCAACTCACAGAGTTGAACGATCCTTTACACAGAGCAGACTTGTAACACTCTTTTTGTGGAATTTGCAAGTGGAGATTTCAGCCGCTTTGAAGTCAAAGTAGAAAAGGAAATATCTTCCTATAAAAACTAGACAGAATCATTCCCACAAACTGCGTTGTGATGTGTTCGTTCAACTCACAGAGTTTAAACTTTCTGTTCATAGAGCAGTTAGGAAACACTCTGTTTGTAAAGTCTGCAAGTGGATATTCAGACCTCCTTGAGGCCTTCGTTGGAAACGGGATTTCTTCATATTCTGCTAGACAGAAGAATTCTCAGTAACTTCCTTGTGTTGTGTGTATTCAACTCACAGAGTTGAACGATCCTTTACAGAGAGCAGACTTGAAACACTCTTTTTGTGGAATTTGCAAGTGGAGATTTCAGCCGCTTTGAGGTCAATAGTAGAAAAGGAAATAACTTCGTAGAAAAACTAGACAGAATGATTCTCAGAAACTCCTTTGTGATGTGTGTGTTCAACTCACAGAGTTTAACCTTTCTTTTCATAGAGCAGTTAGTAAACACTCTGTTTATAAAGTCTGCAAGTGGATTTTCAGACCCCTTTGAGGCCTTCGTTGGAAACGGGATTTCTTCATATTATGCTAGACAGAAGAATTCCCAGTAACTTCCTTGTGTTGTGTGTGTTCAACTCACAGAGTTGAACTTTGATTTACACAGAGCAGATTTGAAACACTCTTTTTGTGGAATTTGCAAGTGGAGATTTCAAGCGCTTTGAGGCCAAAGGCAGAAAAGGAAATACCTTCGTATAAAAACTAGACAGAATCATTCTCAGAAACTGCTCTGTCATGTGTGCGTTCAACTCTGAGAGTTTAAATTTTCTTTTCATTCAGCAGTTTGGAAACACTCTGTTTGTAAAGTCTGCACGTGGATATTTTGACCACTTAGAGGCCTTCGTTGGAAACGGGTTTTTTTCATGTAAGGCTAGACAGAAGAATTCCCAGTAACTTCCTTGTGTTGTGTGCATTCAACTCACAGAGTTGAACGTTCCCTTAGACAGAGCAGATTTGAAACACTCTATTTGTGCAATTTGCAAGTGTAGTTTTCAAGCTCTTTTAGGTCAACGGCAGAAAAGGAAATATCTTGGTTTCAAAACTAGACAGAATCATTCCCACAAACTGCGTTGTGATGTGTTCGTTCAACTCACAGAGTTTAACCTTTCTGTTCATAGAGCAGTTAGGAAACACTCTGTTTGTAAAGTCTGTAAGTGGATATTCTGACATCTGGTGGCCTTCGTTGGGAACGGGATTTCTTCATATTCTGCTAGACAGAAGAATTCTCAGTAACTTCCTTGTGTTGTGTGTATTCAACTCACAGAGTTGAACGATCCTTTACACAGAGCAGACTTGAAACACTCTTTTTGTGGAATTTGTAAGTGGAGATTTCAGCCGCTTTGAGGTCAATGGTAGAATAGGAAATATCTTCCTATAGAAACTAGACAGAATGATTCTCAGAAACTCCTTTGTGATGTGTACTTTCAACTCACAGAGTTTAACCTTTCTTTTCATAGAGCAGTTAGGAAACACTCTGTTTGTAAAGTCTGCAAGTGGATATTCAGACCTCTTTGAGGCCTTCGTTGGAAACGGGTTTTTTTCATATAAGGCTAGACAGAAGAATTCTCAGTAACTTCCTTGTGTTGTGTGTATTCAACTGACAGAGTTGAACTTTCATTTAGAGAGAGCAGATTTGAAACACTGTTTTTGTGGAATTTGCAAGTGGAGATTTCAAGCGCTTTGGGGCCAAAGGCAGAAAAGGAAATATCTTCGGATAAAAACTAGACAGAATCATTCTCAGAAACTGCTGCGTGATGTGTGTGTTCAACTCTCAGAGTTTAACTTTTCTTTTCATTCAGCGGTTTGGAAACACACTGTTTGTAAAGTCTGCACGTGGATATTTTGACCACTTAGAGGCCTTCGTTGGAAACGGGTTTTTTGCATGTAAGGCTAGACAGAAGAATTCCCAGTAACTTCCTTGTGTTGTGTACATTCAACTCACAGAGTTGAACGTTCCCCTTAGACAGAGCAGATTTGAAACACTCTTTTTGTGCAATTGGCAAGTGGAGATTTCAAGCGCTTTAAGGTCAATGGCAGAAAAGGAAATATCTTCGTTTCAAAACTAGACAGAATGATTCTCAGAATCTCCTTTGTGATGTGTGCGTTCAACTCACAGAGTTTAACCTTTCTTTTCATAGAGCAGTTAGGAAACACTCTGTTTGTAAAGTCTGCAAGTGGATATTCAGACATCCTTGAGGCTTTCGTTGGAAACGGGATTTCTTCATATTCTGTTTGAAAGAAGAATTCTCAGTAACTTCCTTGTGTTGTGTGTATTCAAGTCACAGAGTTGAACGATCCTTTACACAGAGCAGACTTGAAACACTCTTTTTGTGGAATTTGCAAGTGGAGATTTCAGCCGCTTTGAGGTCAATGGTAGAATAGGAAATATCTTCCTATAGAAACTAGACAGAGTGATTCTCATAAACTCCTTTGTGATGTGTGCGTTCAACTCACAGAGTTTAACCTTTCTTTTCATAGAGCAGTTAGGAAACACTCTGTTTGTAAAGTCTGCAAGTGGATATTCAGACCTCCTTGAGGCCTTCGTTGGAAACGGGATTTCTTCATATTCTGCTAGACTGAAGAATTCTCAGTAACTTCCTTGTGTTGTGTGTATTCAACTCACAGAGTTGAACGATCCTTTACACAGAGCAGACATGAAACACTCTTTTTGTGGAATTTGCAAGTGGAGATTTCAGCCGCTTTGAGGTCAATGGTAGAATAGGAAATATCTTCCTATAGAAACTAGACAGAATGATTCTCAGAAACTCCTTTGTGATGTGTGCGTTCAACTCACAGAGTTCAACCTTTCTTTTCATAGAGCAGTTAGGAAACACTCTGTTTGTAAAGTCTGCAAGTGGATATTCAGACCTCTTTGAGGCCTTCGTTGGAAACGGGATTTCTTCATATTATGCTAGACAGAAGAATTCTCAGTAACTTCCTTGTGTTGTGTGTATTCAACTCACAGAGTTGAACTTCCATTTACACAGAGCAGATTTGAAACACTCTTTTTGTGGAATTTGCAAGTGGAGATTTCAAGCGCTTTGAGGCCAAAGGCAGAAAAGGAAATATCTTCGTTTCAAAACTAGACAGAATCATTCTCAGAAACTGCTCTGCGATGTGTGCGTTCAACTCTCAGAGTTTAACTTTTCTTTTCATTCAGCAGTTTGGAAACACTCTGTTTGTAAAGTCTGCACGTGGATAATTTGACCACTTAGAGGCCTTCGTTGGAAACGGGTTTTTTTATGTAAGGCTAGACAGAAGAATTCCCAGTAACTTCCTTGTGTTGTGTACATTCAACTCACAGAGTTGAACGTTCCCTTAGACAGAGCAGATTTGAAACACTCTTTTTGTGCAATTGGCAAGTGGAGATTTCAAGCGCTTTGAGGTCAATGGCAGAAAAGGAAATATCTTCGTTTCAAAACTAGACAGAATCATTCCCAAAAACTGCGTTGTGATGTGTTCGTTCATCTCACAGAGTTTAACCTTTCTTTTCATAGAGCAGTTAGGAAACAGTCTGTTTGAAAATTCTGTAAGTGGATATTCTGACATCTTGTGGCCTTCGTTGGAAACGGGATTTCTTCATATTCTGCTAGACAGAAGAATTCTCAGTAACTTCCTTGTGTTGTGTGTATTCAACTCACAGAGTTGAACGATCCTTTACACAGAGCAGACTTGAAACACTCTTTTTGTGGAATTTGCAAGTGGAGATTTCAGCCGCTTTGAGGTCAATAGTAGAAAAGGAAATATCTTCGTAGGAAAACTAGACAGAATGATTCTCAGAAACTCCTTTGTGATGTGTGCGTTCAACTCAAAGAGTTTAACTTTTCTTTTCATAGAGCAGTTAGGAAACACTCTGTTTGTAAAGTCTGCAAGTGGATATTCAGACCTCTTTGAGGCCTTCGTTGGAAACGGGATTTCTTCATATTATGCTAGAGAGAAGAATTCTCAGTAACTTCCTTTTGTTGTGTGTATTCAACTGACAGAGTTGAACTTTCATTTAGACAGAGCAGATTTGAAACACTCTTTTTCTGGAATTTGCAGGTGGAGATTTCAAGCGCTTTGAGGCCGAAGGCAGAAAAGGAAATATCTTCGTATAAAAACTAGACAGAATCATTCTCAGAAACTGCTCTGCGATGTGTGCCTTCAGCGCTCAGAGTTTAACTTTTCTTTTCATTCAGCAGTTTGGAAACACTCTGTTTGTAAAGTCTGCACGTGGATATTTTGACCACTTAGAGGCCTTCGTTGGAAGCGGGTTTTTGTCATGTAAGGTTAGACAGAAGAATTCCCAGTAACTTCCTTGTGTTGTGTGCATTCAACTCACAGATTTGAGCGTTCCCTTAGACAGAGCAGATTTAAAACACTCTATTTGTGCAATTTGCAAGTGTAGATTTCAAGCGCTTTAAGGTCAATGGCAGAAAAGGAAATATCTTCGTTTCAAAACTAGACAGAATCATTCCCACAAACTGCGTTGTGAGGTGTTCCGTAAACTCACAGAGTTTAACCTTTCTTTTCATAGAGCAGTTAGGAAACAGTCTGTTTGTAAATTCTGTAAGTGGATATTCTGACATCTTGTGGCCTTCGTTGGAAACGGGATTTCTTCATATTCTGCTAGACAGAAGAATTCTCAGTAACTTCCTTGTGTTGTGTGTATTCAACTCACAGAGTTGAACGATCCTTTACACAGAGCAGACTTGAAACACTCTTTTTGTGGAATTTGCAAATGGAGATATCAGCCGCTTTGAGGTCAATGGTAGAATAGGAAATATCTTCCTATAGAAACTAGACAGAATGATTCTCAGAAACTCCTTTGTGATGTGTGCGTTCAACTCACAGAGTTTAACCTTTCTTTTCATAGAGCAGTTAGGAAACACTCTGTTTGTAAAGTCTGCAAGTGGATATTCAGACCTCCTTGAGGCTTTCGTTGGAAACGGGATTTCTTCATATTCTGCTAGAAAGAAGAATTCCCAGTAACTTCCTTGTGTTGTGTGTGTTCAACTCACAGAGTTGAACTTTCATTTACACAGAGCAGATTTGAAACACTCTTTTTGTGGAATTTGCAAGTGGAGATTTCAAGCGATTTGAGGCCAAAGGCAGAAAAGGAAATATCTTCGTTTCAAAACTAGACAGAATCATTCTCAGAAACTGCTCTGCGATGTGTGCGTTCAACTCTCAGAGTTTAACTTTTCTTTTCATTCAGCAGTTTGAAAACACTCTGTTTGTAAAGTCTGCACGTGTATATTTTGACCACTTAGAGGCCTTCGTTGGAAACGGGTTTTTTTCCTGTAAGGCTAGACAGAAGAATTCCCAGTAACTTCCCTTGTGTTGTGTGCATTCAACTCACAGAGTTGAACGTTCCCTTAGACAGAGCAGATTTGAAACACTCTATTTGTGCAATTTGCAAGTGTAGTTTTCAAGCTCTTTAAGGTCAACGGCAGAAAAGGAAATATCTTCGTTTCAAAACTAGACAGAATCATTCTCACAAACTGCGTTGTGATGTGTTCGTTCATCTCACAGAGTTTAACCTTTCTTTTCATAGAGCAGTTAGGAAACAGTCTGTTTGTAAATTCTGTAAGTGGATATTCTGACATCTTGTGGCCTTCGTTGGAAACGGGATTTCTTCATATTCTGCTAGACAGAAGAATTCTCAGTAACTTCCTTGTGTTGTGTGTATTCAACTCACAGAGTTGAACGATCCTTTACACTGAGCAGACTTGAAACATTCTTTTTGTGGAATTTGCAAGTGGAGATTTCAGCCGCTTTGGGGTCAATGGTAGAATAGGAAATATCTTCGTAGAAAAACTAGACAGAATGATTCTCAGAAACTTCTTTGTGATGTGTGCGTTCAACTCACAGAGTTTAACCTTTCTTTTCATGGAGCAGTTAGGAAACACTCTGTTTGTAAACTCTGCAAGTGGATATTCAGACCTCTTTGAGGCCTTCGTTGGAAACGGGATTTCTTCATACTATGCTAGACAGAAGACTTCTCAGTAACTTCCTTGTGTTGTGTGTATTCAACTCACAGAGTTGAACGATCCTTTACACAGAGCGGACTTGAAACACTCTTTTTGTGGAATTTGCAAGTGGAGATTTCAGCCGCGTTGAGGTCAATGGTAGAAAAGGAAATATCTTCTTATAAAAACTAGACAGAATGATTCTCAGAATCTCCTTTATAATGTGTGCGTTCAACTCACAGAGTTTAACCTTTCTTTTCATAAAGCAGTTAGGAAACACTCTGTTTGTAATGTCTGCAAGTGGATATTCAGACCTCTTTGAGGCCTTCGTTGGAAACGGGATTTCTTCATATTCTGCTAGACAGAAGAATTCCCAGTAACTTCCTTGTGTTGTGTGTGTTCAACTCACAGAGTTGAACTTTCATTTACACAGAGCAGATTTGAAACACTCTTTTTGTGGAGTTTGCATGTGGAGATTTCAAGCACTTTGAGGCCAAAGGCAGAAAAGGAAATATCTTCGTATAAAAACTAGACAGAATCATTCTCAGAAACTGCTGCGTGATGTGTGTGTTCAACCCTCAGAGTTTAACTTTCCTTTTCATTCAGCGGTTTGGAAACACTCTGTTTGTAAAGTCTGCACGTGGATATTTTGACCACTTAGAGGCCTTCGTTGGAAACGGGTTTTTTTCATGTAAGGCTAGACAGAAGAATTCCCAGTAACTTCCTTGTGTTGTGTGCATTCCACTCACAGAGTTGAACGTTCCCTTAGACAGAGCAGATTTGAAACACTCTATTTGTGCAATTTGCAAGTGTAGATTTCAAGCTCTTTAAGGTCAATGGCAGAAAAGGAAATATCTTCGTTTCAAAACTAGACAGAATCATTCCCACAAACTGCGTTGTGATGTGTTCGTTCAACTCACAGAGTTTAACCTTTCTGTTCATAGAGCAGTTAGGAAACACTCTGTTTGTAAAGTCTGTAAGTGGATATTCTGACATTTTGTGGCCTTCGTTGGAAATGGGATTTCTTCATATTCTCCTAGACAGAAGAATTCTCAGTAACTTCCTTGTGCTGTGTGTATTCAACTCACAGAGTTGAACGATCCTTTACACAGAGCATACTTGAAACACTCTTCCTGTGGAATTTGCAACTGGAGATTTCAGCCGCTTTGAGGTCAATGGTAGAATAGGAAATATCTTCGTATAAAAACTAGACAGAATGATTCTCAGAAACTCCTTTGTGATGTGTGTGTTCAACTCACAGAGTTTAACCTTTCTTTTCATAGAGCAGTTAGTAAACACTCTATTTATAAAGTCTGCAAGTGGATATTCAGACCCCTTTGAGGCCTTCGTTGGAAACGGGATTTCTTCATATTATGCTAGACAGAAGAATTCTCAGTAACTTCCTTGTGTTGTGTGTATTCAACTGACAGAGTTGAACTTTCATTTTGAGAGAGCAGATTTGAAATACTGTTTTTGTGGAATTTGCAAGTGGAGATTTCAAACGCTTTGGGGCCAAAGGCAGAAAAGGAAATATCTTCGTATAAAAACTAGACAGAATCATTCTCAGAAACTGCTGTGTGATGTGTGCGTTCAACTCTCAGAGTTTAACTTTTCTTTTCATTCAGCGGTTTGGAAACACTCTGTTTGTAAAGTCTGCACGTGGATATTTTGATCACTTAGAGGCCTTCGTTGGAAACGGGATTTTTTCATGTAAGGCTAGACAGAAGAATTCCCAGTAACTTCCTTGTGTTGTGTGCATTCAACTCACAGAGTTGAACGTTCCCTTAGACAGAGCAGATTTGAAACACTCTATTTGTGCAATTTGCAAGTGTAGATTTCAAGCGCTTTAATGTCAATGGCAGAAAAGGAAATATCTTCGTTTCAAAACTAGACAGAATGATTCTCAGAAACCCCTTTGTGATGTGTGCGTTCAACTCACAGAGTTTAACCTTTCTGTTCATAGAGCAGTTAGGAAACACTCTGTTTGTAAAGTCTGTAAGTGGATATTCTGACATGCTTGTGGCCTTCGTTGGAAACGGGATTTCTTCATATTCTGCTAGACAGAAGAATTCTCAGTAACTTCCTTGTGTTGTGTGTATTCAACTCACAGAATTGAACGATCCTTTACACAGAGCAGACTTGAAACACTCTTTTTGTGGAATTTGCAAGCGGAGATTTCAGCCGCTTTGGGGTCAATGGTAGAAAAGGAAATATCTTCGTATAAAGACTAGACAGAATGATTCTCAGAAACTCCTTTGTGATGTGTGCGTTCAACTCACAGAGTTTAACCTTTCTTTTCATAGAGCAGTTAGGAAACACTCTGTTTGTAAAGTCTGCATGTGGATATTCAGACCTCTTTGAGGCC
Source organism: Homo sapiens (assembly GCF_000001405.40). Taxonomy (NCBI): domain Eukaryota; kingdom Metazoa; phylum Chordata; class Mammalia; order Primates; family Hominidae; genus Homo; species Homo sapiens. The sequence goes on from NC_000001.11 coordinate 123,094,231, forward strand.
TTCGTTGGAAACGGGTTTTTTTCATATAAGGCTAGACAGAAGAATTCTCAGTAACTTCCTTGTGTTGTGTGTATTCAACTGACATAGTTGAACTTTCATTTAGAGAGAGCAGATTTGAAACTCTGTTTTTGTGGAATTTGCAAGTGGAGATTTCAAGCGCTTTGGGGCCAAAGGCAGAAAAGGAAATATCTTCGTATAAAAACTAGACAGAATCATTCTCAGAAACTGCTCTGCGATGTGTGCCGTTCAACTCTCAGAGTTTAACTTTTCTTCTCATTCAGCAGTTTGGAAACACTCTGTTTGTAAAGTCTGCACGTGGATAATTTGACCACTTAGAGGCCTTCGTTGGAAACGGGTTTTTTTCATGTAAGGCTAGACAGAAGAATTCCCAGTAACTTCCCTTGTGTTGTGTGCATTCAACTCACAGAGTTGAACGTTCCCTTAGACAGAGCAGATTTGAAACACTCTATTTGTGCAATTTGCAAGTGTAGTTTTCAAGCTCTTTAAGGTCAACGGCAGAAAAGGAAATATCTTCGTTTCAAAACTAGACAGAATGATTCTCAGAAACTCCTTTGTGATGTGTGAGTTCAACTCACAGAGTTTATCCTTTCTTTTCATAGAGCAGTTAGGAAACACTCTGTTTGTAAAGTCTGCAAGTGGATATTCAGACCTCTTTGAGGCCTTCGTTGGAAACGGGATTTCTTCATATTCTGCTAGACAGAAGAATTCTCAGTAACTTCCTTGTGTTGTGTGCATTGAACTCACAGAGTTGAACGATCCTTTACACAGGGCAGACTTGAAACACTCTTTTTGTGGAGTTTGCAAGCGGAGATTTCAGCCTCTTTGAGGTTAATGGTAGAAAATGAAATATCTTCGTATAGAAACTAGACAGAATGATTCTCAGAAACTCCTTTGTGATGTGTGCGTTCAACTCACAGAGTTTAACCTTTCTTTTCACAGAGCAGTTAGGAAACACTCTGTTTGTAAAGTTTGCAAGTGGATATTCTGACATCCTTGAGGCCTTCGTTGGAAACGGGATTTCTTCATATTATGCTACACAGAAGAATTCTCAATAACTTCCTTGTGTTGTGTGTATTCCAATCACAGAGTTGAACGATCCTTTACACAGAGCAGACTTGAAACACTGTTTTTGTGGAATTTGCAAGTGGAGATTTCAGCCGCTTTGAGGTCAATGGTTGAAAAGGAAATATCTTCCAATAGAAATTTGACAGAATGATTCTCAGAAACTCCTTTGTGATGTGTGCGTTCAACTCACAGAGTTTAACCTTTCTTTTCATAGAGCAGTTAGGAAACACTCTGTTTGTAAAGTCTGCAAGTGGATATTCAGACATCTTTGAGGCCTTCGTTGGAAACGGGATTTCTTCATATTATGTTAGACAGAAGAATTCTCAGTAACTTTCTTGTGTTGTGTGTATTCAACTGACAGAGTTGAACTTTCATTTAGAGAGAGCAGATTTGAAACACTGTTTTTGTGGAATTTGCAAGTGGAGATTTCAAGCGCTTTGGGGCCAAAGGCAGAAAAGGAAATATCTTCGTATAAAAACTGGACAGAATCATTCTCAGAAACTGCTGCGTGATGTGTGCGTTCAACTCTCAGAGTTTAACTTTTCTTTTCATTCAGCGGTTTGGAAACACTCTGTTTGTAAAGTCTGCACGTGGATATTATGACCACTTAGAGGCCTTCGTTGGAAACGGGTTTTCTTCATGTAAGGCTAGACAGAAGAATTCCCAGTAACTTCCTTGTGTTGTGTGCATTCAACTCACAGAGTTGAACGTTCCCTTAGACAGAGCAGATTTGAAACACTCCATTTGTGCAATTTGCAAGTGTAGATTTCAAGCGCTTTAAGGTCAATGGCAGAAAAGGAAATATCTTCGTTTCAAAACTAGACAGAATCATTCCCACAAACTGCGTTGTGATGTGTTCGTTCAACTCACAGAGTTTAACCTTTCTTTTCATAGAGCAGTTAGGAAACACTCTGTTGGTAAATTCTGTAAGTGGATATTCTGACATCTTGTGGCCTTCAGTGGAAACGGGATTTTTTCATATTCTGCTAGACAGAATAATTCTCAGTAACTTCCTTGTGTTGTGTGTATTCAACTCCCAGAGTTGAACGATCCTTTACACAGAGCAGACTTGAAACATTCTTTTTGTGGAATTTGCAAGTGGAGATTTCAGCCGCTTTGAGGTCAATGGTAGAATAGGAAATATCTTCCTATAGAAACTAGACAGAATGATTCTGAGAAACTCCTTTGTGATGTGTGCGTTCAACTCACAGAGTTTAACCTTTCTTTTCATAGAGCAGTTAGGAAACACTCTGTTTGTAAAGTGTGCAAGTGGATATTCAGACCTCCTTGAGGCCTTCGTTGGAAACGGGATTTCTTCATATTATGCTAGACAGAAGAATTCCCAGTAACTTCCTTGTGTTGTGTGTGTTCAACTCACAGAGTTGAACTTTCATTTACACAGAGCAGATTTGAAACACTCTTTTTGTGGAATTTGCAAATGGAGATTTCAAGCGCTTTCAGGCCAAAGGCAGAAAAGGAAATATCTTCGTATAAAAACTAGACAGAATCATTCTCAGAAACTGCTGCGTGATGTGTGCGTTCAACTCTCAGAGTTTAACTTTTCTTTACATTCAGCGGTTTGGAAACACTCTGTTTGTAAAGTCTGCACGTGGAAATTTTGACCACTTAGAGGCCTTCGTTGGAAACGGGTTTTTTTCATGTAAGGCTAGACAGAAGAATTCCCAGTAACTTCCTTGCGTTGTGTACATTCCACTCACAGAGTTGAACGTTCCCTTAGACAGAGCAGATTTGAAACACTCTTTTTGTGCAATTGGCAAGTGGTGATTTCAGCCGCTTTGAGGTCAATGGTAGAAAAGGAAATATCTTCGTATAAAAACTAGACAGAATCATTCCCACAAACTGCGTTGTGATGTGTTCGTTCAACTCACAGAGTTTAACCTTTCTGTTCATAGAGCAGTTAGGAAACACTCTGATTGTAAAGTCTGTAAGTGGATATTCTGACATCTTGTGGCCTTCGTTGGAAACGGGATTTCTTCATATTCTGCTAGACAGAAGAATTCTCAGTAACTTCCTTGTGTTGTGTGCATTCAACTCACAGAGTTGAATGATCCTTTACACAGAGCACATTAGAAACACTCTTTTTGTGGAATTTGCAAGTGGAGATTTCAGCCGCTTTGAGGTCAATGGCAGAAAAGGAAATATCTTCGTATAAAAACTAGACAGAATGATTCTCAGAAACTCCTTTGTGATGTGTGCGTTCAACTCACAGAGTTTAACCTTTCTTTTCATAGAGCAGTTAGGAAACACTCTGTTTGTAAAGTCTGCAAGTGGATATTCAGACCTCTTTGAGGCTCTTCGTTGGAAACGGGTTTTTTTCATATAAGGCTAGACAGAGCAATTCTCAGTAACTTCCTTGTGTTGTGTGTATTCAACTGACAGAGTTGAACTTTCATTTAGAGAGAGCAGATTTGAAACACTGTTTTTGTGGAATTTGCAAGTGGAGATTTCAAGCGCTTTGGGGCCAAAGGCAGAAAAGGAAATATCTTCGTATAAAAACTAGACAGAATCATTCTCAGAAACTGCTGCGTGATGTGTGCGTTCAACTCTCAGAGTTTAACTTTTCTTTTCATTCAGCGGTTTGGAAACACTCTGTTTGTAAAGTCTGCACGTGGATATTTTGACCACTTAGAGGCCTTTGTTGGAAACGGGTTTTTTTCATGTAAGGCTAGACAGAAGAATTCCCAGTAACTTCCTTGTGTTGTGTGCATTCAACTCACAGAGTTGAACGTTCCCTTAGACAGAGCAGATTTGAAACACTCTATTTGTGCAATTTGCAAGTGTAGATTTCAAGCGCTTTAAGGTCAATGGCAGAAAAGGAAATTTCTTCGTTTCAAAACTAGACAGAATGATTCTCAGAAAATCTTTTGTGATGTGTGCGTTCAACTCACAGAGTTTAACTTTTCTTCTCATAGAGCAGTTAGGAAACATTCTGTTTGTAAAGTGTGCAAGTGGATATTCAGACTTCTTTGAGGCCTTCGTTGGAAACGGGATTTCTTCATATTATGCTAGACAGAATAATTCTCAGTAACTTCCTTGTGTTGTGTGTATTCAACTCACAGAGTTGAAGGATCCTTTACAGAGAGCAGGCTTGAAACACTCTTTTTGTGGAATTTGCAAGTGGAGATTTCAGCCGCTTTGAGGTCAATGGTAGAATAGGAAATACCTTCTTATAGAAACTAGACAGAATGATTCTCAGAAACTCCTTTGTGATGTGTGCGTTCAACTCACAGAGTTTAACCTTTCTGTTCATAGAGCAGTTAGGAAACACTCTGTTTGTAAAGTCTGCAAGTGGATATTCAGACCTCCTTGATTCCTTCGGTGGAAACGGGATTTCTTCATATTATGCTAGACAGAAGAATTCTCAGTAACTTCCTTGTGTTGTGTGTATTCAACTCACAGAGTTGAACGATCCTTTACAGAGAGCAGACTTGAAACACTCTTTTTGTGGAATTTGTAAGTGGAGATTTCAGCCGCTTTGAGGTCAATGGTTGAAAAGGAAACTATCTTCGTATAAAGACTAGACAGAATGATTCTCAGAAACTCCTTTGTGATGTGTGCGTTCAACTCACAGAGTTTAACCTTTCTTTTCATAGAGCAGTTAGGAAACACTCTGTTTGTAAAGTCTGCAAGTGGATATTCAGACCTCTTTGAGGCCTTCGTTGGAAACGGGTTTTTTTCATATAAGGCTCGACAGAAGAATTCTCAGTAACTTCCTTGTGTTGTGTGTATTCAACTGAAAGAGTTGAACTTTCATTTAGAGAGAGCAGATTTGAAACACTGTTTTTGTGGAAGTTGCAAGTGGAGATTTCAAGCGCTTTGGGGCCAAAGGCAGAAAAGGAAATATCTTCGTATAAAAACTAGACAGAATCATTCTCAGAAACTGCTGCGTGATGTGTGCGTTCAACTCTCAGAGTTTAACTTTTCTTTTCATTCAGCCGTTTGGAAACACTCTGTTTGTAAAGTCTGCACGTGGATATTTTGACCACTTAGGGGCCTTCGTTGGAAACGGGTTTTTTGCATGTAAGGCTAGACAGAAGAATTCCCAGTAACTTCCTTGTGTTGTGTGCATTCAACTCACAGAGTTGAACGTTCCCTTAGACAGAGCAGATTTGAAACACTCTATTTGTGCAATTTGCAAGTGTAGATTTCAAGCGCTTTAAGGTCAACGGCAGAAAAAGGAAATATCTTCGTTTCAAAACTAGACAGAATCATTCCCACAAACTGCGTTGTGATGTGTTCGTTCAACTCACAGAGTTTAACCTTTCTTTTCATAGAGCAGTTAGGAAACAGTCTGTTTGTCAATTCTGTAAGTGGATATTCTGACATCTTGTGGCCTTCGTTGGAAACGGGATTTCTTCACATTCTCCTAGACAGAAGAATTCTCAGTAACTTCCTTGTGTTGTGTGTATTCAACTCACAGAGTTGAACGATCCTTTACACAGAGCAGACTTGTAACACTCTTTTTGTGGAATTTGCAAGTGGAGATTTCAGCCGCTTTGAAGTCAAATGTAGAAAAGGAAATATCTTCCTATAAAAACTAGACAGAATGATTCTCAGAAACTTCTTTGTGATGTGTGTGTTCAACTCACAGAGTTTAACCTTTCTTTTCATAGAGCAGTTAGGAAACACTCTGTTTGTAAACTCTGCAAGTGGATATTCAGACCTCTTTGAGGACTTCGTTGGAAACGGGTTTTTTTCATATAAGGCTAGACAGAAGAATTCCCAGTAACTTTCCTTGTGTTGTGTGTGTTCAACTCACAGAGTTGAACTTTCAGTTACACAGAGCAGATTTGAAACACTCTTTTTGTGGACTTTGCAAATGGAGATTTCAAGCGCTTTGAGGCCAAAGGCAGAAATGGAAATATGCTTCGTATAAAAACTAGACAGAATCATTCTCAGAAACTGCTCTGCGATGTGTGCGTTCAAGTCTCAGAGTTTAACTTTTCTTTTCATTCAGCAGTTTGGAAACACTCTCTTTGTAAAGTCTGCAGGTGGATATTTTGACCACTTAGAGGCCTTCGTTGGAAACGGGTTTTTTTCCTGTAAGGCTAGACAGAAGAATTCCCAGTAACTTCCTTGTGTTGTGTGCATTCAACTCACAGAGTTGAACGTTCCCTTAGGCAGAGCAGATAGGAAACACTCTATTTGTGCAATTTGCAAGTGTAGATTTCAAGCGCTTTAAGGTCAACGGCAGAAAAGGAAATATCTTCGTTTCAAAACTAGACAGAAGAATTCTCAGTAACTTCCTTGTGTTGTGTGTATTCAACTCACAGAGATGAACGATCCTTTACACAGAGCAGACTTGAAACACTCTTTTTGTGGAATTTGCAACTGGAGATTTCAGCCGCTTTGAGGTCAATAGTAGAAAAGGAAATAACTTCGTAGAAAAACTAGACAGAATGATTCTCAGAAACTCCTTTGTCATGTGTGTGTTCAACTCACAGAGTTTAACCTTTCTTTTCATAGAGCAGTTAGTAAACACTCTGTTTATAAAGTCTGCAAGTGGATATTCAGACCCCTTTGAGGCCTTCGTTGGAAACGGGATTTCTTCATATTATGCTAGACAGAAGAATTCCCAGTAACTTCCTTGTGTTGTGTGTGTTCAACTCACACAGTTGAACTTTCGTTTACACAGAGCAGATTTGAAACACTCTTTTTGTGGAATTTGCAAATGGAGATTTCAAGCGCTTTGAGGCCAAAGGCAGAAAAGGAAATATCTTCGTATAAAAACTAGACAGAATCATTCTCAAAAACTGCTCTGCGATGTGTGCGTTCAACTCTCAGAGTTTAACTTTTCTTTTCATTCAGCAGTTTGGAAACACTCTGTTTGTAAAGTCTGCACGTGGATATTTTGACCACTTAGAGGCCTTCGTTGGAAACGGGTTTTTTTCCTGTAAGGCTAGACAGAAGAATTCCCAGTAACTTCCTTGTGTTGTGTACATTCAACTCACAGAGTTGAACGTTCCCTTAGACAGAGCAGATTTGAAACACTCTTTTTGTGCAATTGGCTAATGGAGATTTCAAGCGCTTTAAGGTCAATGGCAGAAAAGGAAATATCTTCGTTTCAAAACTAGACAGAATCATTCCCACAAACTGCGTTGTGATGTGTTCGTTCAACTCACAGAGTTGAACCTTTCTTTTCATAGAGCAGTTAGGAAACAGTCTGTTTGTCAATTCTGTAAGTGGATATTCTGACATCTTGTGGCCTTCGTTGGAAACGGGATTTCTTCATATTCTGCTAGACAGAAGAATTCTCAGAATCTTCCTTGTGTTGTGTGTATTCAACTCACAGAGTTGAACGATCCTTTACACAGAGCAGACTTGAAACACTCTTTTTGTGGAATTTGCAAGTGGAGATTTCAGCCGCTTTGAAGTCCATGGTAGAAAAGGAAATATCTTCGTATAAAAACTAGACAGAATGATTCTCAGAAACTCCTTTGTGATGTGTGCGTTCAACTCACAGAGTTTAACCTTTCTGTTCATAGAGGTGTTAGGAAACACTCTGTTTGTAAAGTCTGCAAGTGGATATTCAGACCTCCTTGAGGCCTTCGTTGGAAACGGGATTTCTTCATATTCTGCTAGACAGAAGAATTCTCAGTAACTTCCTTGTGTTGTGTGTATTCAACTGACAGAGTTGAACTTTCATTTAGAGAGAGCAGATTTGAAACACTGTTTTTGTGGAGTTTGCAAGTGGAGATTTCAAGCGCTTTGGGGCCAAAGGCAGAAAAGGAAATATCTTCGTATAAAAACTAGACAGAATCATTCTCAGAAACTGCTGCGTGATGTGTGCGTTCAACTCTCAGAGTTTAACTTTTCTTTTCATTCAGCGGTTTGGAAACACTCTGTTTGTAAGTCTGCACGTGGATATTTTGACCACTTAGAGGCTTTCGTTGGAAACGCGTTTTTTTCATGTAAGGCTAGACAGAAGAATTCCCAGTAACTTCCTTGTGTTGTGTGCATTCAACTCACAGTGTTGAACGTTCCCTTAGACAGAGCAGATTTGAAACACTCTATTTGTGAATTTGCAAGTGTAGATTTCAAGCGCTTTAAGGTCAATGGCAGAAAAGGAAATATCTTCGTTTCAAAACTAGACAGAATCATTCCCACAAACTGCGTTGTGATGTGTTCGTTCAACTCACAGAGTTTAACTTTTCTGTTCATAGAGCAGTTAGGAAACACTCTGTTTGTAAAGTCTGAAAGTGGATATTCTGACATCTTGTGGCCTTCGTTTGAAACGGGATTTCTTCATATTCTGCTAGACAGAAGAATTCTCAGTAACTTCCTTGTGTTGTGTGTATTCAACTCACAGAGTTGAACGATCCTTTACACAGAACAGACTTGTAACACTCTTTTTGTGGAATTTGCAAGTGGAGATTTCAGCCACTTTGAAGTCAAAGGTAGAAAAGGAAATAACTTCCTATAAAAACTAGACAGAATGATTCTCAGAAACTCCTTTGTGATGTGTGCGTTCACCTCACAGAGTTTAACTTTTCTTTTCATAGAGCAGTTAGGAAACACTCTGTTTGTAAAGTCTGCAAGTGTATATTCAGACCTCTTTGAGGCCTTCGTTGGAAACGGGATTTCTTCATATTATGCTAGACAGAAGAATTCCCAGTAACTTCCTTGTGTTGTGTGTGTTCAACTCACAGAGTTGAACTTTCATTTACACAGAGCAGATTTGAAACACTCTTTTTGTGGAATTTGCAAGTGGAGATTTCAAGCGCTTTGAGGCCAAAGGCAGAAAAGGAAATATCTTCGTTTGAAAACTACACAGAATCATTCTCAGAAACTGCTGCGTGATGTATGCGTTCAACTCTCAGAGTTTAACTTTTCTTTTCATTCAGCGGTTTGGAAACACTCTGTTTGTAAAGTCTGCACGTGGATATTTTGACCACTTAGAGGCCTTCGTTGGAAACGGGTTTTTTTCATGTAAGGCTAGACAGAAGAATTCCCAGTAACTTCCTTGTGTTGTGTGCATTCCACTCACAGAGTTGAACGTTCCCTTAGACAGAGCAGATTTGAAACACTCTATTTGTGCAATTTGCAAGTGTAGATTTCAAGCGCTTTAAGGTCAATGGCAGAAAAGGAAATATCTTCGTTTCAAAACTAGACAGAATCATTCCCACAAACTGCGTTGTGATGTGTTCGGTTCAACTCACAGAGTTTAACCTTTCTGTTCATAGAGCAGTTAGGAAACACTCTGTTTGTAAAGTCTGTAAGTGGATATTCTGACATCTTGTGGCCTTCGTTGGAAACGGGATTTCTTCATATTATGCTAGAAAGAAGAATTCTCAGAAACTTCCTTGTGTTGTGTGTTTTCAACTCACAGAGTTGAACGATGCTTTACACAGAGTAGACTTGAAACACTCTTTTTGTGTAATTTGCAAGTGGAGATTTCAGCCGCATTGAGGTCAATGGTAGAAAAGGAAATATCTTCGTTTAAAAACTAGACAGAATAATTCTCAGAAACTTCATTGTGATGTGTGCGTTCAACTCACAGAGTTTAACCTTTCTTTTCATAGAGCAGTTAGGAAACACTGTTTGTAAACTCTGCAAGTGGATATTCAGACCTCTTTGAGGCCTTCGTTGGAAACGGGATTTCTTCATACTGTGCTAGACAGAAGAATTCTCAGTAATTTCCTTGTGTTGTGTGTATTCAACTCACAGAGTTGAACGATCCTTTACACAGAGCAGACTTGAAACACTCTTCTTGCGGAATTTGCAAGTGGAGATTTCAGCCGCTTTGAGGTCAATGGTAGAATAGGAAATATCTTCCTATAGAAACTAGACAGAATGATTCTCAGAAACTCCTTTGTGATGTGTGCGTTCAACTCACAGAGTTTAACCTTTCTTTTCATAGAGCAGTTGGGAAACACTCTGTTTGTAAAGTCTGCAAGTGGATATTCAGACCTCTTTGAGGCCTTCGTTGGAAACGGGATTTCTTCATATTCTGCTAGACAGAAGAATTCCCAGTAACTTCCTTGTGCTGTGTGTGTTCAACTCACAGAGTTGAACTTTCATTTACACAGAGCAGATTTGAAACACTCTTTTTGTGGAATTTGCAAGTGGAGATTTCAAGCGCTTTGAGGCCAAAGGCAGAAAAGGAAATATCTTCGTATAAAAACTAGACAGAATCATGCTGAGAAACTGCTCTGCGATGTGTGCGTTCAACTCTCAGAGTTTAACTTTTCTTTTCATTCAGCAGTTTGGAAACACTCTGTTTGTAAAGTCTGCACGTGCATAATTTGACCGCTTAGAGGCCTTCGTTGGAAACGGGTTTTTTTCATGTAAGGCTAGACAGAAGAATTCCCAGTAACTTCCTTGTGTAGTGTGCATTCAACTCACAGAGTTGAACGTTCCCTTAGACAGAGCAGATTTGAAACACTATATTTGTGCAAATTGCAAGTGTAGATTTCAAGTGATTTAAGGTCAATGGCAGAAAAGGAAATATCTTCGTTTCAAAACTAGACAGAATCATTCCCACAAACTGCGTTGTGATGTATTCGTTCAACTCACAGAGTTTAACCTTTCTGTTCATAGAGCAGTTAGGAAACACTCTGTTTGTAAAGTCTGCAAGTGGATATTCAGACCTCTTTGAGGCCTTCGTTGGAAACGGGATTTCTTCATATTATGCTAGACAAAAGAATTCTCAGTAACTTCCTTGTGTTGTGTGTATTCAACTCACAGAGTTGAAGGATCCTTTACACAGAGCAGACTTGAAACACTCTTTTTGTGGAATTTGCAAGTGGAGATTTCAGCCGCTTTGAGGTCAATGGTAGAATAGGAAATATCTTCCTATAGAAACTAGACAGAATGATTCTGAGAAACTCCTTTGTGATGTGTGCGTTCAACTCACAGAGTTTAACCTTTCTTTTCATAGAGCAGTTAGGAAACACTCTGTTTGTAATGTGTGCAAGTGGATATTCAGACCTCCTTGAGGCCTTCGTTGGAAACGGGATTTCTTCATATTATGCTAGACACAAGAATTCTCAGTAACTTCATTGTGTTGTGTGTTTTCAACTGACAGAGTTGAACTTTCATTTAGAGAGAGCAGATTTGTAACACTGTTTTTGTGGAATTTGCAAGTGGAGATTTCAAGCGCTTTGGGGCCAAAGGCAGAAAAGGAAATATCTTCGTATAAAAACTAGACAGAATCATTCTCAGAAACTGCTCTGCGATGTGTGCGTTCAACTCTCAGAATTTAACTTTTCTTTTCATTCAGCAGTTTGGAAACACTCTGTTTGTAAAGTCTGCACGTGGATAATTTGACCACTTAGAGGCCTTCGTTGGAAACGGGTTTTTTTCATGTAAGGCTAGACAGAAGAATTCCCAGTAACTTCCTTGTGTTGTGTACATTCAACTCACAGAGTTGAACGTTTCCTTAGACAGAGCAGATTTGAAACACTCTTTTTGTGCAATTGGCAAGTGGAGATTTCAAGCGCTTTGAGGTCAATGGCAGAAAAGGAAATATCTTCGTTTCAAAACTAGACAAAATCATTCCCACAAACTGCGTTGTGATGTGTTCGTTCAACTCACAGAGTTTAACCTTTCTGTTCATAGAGCAGTTAGGAAAAACTCTGTTTGTAAAGTCTGTAAGTAGATATTCTGACATCTTGTGGCCTTCTTTGGAAAAGGGATTTCTTCATATTCTGCTAGACAGAAGAATTCTCAGTAACTTTCCTTGTGTTGTGTTTATTCAACTCACAGAGTTGAATGATCCTTTACACAGAGCAGACTTGAAACACTCTTTTTGTGGAATTTGCAAGTGGAGATTTCAGCCGCTTTGAGGTCAATGGTAGAAAAGTAAATATCTTCCTATAAAGACTAGACAGAATGATTCTCAGAAACTCCTTTGTGATGTGTGTGTTCAACTCACAGAGTTTAACCTTTCTTTTCCTAGAGCAGTTAGTAAACACTCTGTTTATAAAGTCTGCAAGTGGATATTCAGACCCCTTTCAGGCCTTCGTTGGAAACGGGATTTCTTCATATTATGCTAGACAGAAGAATTCCCAGTAACTTCCTTGTGTTGTGTGTGTTCAACTCACAGAGTTGAACTTTCATTTACACAGAGCAGATTTGAAACACTCTTTTTGTGGAATTTGCAAGTGGAGATTTCAAGCGCTTTGAGGCCAAAGCAGAAAAGGAAATATCTTCGTTTCGAAACTAGACAGAATCATTCTCAGAAAATGCTCTGTGATGTGTACGTTCAACTCTCAGAGTTTAACTTTTGTTTTCATTCAGCAGTTTGGAAACACTCTGTTTGTAAAGTCTGCACGTGGATATTTTGACCACTTAGAGGCCTTCGTTGGAAACGGGTTTTTTTCATGTAAGGGTAGACAGAAGAATTCTCAGTAACTTCCTTGTGTTGTGTGTATTCAACTCACAGAGTTGAACGATCCTTTACACAGAGCAGACTTGTAACACTCTTTTTGTGGAATTTGCAAGTGGAGACTTCAGCCGCTTTGAAGTCAAAGGTAGAAAAGGAAATATCTTCCTATAAAAACTAGACAGAATCATTCCCACAAACTGCGTTGTGATGCGTTCGTTCAACTCACATAGTTTAACCTTTCTGTTCATAGAGCAGTTAGGAAACACTCTGTTTGTAAAGTCTGCAAGTGGATATTCAGACCTCCTTGAGGCCTTCGTTGGAAACGGGATTTCTTCATATTCTGCTAGACAGAAGAATTCTCAGTAACTTCCTTGTGTTGTGTGTATTCAACTCACAGAGTTGAACGATCCTTTACACAGAGCAGACTTGAAACACTCGATTTGTGGAATTTGCAAGTGGAGATTTCAGCCGCTTTGAGGTCAATGGTAGAAAAGGAAATATCTTCGTATAAAAACTAGACAGAACGATTCTCAGAAACTCCTTTGTGATGTGTGTGTTCAACTCACAGAGTTTAACCTTTCTTTTCATAGAGCAGTTAGTAAACACTCTGTTTATAAAGTCTGCAAGTGGATATTCAGACCCCTTTGAGGCCTTCGTTGGAAACGGGATTTCTTCATATTATGCTAGACAGAAGAATTCTCAGTAACTTCCTTGTGTTGTGTGTATTCAACTCACAGAGTCGAACGATCCTTTACGCAGAGCAGACTTGAAACACTCTTTTTGTGGAATTTGCAAGTGGAGATTTCAGCCGCTTTGAGGTCAATGGTAGAAAAGGAAATATCTTCGTATAAAGACTAGACAGAATGATTCTCAGAAACTCCTTTGTGATGTGTGCGTTCAACTCACAGAGTTTAACCTTTCTTTTCATAGAGCAGTTAGGAAACACTCTGTTTGTAAAGTCTGCAAGTGGATATTCAGACCTCTTTGAGGCCTTCGTTGGAAACGGGATTTCTTCATATTCTGCTAGAGAGAAGAATTCTCAGTAACTTCCTTGTGTTGTGTGTATTCAACTGACAGAGTTGAACTTTCATTTAGAGAGAGCAGATTTGAAACACTGTTTTTGTGGAATTTGCAAATGGAGATTTCAAGCGCTTTGGGGCCAAAGGCAGAAAAGGAAATATCTTCCTATAAAAACTAGACAGAATCATTCTCAGAAACTGCTGCGTGATGTGTGCGTTCAACTCTCAGAGTTTAACTTTTCTTTTCATTCAACGGTTTGGAAACACTCTCTTTGTAAAGTCTGCACGTGGAAATTTTGACCACTTAGAGGCCTTCGTTGGAAACGGGTTTTTTTCATGTAAGGCTAGACAGAAGAATTCCCAGTAACTTCCTTGTGTTGTGTGCATTCAACTCACAGAGTTGAACGTTCCCTTAGACAGAGCAGATTTGAAACACTCTATTTCTGCAATTTGCAAGTGTAGTTTTCAAGCTCTTTAAGGTCAACGGCAGAAAAGGAAATATCATCGTTTCAAAACTAGACAGAATCATTCCCACAAACTGCGTTGTGATGTTTTCGTTCAACTCACAGAGTTTAACCTTTCTTTTCATAGAGCAGTTAGGAAACAGTCTGTTTGTCAATTCTGTAAGTGGATATTCTGACATCTTGTGGCCTTCGTTGGAAACGGGATTTCTTCATATTCTGCTAGACAGAAGAATTCTCAGAATCTTTCCTTGTGTTGTGTGTATTCAACTCACAGAGTTGAACGATCCTTTACACAGAGCAGACTTGAAACACTCTTTTTGTGGAATTTGCAAGTGGAGATTTCAGCCGCTTTGAAGTCCATGGTAGAAAAGGAAATATCTTCGTATAAAAACTAGACAGAATGATTCTCAGAAACTCCTTTGTGATGTGTGCGTTCAACTCACAGAGTTTAACCTTTCTTTTCATAGAGCAGTTAGGAAACCCTCTGTTTGTAAAGTCTGCAAGTGGATATTCAGACCTCTTTGAGGCCTTCGTTGGAAACGGGATTTCTTCATATTCTGCTAGACAGAAGAATTCTCAGAATCTTCCTTGTGTTGTGTGTATTCAACTCACAGAGTTGAACGATCCTTTACACAGAGCAGACTTGAAACACTCTTTTTGTGGAATTTGCAAGTGGAGATTTCAGCCGCTTTGAGGTCCTTGGTAGAAAAGGAAATATCTTCGTATAAAAACTAGACAGAATGATTCTCAGAAACTCCTTTGTGATGTGTGCGTTCAACTCACAGAGTTTAACCTTTCTTTTCATAGAGCAGTTAGGAAACACTCTGTTTGTAAAGTCTGCAAGTGGATATTCAGACCTCTTTGAGGCCTTCGTTGGAAACGGGTTTTTCTCATATAAGGCTAGACAGAAGAATTCTCAGTAACTTCCTTGTGTTGTGTGTATTCAACTGACAGAGTTGAACTTTCATTTAGAGACAGCAGATTTGAAACACTGTTTTTGTGGAATTTGCAAGTGGAGATTTCAAGCGCTTTGGGGCCAAAGGCAGAAAAAGAAATATCTTCGTATAAAAACTAGACAGAATCATTCTCAGAAACTGCTGCGTGATGTGTGCGTTCAACTCTCAGAGTTTAACTTTTCTTTTCATTCAGCGGTTTGGAAACACTCTGTTTGTAAAGACTGCACGTGGATATTTTGACCCCTTAGAGGCCTTCGTTGGAAACGGGTTTTTTTCATGTAAGGCTAGACAGAAGAATTCCCAGTAACTTCCTTGTGTTGTGTGCATTCAACTCACAGAGTTGAACGTACCCTTAGACAGAGCAGATTTGAAACACTCTATTTGTGCAATTTCCAAGTGTAGATTTCAAGCGCTTTAAGGTCAACGGCAGAAAAGGAAATATCTTCGTTTCAAAACTAGACAGAATCATTCCCACAAACTGCGTTGTGATGTGTTCGCTCAACTCACAGAGTTTAACCTTTCTGTTCATAGAGCAGTTAGGAAACACTCTGTTTGTAAAGTCTGTAAGTGGATATTCTGACATCCTTGTGGCCTTCGTTGGAAACGGGATTTCTTCATATTCTGCTAGACAGAAGAATTCTCAGTAACTTCCTTGTGTTGTGTGTATTCAACTCACAGAGTTGAACGATGATTTACACAGAGCAGACTTGAAACTCTCTTTTTGTGGAATTTGCAACTGGAGATTTCAGCCGCTTTGAGGTCAATGGTAGAATAGGAAATATCTTCCTATAGAAACTAGACAGAATGATTCTCAGAAACTCCTTTGTGATGTGTGCGTTCAACTCACAGAGTTCAACCTTTCTTTTCATAGAGCAGTTGGGAAACACTCTGTTTGTAAAGTCTGCAAGTGGATATTCAAACTTCTTTGAGGCCTTCGTTGGAAGCGGGATTTCTTCATATTCTGCTAGACGGAAGAATTCCCAGTAACTTCCTTGTGTTGTGTGTGTTCAACTCACAGAGTTGAACTTTCATTTAAACAGAGCAGATTTGAAACACTCTTTTTGTGGAATTTGCAAATGGAGATTTCAAGCGCTTTGAGGCCAAAGGCAGAAAAGGAAATATCTTCGTTTCAAAACTAGACAGAATCATTCTCAGAAACTGCTCTGTGATGTGTGCGTTCAACTCTCAGAGTTTAACTTTTCTTTTCATTCAGCAGTTTGGAAACACTCTGTTTGTAAAGTCTGCACGTGGATAATTTGACCACTTAGAGGCCTTCGTTGGAAACGGTTTTTTTTCATGTAAGGCTAGACAGAAGAATTCCCAGTAACTTCCTGGTGTTGTGTACATTCAACTCACAGAGTTGAACGTTCCCTTAGACAGAGCAGATTTGAAACACTCTTTTTGTGCAATTGGCAAATGGAGATTTCAAGCGCTTTAAGGTCAATGGCAGAAAAGGAAATATCTTCGTTTCAAAACTAGACAGAATCATTCCCACAAACTGCGTTGTGATGTGTTCGTTCAACTCACAGAGTTTAACCTTTCTGTTCATAGAGCAGTTAGGAAAAACTCTGTTTGTAAAGTCTGTAAGTGGATATTCTGACATCTTGTGGCCTTCGTTGGAAACGGGATTTCTTCATATTCTGCTAGACAGAAGAATTCTCAGTAACTTCCTTGTGTTGTGTGTATTCAACTCACAGAGTTGAACGATCCTTTACACAGAGCAGACTTGAAACACTCTATTTGTAGAATTTGCAAGTGGAGATTTCAGCCGCTTTGAGGTCAGTAGTAGAAAAGGAAATATCTTCGTGGAAAAACTAGACAGAATGATTCTCAGAAACTCCTTTGTGATGTGTGCGTTGAACTCACAGAGTTTAACTTTTCTTTTCATAGAGCAGTTAGGAAACACTATGTTTGTAAAGTCTGCAAGTGGATATTCAGACCTCTTTGAGGCCTTCGTTGGAAACGGGATTTCTTCACATTCTGCTAGACAGAAGAATTCTCAGTAACTTCCTTGTGTTGTGTGTATTCAACTCACAGAGTTGAACGATCCTTTACACAGAGCAGACTTGAATCACTCTTTTTGTGGAATTTGCAAATGGAGATTTCAGCCGCTTTGAGGTCAATAGTAGAAAAGGAAATATCTTCGTAGAAAAACTAGACAGAATCATTCTCAGAAACTGCTCTGCGATGTGTGCGTTCAACTCTCAGAGTTTAACTTTTCTTTTCATTCAGCAGTTTGGAAACACTCTGTTTTTAAAGTCTGCACGTGGATATTTTGACCACTTAGAGGCCTTCGTTGGAAACGGGTTTTTTTCCTGTAAGGCTAGACAGAAGAATTCCCAGTAACTTCCTTGTGTTGTGTGCATTCAACTCACAGCAGTTGAACGTTCCCTTAGACAGAGCAGATTTGAAACACTCTATTTGTGCAATTTGCAAGTGTAGATTTCAAGCGCTTTAAGGTCAATGGCAGAAAAGGAAATATTTTCGTTTCAAAACTAGACAGAATCATTCCCACAAACTGCGTTGTGATGTGTTCGTTCAACTCACAGAGTTTAACCTTTCTGTTCATAGAGCAGTTAGGAAACACTCTGTTTGTAAACTCTGTAAGTGGATATTCTGACATCTTGTGGCCTTCGTTGGAAACGGGATTTCTTCACATTCTGCTAGACAGAAGAATTCTCAGAAACTTCCCTTGTGTTGTGTGTTTTCAACTCACAGAGTTGAACGATCCTTTACACAGAGCAGACTTGAAACACTCCTTTTGTGGAATTTGCAAGTGGAGATTTCAGCCGCTTTGAGGTCAATGGTAGAATAGGAAATATCTTCCTATAGAAAGTAGACAGAATGATTCTCAGAAACTTCATTGTGATGTGTGCGTTCAACTCACAGAGTTTAACCTTTCTTTTCATACAGCAGTTAGGAAACACTCTGTTTGTAAACTCTGCAAGTCGATATTCACACCTCTTTGAGGCCTTCGTTGGAAACGGGATTTCTTCATACTGTGCTAGACAGAAGAATTCTCAGTAACTTCCTTGTGTTGTGTGTATTCAACTCACAGAGTTGAACGATCCTTTACACAGAGAGGACTTGAAACACTCTTTTTGTGGAATTTGCAAGTGGAGATTTCAGCCGCGTTGAGGTCAATGGTAGAAAAGGAAATATCTTCGTATAAAAACTAGACAGAATCATTCTCAGAAAGTGCTCTGCGATGTGTGCGTTCAACTCTCAGAGTTTAACTTTGCTTTTCATTCAGCAGTTTGGAAACACTCTGTTTGTAAAGTCTGCACGTGGATAATTTGACCACTTAGAGGCCTTCGTTGGAAACGGGTTTTTTTCATGTAAGGCTAGACAGAAGAATTCCCAGTAACTTCCTTGTGTTGTGTACATTCAACTCACAGAGTTGAACGTTCCCTTAGACAGAGCAGATTTGAAACACTCTTTTTGTGCAATTGGAAAGTGGAGATTTCAAGCGCTTTAAGGTCAATGGCAGAAAAGGAAATATCTTCGTTTCAAAACTAGACAGAATCATTCCCACAAACTGCGTTGTGATGTGTTCGTTCAACACACAGAGTTTAACCTTTCTTTTCATAGAGCAGTTAGGAAACAGTCTGTTTGTCAATTCTGTAAGTGGATATTCTGACATCTTGTGGCCTTCGTTGGAAACGAGATTTCTTCATATTCTGCTAGACAGAAGAATTCTCAGTAACTACCTTGTGTTGTGTGTATTCAACTCACAGAGTTGAACGATCCTTTACACAGAGCGGACTTGAAACACTCGTTTTGTGGAATTTGCAAGTGGAGATTTCAGCCGCGTTGAGGTCAATGGTAGAAAAGGAAATATCTTCGTATAAAAACTAGACAGAATGATTCTCAGAAACTCCTTTGTGATGTGTGCGTTCAACTCACAGAGTTCAACCTTTCTTTTCATAGAGCAGTTAGGAAACACTCTGTTTGTAAAGTCTGCAAGTGGATATTCAGACTTCTTTGAGTCCTTCGTTGGAAGCGGGATTTCTTCATGTTCTGCTAGACAGAAGAATTCTCAGTAACTTCCTTGTATTGTGTGTATTCAACTCACAGAGTTGAACGATCCTTTACACAGAGCAGACTTGAAACAATCTTTTTGTGGAATTTGCAAGTGGAGATTTCAGCCGCTTTGAGGTCAATGGTAGAATAGGAAATATCTTCCTATAGAAACTAGACAGAGTGATTCTCAGAAACTCCTTTGTGATGTCTGCGTTCAACTCACAGAGTTTAACCTTCCTTTTCATAGAGCAGTTAGGAAACACTCTGTTTGTAAATTCTGCAAGTGGATATTCAGACCTCCTTGAGGCCTTCGTTGGAAACGGGATTTCTTCATATTCTGCTATACAGAAGAATTCTCAGAAACTTCCTTGTGTTGTGTGTTTTCAACTCACAGAGTTCAACGATCCATTACACAGAGTATACTTGAAACACTCTTTTTGTGGAATTGGCAAGTGGAGATTTCAGCCGCTTTGAGGTCAATGGTAGAAAAGGAAATATCTTCGTATAAAAACTAGACAGAATCATTCTCAGAAACTGCTCTGTGATGTGTGCGTTCAACTCTCAGAGTTTAACTTTTCTTTTCATTCAGCAGTTTGGAAACACTCTGTTTGTAAAGTCTGCACGTGGATATTTTGACCACTTAGAGGCCTTCGTTGGAAAAGGGATTTCTTCATATGATGCTAGACAGAAGAATTCCCAGTAACTTCCTTGTGTTGTGTGCATTCAACTCACAGAGTTCAACGTTCCCTTAGACAGAGCAGATTTGAAACACTCTATTTGTGCAATTTGCAAGTGTAGATTTCAAGCGCTTTAAGGTCAATGGCAGAAAAGGAAATATCTTCGTTTCAAAACTAGACAGAATCATTCCCACAAACTGCGTTGTGATGTGTTCGTTCAACTCACAGAGTTTAACCTTTCTGTTCATAGAGCAGTTAGGAAACACTCTGTAAAGTCTGTAAGTGGATATTCTGACATCTTGTGGCCTTCGTTGGAAACGGGATTTCTTCATATTCTGCTAGACAGAAGAATTCTCAGTAACTTCCTTGTGTTGTGTGTATTCAACTCACAGAGTTGAACGATCCTTTACACAGAGCAGACTTGTAACCCTCTTTTTGTGGAATTTGCAAGTGGAGATTTCAGCCGCTTTGAAGTCAAAGGTAGAAAAGGAAATATCTTCCTATAAAAACTAGACAGAATGATTCTCAGAAAATCTTTTGTGATGTGTGCGTTCAACTCAAAGAGTTTAACTTTTCTTCTCATAGAGCAGTTAGGAAACACTCTGTTTGTAAAGTCTGCAAGTGGATATTCAGACCTCTTTGAGGCCTTCGTTGGAAAAGGGATTTCTTCATATTATGCTAGACAGAAGAATTCTCAGTAACTTCCTTGTGTTGTGTGTGTTCAACACACAGAGTTGAACTTTCATTTACACAGAGCAGATTTGAAACACTCTTTTTGTGGAATTTGCAAGTGGAGATTTCAAGCGCTTTGAGGCCAAAGGCAGAAAAGGAAATATCTTCGTTTCAAAACTAGACAGAATCATTCTCAGAAACTGCTGCGTGATGTGTGCGTTCAACTCTCAGAGTTTAACTTTTCTTTTCATTCAGCGGTTTGGAAACAGTCTGTTTGTAAAGTCTGCACGTGGATATTTTGACCACTTAGAGGCCTTCGTTGGAAACGGGTTTTTTGCATGTAAGGCTAGACAGAAGAATTCCCAGTAACTTCCTTGTGTTGTGTACATTCAACTCACAGAGTTGAACATTCCCTTAGACAGAGCAGATTTGAAACACTCTTTTTGTGCAATTGGCAAATGGAGATTTCAAGCGCTTTAAGGTCAATGGCAGGAAAGGAAATATCTTCGTTTCAAAACTAGACAGAATGATTCTCAGAAACTCCTTTGTGATGTGTGCGTTCAACTCACAGAGTTTAACCTTTCTTTTCATAGAGCAGTTAGGAAACACTCTGTTTGTAAAGTCTGCAAGTGGATATTCACACCTCTTTGAGGCCTTCGTTGGAAACGGGATTTCTTCATATTATGCTAGACAGAAGAATTCTCAGTAACTTCCTTGTGTTGTCTGTATTCAACTCACAGAGTTGAACGATCCTTTACACAGAGCAGACTTGAAACACTCTTTTTGTGGAATTTGCAAGTGGAGATTTCAGCCGCTTTGAGGTCAATGGTAGAATAGGAAATATCTTCCTATAGAAACTAGACAGAATGATTCTCAGAAACTCCTTTGTGATGTGTGCGTTCAAGTCACAGAGTTTAACCTTTCTTTTCATAGAGCAGTTAGGAAACACTCTGTTTGTAAAGTCTGCAAGTGGATATTCAGACCTCCTTGAGGCTTTCGTTGGAAACGGGATTTCTTCATATTCTGCTAGACAGAAGAATTCTCAGTAACTTCCTTTTGTTGTGTGTATTCAACTGACAGAGTTGAACTTTCATTTACACAGAGCAGATTTGAAACACTCTTTTTGTGGTATTTGCAAGTGGAGATTTCAGCCGCTTTGATGTCAATGATAGAAAAGGAAATATCTTCATATAAAAATTAGACAGAATGATTCTCAGAAACTTCTTTGTGATGTGTGCGTTCAACTCACAGAGTTTTACCTTTCTTTTCATAGAGCAGTTAGGAAACACTCTGTTTGTAAAGTCTGCAAGTGGATATTCAGACCTCTTTGAGGCCTTCGTTGGAAACGGGATTTCTTCATACTATGCTAGACAGAAGATTTCCCAGTAACTTCCTTGTGTTGTGTGTGTTCAACTCACAGAGTTGAACTTTCATTTACACAGAGCAGATTTGAAACACTCTTTTTGTGGAATTTGCAAATGGAGATTTCAAGCGCTTTGAGGCCAAAGGCAGAAAAGGAAATGCCTTCGTTTCAAAACTAGACAGAATCATTCTCAGAAACTGCTCTGCGATGTGTGCGTTCAACTCTCAGAGTTTAACTTTTCTTTCCATTCAGCAGTTTGGAAACACTCTGGTTGTAAAGTCTGCACGTGGATAACTTGACCACTTAGAGGCCTTCGTTGGAAACGGGTTTTTTTCCTGTAAGGCTAGACAGAAGAATTCCCAGTAACTTCCTTGTGTTGTGTGCATTCAACTCACAGAGATGAACGTTCCCTTAGACAGAGCAGATTTGAAACATTCTATTTGTGCAATTTGCAAGTGTAGATTTCAAGCGCTTTAAGGTCAATGGCAGAAAAGGAAAAATCTTCGTTTCAAAACTAGACAGAATGATTCTCAGAAAATCTTTTGTGATGTGTGCGTTCAACTCACAGAGTTTAACTTTTCTTCTCATAGAGCAGTTAGGAATCACTCTGTTTGTAAACTCTGCAAGTGGATATTCAGACCTCTTTGAGGCCTTCGTTGGAAACGGGATTTCTTCACATTCTGCTAGACAGAAGAATTCTCAGTAACTTCCTTGTGTTGTGTGTATTCAACTCACAGAGTTGAACAATCCTTTACACAGAGCAGACTTGAAACACTCTTTTTGTGGAATTTGCAAGTGGAGATTTCAGGCGCTTTGAGGTCAATGGTAGAAAAGGAAACATCTCCGTATAAAGACTAGACAGAATGATTCTCAGAAACTCCTTTGTGTTGTGTGCGTTCAACTCACAGAGTTTAACCTTTCTTTTCATAGAGCAGTTAGGAAACACTCTGTTTGTAAAGTCTGCAAGTGGATATTCAGACATCTTTGAGGCTTTCGTTGGAAACGGGATTTCTTCATATTCTGCTAGACAGAAGAATTCTCAGTAACTTCCTTGTGTTGTGTGTATTCAACTCACAGAGTTGAACGATCCTTTACATAGAGCAGTCTTGAAACGCTCTTTTTGTGGAATTTGCAAGTGGAGATTTCAGCCGCTTTGAGGTCAATAGTAGAAAAGGAAATATCTTCGTAGAAAAACTAGACAGAATGATTCTCAGAAACTCCTTTGTGATGTGTGCGTTCAACACACAGAGTTTAACCTTTCTTTTCATAGAGCAGTTCGGAAACACTCTGTTTGTAAAGTCTGCAAGTGGATATTCAGACTTCTTTGAGGCCTTCGTTGGAAACGGGATTTCTTCTTATTCTGCTAGACAGAAGAATTCTCAGTAACTTCCTTGTGTTGTGTGTATTCAACTCACAGAGTTGAATGATCCTTTACACAGAGCAGACTTGAAACTCTCTTTTTCTGGAATTTGCAAGTGGAGATTTCAGCCGCTTTGAGGTCAATGGTAGAAAAGTAAATATCTTCGTATAAAGACTAGACAGAATGATTCTCAGAAACTCCTTTGTGATGTGTGCGTTCAACTCACAGAGTTTAACTTTTCTTTTCATAGAGCAGTTAGGAAACACTCTGTTTGTAAAGTCTGCAAGTGGATATTCAGACCTCTTTGAAGCCTTCGTTGGAAACGGGATTTCTTCATATTATGCTAGACAGAAGAATTCTCAGTAACTTCCTTGTGTTGTGTGTATTCAACTGACAGAGTTGAACTTTCATTTTGAGAGAGCAGATTTGAAACACTGTTTTTGTGGAATTTGCAAGTGGAGATTTCAAGCGCTTTTGGGCCAAAGGCAGAAAAGGAAATATCTTCGTATAAAAACTAGACAGAATCATTCTCAGAAACTGCTGCGTGATGTGTGCGTTCAACTCTCAGAGTTTAACTTTTCTTTTCATTCAGCGGTTTGGAAACACTCTGTTTGTAAAGTCTGCAAGTGGATATTTTGACCACTTAGAGGCCTTCGTTGGAAACGGGATTTTTTCATGTAAGGCTAGACAGAAGAATTCCCAGTAACTTCCTTGTGTTGTGTGCATTCAACTCACAGAGTTGAACGTTCCCTTAGACAGAGCAGATTTGAAACACTCTATTTGTGCAATTTGCAAGTGTAGATTTCAAGCGCATTAAGGTCAATGGCAGAAAAGGAAATATCTTCGTTTCAAAATTAGACAGAATCATTCCCACAAACTGCGTTGTGATGTGTTCGTTCAACTCACAGAGTTTAACCTTTCCGTTCATAGAGCAGTTAGGAAACACTCTGTTTGTAAAGTCTGTAAGAGGATATTCTGACATCTTGTGGCCTTCGTTGGAAACGGGATTTCTTCATATTCTGCTAGACAGAAGAATTCTCAGTAACTTCCTTCTGTTGTGTGTATTCAACTCACAGAGTTCAACGATCCTTTACACAGAGCAGACTTGAAACACTCTTTTTGTGGAATTTGCAAGTGGAGATTTCAGCCGCTTTGAGGTCAATGGTAGAAAAGGAAATATCTTCGTATAAAAACTAGACAGAATGATTCTCAGAAACTTCTTTGTGATGTGTGTGTTCAACTCACAGAGTTTAACCTTTCTTTTCATAGAGCAGTTAGGAAACACTGTGTTTTTAAACTCTGCAAGTGGATATTCAGACCTATTTGAGGCCTTCGTTGGAAACGGGATTTCTTCATACTGTGCTAGACAGAAGAATTCTCAGTAACTTCCTTGTGTTGTGTGTATTCAACTCACAGAGTTGAACGATCCTTTACACAGAGCAGACTTGAAACACTCTTTTTGTGGAATTTGCAAGTGGAGATTTCAAGCGCTTTGAGGCCAAAGGCAGAAAAGGAAATATCTTCGTTTAAAAACTAGACAGAATCATTCTCAGAAACTGCTCTGCGATGTGTGCGTTCAACTCTCAGAGTTTAACTTTTCTTTTCATTCAGCAGTTTGGAAACACTCTGTTTGTAAAGTCTGCACGTGGATATTTTGACCACTTAGAGGCCTTCGTTGGAAACGGGTGTTTTTCCTGTAAGGCTAGACAGAAGAATTCCCAGTAACTTCCTTGTTTTGTGTACATTCAACTCACAGAGTTGAACGTTCCCTTAGATAGAGCAGATTTGAAACACTCTTTTTGTGCAATTGGCAAGTGGTGATTTCAACCGCTTTGAGGTCAATGGTAGAAAAGGAAATATCTTCGTATAAAAACTAGACAGAATGATTCCCACAAACTGCGTTGTGATGTGTTCGTACAACTCACAGAGTTTAACCTTTCTGTTCATAGAGCAGTTAGGAAACACTCTGTTTGTAAAGTCTGTAAGTGGATATTCAGAACTCTTTGAGGTCTTCGTTGGAAACGGGATTTCTTCATATTCTGCTAGACAGAAGAATTCTCAGTAACTTCCTTGTGTTGTGTGTATTCTACTCACAGAGTTGAACGATCCTTTACACAGAGCAGTCTTGAAACACTCTTTTTGTGGAATTTGCAAGTGGAGATTTCAGCCGCTTTGAGGTCAATAGTAGAAAAGGAAATATCTTCGTAGAAAAACTAGACAGAATGATTCTCAGAAACTCCTTTGTGACGTGTGCGTTCAACTCACAGAGTTTAACCTTTCTTTTCATAGAGCAGTTAGGAAACACTCTGTTTGTAAAGTCTGCAAGTGGATATTCAGACCTCCTTGAGGCCTTCGTTGGAAACGGGATTTCTTCATATTCTGCTAGACAGAAGAATTCCCAGTAACTTCTTTGTGTTGTGTGTGTTCAACTCACAGAGTTGAACTTTCATTTACACAGAGCAGATTTGAAACACTCTTTTTGTGGAATTTGCAAGTGGAGATTTCAAGCGCTTTGAGGCCAAAGGCAGAAAAGGAAATATCTTCGTATAAAAACTAGACAGAATCATTCTCAGAAACTGCTCTGCGATGTGTGCGTTCAACTCTCAGAGTTTAACTTTTCTTTTCATTCAGCAGTTTGGAAACACTCTGTTTGTAAAGTCTGCACGTGGATATTTTGAACACTTAGAGGCCTTCGTTGGAAACGGGTTTTTTTCCTGTAAGGCTAGACAGAAGAATTCCCAGTAACTTCCTTGTGTTGTGTGCATTCAACTCACAGAGTTGAACGTTCCCTTAGACAGAGCAGATTTGAAACACTCTATTTGTTCAATTTGCAAGTGTAGATTTCAAGCGCTTTAAGGTCAATGGCAGAAAAGGAAATATCTTCGTTTCAAAACTAGACAGAATCATTCCCACAAACAGCGTTGTGATGTGTTCGTTCAACTCACAGAGTTTAACCTTTCTGTTCAGAGAGCAGTTAGGAAACACTCTGTTTGTAAAGTCTGAAAGTGGATATTCAGACATCTTGTGGCCTTCGTTGGAAACGGGATTTCTTCATATTCTGCTAGACAGAAGAATTCTCACTAACTTCCTTGTGTTGTGTGTATTCAACTCACAGAGTTGAACGATCCTTTACACAGAGCAGACTTGAAACACTCTTTTTGTGGAATTTGCAAGTGGAGATTTCAGCCGCTTTGAGGTCAATAGTAGAAAAGGAAATATCTTCGTAGAAAAACTAGACAGAATGATTCTCAGAAACTCCTTTGTGATGTGTGTGTTCAACTCACAGAGTTTAACCTTTCTTTTCATAGAGCAGTTAGGAAACACTCTGTTTGTAAAGTCTGCAAGTGGATATTCAGACCTCGTTTGAGGCCTTCGTTGGAAACTGGATTTCTTCATATTCTGCTAGACAGAAGAATTCTCAGTAACTTCCTTGTGTTGTGTGTATTCAACTGACAGAGTTGAACTTTCATTTAGAGAGAGCTGATTTGAAACACTGTTTTTGTGGAATTTGCAAGTGGAGATTTCAAGCGCTTTGGGGCCAAAGGCAGAAAAGGAAATACCTTCGTATAAAAACTAGACAGAATCATTCTCAGAAACTGCTCTGCGATGTGTGTGTTCAACTCTCAGAGTTTAACTTTTCTTTTCATTCAGCAGTTTGGAAACACTCTGTTTGTAAAGTCTGCACGTGGATATTTTGACCACTTAGAGGCCTTCGTTGGAAACGGGTTTTTTTCATGTAAGGCTATACAGAAGAATTCCCAGTAACTTCCTTGTGTTGTGTACATTCAACTCACAGAGTTGAACGTTCCCTTAGACAGAGCAGATTTGAAATACTCTTTTTGTGCAATTGGCAAGTGGAGATTTCAAGCGCTTTAAGGTCAATGGCAGAAAAGGAAATATCTTCGTTTCAAAACTAGACAGAATCATTCCCACAAACTGCGTTGTGATGTGTTCGTTCAACTCACAGAGTTTAACCTTTCTGTTCATGGAGCAGTTAGGAAACACTCTGTTTGTAAAGTCTGTAAGTGGATATTCTGACATCTTGTGGCCTTCGTTGGAAACGGGATTTCTTCATATTCTGCTAGACGGAAGAATTCTCAGTAACTTCCTTGTGTTGTGTGTATTCAACTCACAGAGTTGAACGATCCTTTACACAGAGCAGACTTGAAACACCCTTTTTGTGGAATTTGCAAGTGGAGATTTCAGCCGCTTTGAGGTCAATAGTAGAAAAGGAAATATCTTCGTAGAAAAACTAGACAGAATGATTCTCAGAAACTCCTTAGTGATGTGTGCGTTCAACTCACAGAGTTTAACTTTTCTTTTCATAGAGCAGTTAGGAAACACTCTGTTTGTAAAGTCTGCAAGTGGATATTCAGACCTCTTTGAGGCCTTCGTTGGAAACGGGATTTCTTCATATTCTGCTAGACAGAAGAATTCTCAGTAACTTCCTTGTGTTGTGTGTATTCAACTCACAGAGTTGAACGATCCTTTACACAGAGCAATCTTGAAACATTCTTTTTGTGGAATTTGCAAGTGGAGATTTCAGCCGCTTTGAGGTCAATGGTAGAATAGGAAATATCTTCCTATAGAAACTAGACAGAATCATTCTCAGAAACTGCTCTGCGATGTGTGCGTTCAACTCTCAGAGTTTAACTTTTCTTTTCATTCAGCAGTTTGGAAACACTCTGTTTGTAAAGTCTGCACGTGGATATTTTGACCACTTAGAGGCCTTCGTTGGAAACGGGTTTTCTTCCTGTAAGGCTAGACAGAAGAATTCCCAGTAACTTCCTTGTGTTGTGTACATTCAACTCACAGAGTTGAACGTTCCCTTAGACAGAGCAGATTTGAAACACTCTTTTTGTGCAATTGGCAAGTGGTGATTTCAGCTGCTTTGGGGTCAATGGTAGAAAAGGGAATATCTTCGTATAAAAACTAGACAGAATGATTCTCAGAAACTCCTTTGTGATGTGTGCGTTCAACTCACAGAGTTTAACCTTTCTTTTCATAGAGCAGTTAGGAAACACTCTGTTTGTAAAGTCTGCAAGTGGATATTCAGACCTCTTTGAGGCCTTCGTTGGAAACGGGATTTCTTCATATTCTACTAGACAGAAGAATTCTCAGTAACTTCCTTGTGTTGTGTGTATTCAACTCACAGAGTTGAACGATCCTTTACACAGAGCAAACTTGAAACACTCTTCTTGTGGAATTTGCAAGTGGAGATTTCAGCCGCTTTGAGGTCAATTGTAGAATAGGAAATATCTTCCTATAGAAACTAGACAGAATGATTCTCAGAAACTCCCTTGTGATGTGTGCGTTCAACTCACAGAGTTTTAGCTTTCTTTTCATAGAGCAGTTAGGAAACACTCTGTTTGTAATGTCTGCAAGTGGATATTCAGACCTCTTTGAGGCCTTCATTGGAAACGGGATTTCTTCATATTATGCTAGACACAAGAATTCTCAGTAACTTGCCTTGTGTTGTGTGTATTCAACTCACAGAGTTGAACGATCCTTTACACAGAGCAGACTTGAAACACTCTTTTTGTGGAATTTGCAAGTGGAGATTTCAGCCGCTTTGAGGTCAATGGTAGAATAGGAAATATCTTCCTATTGAAACTAGACAGAATGATTCTCAGAAACGCCTTTGTGATGTGTGTGTTCAACTCACAGAGTTTAACCTTTCTTTTCATAGAGCAGTTAGGAAACACTCTGTTGGTAAAGTCTGCAAGTGGATATTCAGACCTCTTTGAGGCCTTCGTTGGAAACGGGATTTCTTCATACTGTGCTAGACAGAAGAATTCTCAGTAACTTCCTTGTGTTGTGTGTATTCAACTCACAGAGTTGAACGATCCTTTACACAGAGCGGAATTGAAACACTCTTTTTGTGTAATTTGCAAGTGGAGATTTCAGCCGCGTTGAGGTCAATGGTAGAAAAGGAAATCTCTTCGTATAAAAACTAGACAGAATCACTCTCAGAAACTGCTCTGCGATGTGTGCGTTCAACTCTCAGAGTTTAACTTTTCTTTTCATTCAGCAGTTTGGAAACACTCTGTTTGTAAAGTCTGCACGTGGATATTTTGACCTCTCAGAGGTCTTCGTTGGAAACGGGTTTTTTTCCTGTAAGGCTAGACAGAAGAATTCCCAGTAACTTCCTTGTGTTGTGTACATTCAACTCACAGAGTTGAACGTTCCCTTAGACAGAGCAGATTTGAAACACTCTTTTTGTGCAATTGGCAAATGGAGATTTCAAGCGCTTTAAGGTCAATGGCAGGAAAGGAAATATCTTCGTTTCAAAACTAGACAGAATGATTCTCATAAACTCCTTTGTGATGTGTGCATTCAACTCACGGAGTTTCACCTTTCTTTTCATAGAGCAGTTAGGAAACACTCTGTTTGTAAAGTCTGTAAGTGGATATTCTGACATCTTGTGGCCTTCGTTGGAAACGGGATTTCTTCATATTCTGCTAGACAGAAGAATTCTCAGTAACTTCCTTGTGTTGTGTGTATTCAACTCACAGAGTTGAACGATCCTTTACACAGAGCATACTTGAAACACTCTTCTTGTGGAATTTGCAAATGGAGATTTCAGCCGCTTTGAGGTCCATGGTAGAATAGGAAATATCTTCCTATAGAAACTAGACAGAATGATTCTCAGAAACTCCTTTGTGATGTCTGCGTTCAACTCACAGAGTTTAACCTTTCTTTTCATAGAGCAGTTAGGAAACACTCTGTTTGTAAAGTCTGGAAGTGGATATTCAGACCTCCTTGAGGCCTTCGTTGGAAACGGGATTTCTTCATATTATGCTAGATAGAAGAATTCTCAGTAACTTCCTTGTGTTGTGTGTATTCAACTGACAGAGTTGAACTTTCATTTAGAGAGAGCAGATTTGAAACACTGTTTTTGTGGAATTTGCAAGTGGAGATTTCAAGCGCTTTGGGGCCAAAGGCAGAAAAAGAAATATCTTCGTATAAAAACTAGACAGAATCATTCTCAGAAACTGCTCTGTGATGTGTGCGTTCAACTCTCAGAGTTTAACTTTTCTTTTCATTCAGCAGTTTGGAAACAATCTGTTTGTAAAGTCTGCACGTGGATATTTTGACCACTTAGAGGCCTTCGTTGAAAACGGGTTTCTTTCATGTAAGGGGAGACAGAAGAATTCCCAGTAACTTCCTTGTGTTGTGTGCATTCAACTCACAGAGTTGAACGTTCCCTTAGACAGAGCAGATTTGAAACACTCTATTTGTGCATTTTGCAAGTGTAGATTTCAAGCGCTTTAAGGTCAATGGCAGAAAAGGAAATATCTTCGTTTCAAAACTAGACAGAATCATTCCCACAAACTGCGTTGTGATGTGTTCGTTCAACTCACAGAGTTTAACCTTTCTTTTCATAGAGCAGTTAGGAAAAATTCTGTTTGTAAATTCTGTAAGTGGATATTCTGTAATCTTGTGGCCTTCGTTGGAAACGGGCTTTCTTCATATTCTGCTAGACAGAAGAATTCTCAGTAACTTCCTTGTGTTGTGTGTATTCAACTCACAGAGTTGAACGATCCTTTACACAGAGCAGACTTGAAACACTCTTTTTGTGGAATTTGCAAGTGGAGATTTCAGCCGCGTTGAGGTCAATGGTATAAAAGGAAATATCTTCGTATAAAAACTAGACAGAATGATTCTCAGAAACTCCTTTGTGATGTGTGCGTTCAACTCACAGAGTTTAACCTTTCTTTTCATAGAGCAGTTAGGCAACACTCTGTTTGTAAACTCTGCAAGTGGATATTCAGACCTCTTTGAGGCCTTCGATGGAAACGGGATTTCTTCATACTATGCTGGAGAGAAGAATTCTCAGTAACTTCCTTGTGTTGTGTGTATTCAACTCACAGAGTTGAACGATCCTTTACACAGAGCAGACTTGAAACACTCTTTTTGTGGAATTTGCAAGTGGAGATTTCAGCCGCTTTGAGGTCAATGGAAGAAAAGGAAATATCTTCGTATAAAAACTAGACAGAATCATTCTCAGAAACTGCTCTGCGATGTGTGCGTTCAACTCTCAGAGTTTAACTTTTCTTTTCATTCAGCAGTGTGGAAACACTCTGTTTGTAAAGTCTGCACGTGGATATTTTGACCACTTAGAGGCCTTCGTTGGAAAAGGGTTTTTTTCCTGTAAGGCTAGACAGAAGAATTCCCAGTAACTTCCCTTGTGTTGTGTACATTCAACTCACAGAGTTGAACGTTCCCTTAGACAGAGCAGATTTGAAACACTCTTTTTGTGCAATTGGCAAGTGGAGATTACAAGCGCTTTAAGGTCAATGGCAGAAAAGGAAATATCTTCGTTTCAAAACTAGACAGAATCATTCCCACAAACTGCGTTGTGATGTGTTCGTTCAACTCACAGAGTTTAACCTTTCTATTCATAGAGCAGTTAGGAAACACTCTGTTTGTAAAGTCTGTAAGTGGATATTCTGACATCTTGTGGCATTTGTTGGAAACGGGATTTCTTCATATTCTGCTAGACAGAATAATTCTCAGTAACTTCCTTGTGTTGCGTGTATTCAACTCACAGAGTTGAACGATCCTTTACAGAGAGCAGACTTGAAACACTCTTTTTGTGGAATTTGCAAGTGGAGATTTCAGCCGCTTTGAGGTCAATGATAGAATAGGAAATATCTTCCTATAGAAACTAGACAGAATGATTCTCAGAAACTCCTTTGTGTTGTGAGCGTTCAACTCACAGAGTTTAACCTTTCTTTTCATAGAGCAGTTAGGAAACACTCTGTTTATAAAGTCTGCAAGTGGATATTCAGACCCCTTTGAGGCCTTCGTTGGAAACGGGATTTCTTCATATTATGCTAGACAGAAGAATTCTCAGTAACTTCCTTGTGTTGTGTGTATTCAACTGACAGAGTTGAACTTTCATGTAGAGAGAGCAGATTTGAAACACTGTTTTTGTGGAATTTGCAAGTGGAGATTTCAAGCGCTTTGGGGCCAAAGGCAGAAAAGGAAATATCTTCGTATAAAACTAGACAGAATCATTCTCAGAAACTGCTCTGTGATGTGTGCGTTCAACTCTCAGAGTTTAACTTTTCTTTTCATTCAGCAGTTTGGAAACACTCTGTTTGTAAAGTCTGCACGTGGATAATTTGACCACTTAGAGGCCTTCGTTGGAAACGGGTTTTTTTCATGTAAGGCTAGACAGAAGAATTCCCAGTAACTTCCTTGTGTTGTGTGCATTCAACTCACAGAGTTGAACGTTCCCTTAGACAGAGCAGATTTGAAACACTCTATTTGTGCAATTTCCAAGTGTAGTTTTCAAGCTCTTTGAGGTCAACGGCAGAAAAGGAAATATCTTCGTTTCAAAACTAGACAGAATCATTCCCACAAACTGCGTTGTGATGTGTTCGTTCAACTCACAGAGATTAACCTTTCTTTTCATAGAGCAGTTAGGAAACACTCTGTTTGTAAATTCTGTAAGTGGATATTCTGACATCTTGTGGCCTTTGTTGGAAACGGGATTTCTTCATATTCTGCTAGACACAAGAATTCTCAGTAACTTCCTTGTGTTGTGTGTATTCAACTCACAGAGTTGAACGATCCTTTACAGAGGGCAGACTTGAAACACTCTTTTTGTGGAATTTGCAAGTGGAGATTTCAGCCGTTTTGAGGTCAATGGTAGAAAAGGAAATATCTTCGTATAAAGACTAGACAGAATGATTCTCAGAAACTCCTTTGTGATGTGTGCGTTCAACTCACAGAGTTTAACTTTTCTTTTCATAGAGCAGTTAGGAAACACTCTGTTTGTAAAGTCTGCAAGTGGATATTCAGACCTCTTTGAGGCCTTCGATAGAAACGGGATTTCTTCATATTCTGCTAGACAGAGGAATTCTCAGTAACTTCTTTGTGTTGTGTGTATTCAACTCACAGAGTTGAACGATCCTTTACACAGAGCAGACTTGAAACACTCTTTTTGTGGAATTTGCAATTGGAGATTTCAGCCGCTTTGAGTTCAAGGGTAGAATAGGAAATATCTTCCTATAGAAACTAGACAGAATGATTCTCAGAAACTCCTTTGTGATGTGTGCGTTCAACTCACAGAGTTCAACCTTTCTTTTCATAGAGCAGTTGGGAAACACTCTGTTTGTAAAGTCTGCAAGTGGATATTCAGACTTCTTTGAGACCTTCGTTGGAAGCGGGATTTCTTCATATTCTGCTAGACAGAATAATTCTCAGTAACTTCCTTGTGTTGTGTGTATTCAACTCACAGAGTTGAACGATCCTTTACACAGAGCAGACTTGAAACATTCTTTCTGTGGAATTTGCAAGTGGAGATTTCAGCCGCTTTGAGGTCAATGGTAGAATAGGAAATATTTTCCTATAGAAACTAGACAGAATGATTCTCAGAAACTCCTTTGTGATGTGTGCGTTCAACTCACAGAGTTTAACTTTTCTTTTCATAGAGCAGTTAGGAAACACTCTGTTTGTAAAGTCTGCAAGTGGATATTCAGACCTCTTTGAGGCCTTCGTTGGAAACGGGATTTCCTCATATTATGCTAGACAGAAGAATTCTCAGTAACTTCCTTGTGTTGTGTGTATTCAACTGACAGAGTTGAACTTTCATTTAGAGAGAGCAGATTTGAAACACTGTTTTTGTGGAATTTGCAAGTGGAGATTTCATGCGCTTTGGGGCCAAAGGCAGAAAAGGAAATATCTTCGTATAAAAACTAGACAGAATCATTCTCAGAAAGTGCTCTGCGATGTGTGCGTTCAACTCTCAGAGTTTAACTTTGCTTTTCATTCAGCAGTTTGGAAACACTCTGTTTGTAAAGTCTGCACGTGGATAATTTGACCACTTAGAGGCCTTCGTTGGAAACGGGTTTTTTTCATGTAAGGCTAGACAGAAGAATTCCCAGTAACTTCCTTGTGTTGTGTACATTCAACTCACAGAGTTGAACGTTCCCTTAGACAGAGCAGATTTGAAACACTCTTTTTGTGCAATTGGCAAATGGAGATTTCAAGCGCTTTAAGGTCAATGGCAGAAAAGGAAATATATTCGTTTCAAAACTAGACAGAATCATTCCCACAAACTGCGTTGTGATGTGTTCGTTCAACTCACAGAGTTTAACGTTTCCGTTCATAGAGCAGTTAGGAAACACACTGTTTGTAAAGTCTGTAAGTGGATATTCTGACATCTTGTGGCCTTCGTTGGAAACGGGATTTCTTCATATTCTGCTAGACAGAAGAATTCTCAGTAACTTCCTTGTGTTGTGTGTATTCAACTCACAGAGTTGAACGATCCTTTACACAGAGCAGACTTGAAACACTCTTTCTGTGGAATTTGCAAGTGGAGATTTCAGCCGCTTTGAGGTCAATAGTAGAAAAGGAAATGTCTTCGTAGAAAAACTAGACAGAGTGATTCTCAGAAACTCCTTTGTGATGTCTGCGTTTAACTCACAGAGTTTAACCTTTCTTTTCATAGAGCAGTTAGGAAACACTCTGTTTGTAAAGTCTGCAAGTGGATATTCAGACCTCCTTGAGGCCTTCGTTGGAAACGGGATTTCTCCATATTATGCTGGACAGAAGAATTCTCAGTAACTTTCTTGTGTTGTGTGTATTCAACTGACAGAGTTGAACTTTCATTTAGAGAGACCAGATTTGAAACACTGTTTTTGTGGAATTTGCAAGTGGAGATTTCAAGCGCTTTGGGGCCAAAGGCAGAAAAGGAAATATCTTCGTATAAAAACTAGACAGAATCATTCTCAGAAACTGCTGCGTGATGTGTGCGTTCACCTCTCAGAGTTTAACTTTTCTTTTCATTCAGCGGTTTGGAAACACTCTGTTTGTAAAGTCTGCACGTGGAAATTTTGACCACTTAGAGGCCTTCGTTGGAAACGGGTTTTTTTCATGTAAGGCTAGACAGAAGCAATTCCCAGGAACTTCCTTGTGTTGTGTACATTCAACTCACAGCAGTTGAACGTTCCCTTAGACAGAGCAGATTTGAAACACTCTTTTTGTGCAATTGGCAAGTGGTGATTTCAGCCGCTTTGAGGTCAATGGTAGAAAAGGAAATATCTTCGTATAAAAACTAGACAGAATCATTCCCACAAACTGCGTTGTGATGTGTTCGTTCAACTCACAGAGTTTAACCTTTCTGTTCATAGAGCAGTTAGGAAACACTCTGTTTGTAAAGTCTGCCAGTGGATATTCAGACCTCCTTGAGGCCTTCGTTGGAAACGGGATTTCTTCATATTCTGCTAGACAGAAGAATTCTCAGAATCTTCCTTGTGTTGTGTGTATTCAACTCACACAGTTGAACGATGGTTTACACAGAGCAGATTTGAAACACTCTTTTTGTGGAATTTGCAAGTGGAGATTTCAGCCGCTTTGAGGTCAATGGTAGAAAAGGAAATATCTTCGTATAACAACTAGACAGAATGATTCTCATAAACTCCTTTGGGATGTGTGCGTTCAACTCACAGAGTTTAACCTTTCTTTTCATAGAGCAGTTAGGAAACACTCTGTTTGTAAAGTCTGCAAGTGGATATTCAGACCTCTTTGAGGCCTTCGTTGGAAACGGGATTTCTTCATATTCTGCTAGACAGAAGAATTCCCAGTAACTTCCATGTGTTGTGTGTGTTCAACTCACAGAGTTGAACTTTCATTTACACAGAGCAGATTTGAAACACTCTTTTTGTGGAATTTGCAAATGGAGATTTCAAGCGCTTTGAGGCCAGAGGCAGAAAAGGAAATATCTTCGTATAAAAACTAGACAGAATCACTCTCAGAAACTGCTCTGTGATGTGTGCGTTCAACTCTCAGAGTTTAACTTTTCTTTTCATTCAGCAGTTTGGAAACACTCTGTTTGTAAAGTCTGCACGTGGATATTTTGACCACTTAGAGGCCTTCTTTGGAAACGGGTTTTTTTCATGTAAGGATAGACAGAAGAATTCCCAGTAACTTCCTTGTGTTGTGTGCATTCAACTCACAGAGATGAACGTTCCCTTAGACAGAGCAGATTTGAAACACTCTATTTGTGCAATTTGCAAGTGTAGATTTCAAGGGCTTTAAGGTCGATGGCAGAAAAGGAAATATCTTCGTTTCAAAACTAGACAGAATGATTCTCAGAAACTCCTTTGTGATGTGTGCGTTCAACTCACAGAGTTTAACCTTTCTTTTCATAGAGCAGTTAGGAAACACTCTGTTTGTAAAGTCTGCAAGTGGATATTCAGACATCTTTGAGGCCTTCTTTGGAAACGGGATTTCTTCATGTTCTGCTAGACAGAAGAATTCTCAGAAACTTCCTTGTGTTGTGTGTTTTCAACTCACAGAGTTGAACGATGCTTTACACAGAGTAGACTTGAAACACTCTTTTTGTGTAATTTGCAAGTGGAGATTTCAGCCGCTTTGAGAGTCAATGGTAGAAAAGGAAATATCTTCGTATAAAAACTAGGCAGAATGATTCTAAGAAACTTCTTTGTGATGTGTGCGTTCAACTCACAGAGTTTAACCTTTCTTTTCATAGAGCAGTTAGGAAACACTCTGTTTGTAAACTCTGCAAGTGGATATTCAGACCTCTTTGAGGCCTTCGTTGGAAACGGGATTTCTCCATACTGTGCGAGACAGAAGAATTCTCGGTAACTTCCTTGTGTTGTGTGTATTCAACTGACAGAGTTGAAATTTCATTTAGAGAGAGCAGATTTGAAACACTGTTTTTGTGGAATATGCAAGTGGAGATTTCAAGCGCTTTGGGGCCAAGGGCAGAAAAGGAAATATCTTCGTATAAAAACTAGACAGAATCATTCTCAGAAACTGCTGCGTGATGTGTGCGTTCAACTCTCAGAGTTTAACTTTTCTTTTCATTCAGCGGTTTGGAAACACTCTGTTTGTAAAGTCTGCACGTGGATATTTTGACCACTTAGAGGCCTTCGTTGGAAACGGGTTTTTTTTCATGTAAGGCTAGACAGAAGAATTCCCAGTAACTTCCTTGTGTTGTGTACATTCAACTCACAGAGTTGAACGTTCCCTTAGACAGAGCAGATTTGAAACACTCTTTTTGTGCAATTGGCAAGTGGAGATTTCAAGCGCTTTGAGGTCAATGGCAGAAAAGGAAATATCTTCGTTTCAAAACTAGACAGAATCATTCCCACAAACTGCATTGTGATGTGTTCGTTCAACTCACAGAGTTTAACCTTTCTTTTCATAGAGCAGTTAGGAAACAGTCTGTTTGTAAATTCTGTAAGTGGATATTCTGACATCTTGTGGCCTTCGTTGGAAACGGGATTTCTTCATATTCTGCTAGACAGAAGAATTCTCAGTAACTTCCTTGTGTTGTGTGTATTCAACTCACGGAGTTGAACGATCCTTTACACAGAGCAGACTTGAAACACTCTTTTTGTGGAATTTGCAAGTGGAGATTTCAGCCGCTTTGAGGTCTATAGTAGAAAAGGAAATATCTTCATAGAAAAACTAGACAGAATGATTCTCAGAAACTCCTTTGTGATCTGTGCGTTCAACTCACAGAGTTTAACCTTTCTTTTCATAGAGCAGTTAGGAAACACTCTGCTTGTAAAGTCTGCAAGTGGATATTCAGCCCTCTTTGAGGCCTTCGTTGGAAACGGGTTTTTTTCATATAAGGCTAGACAGAAGAATTCTCAGTAACTTCCTTGTGTTGTGTGTATTCAACTCACAGAGTTGAACGATCCTTTACACATAGCAGACTTGAAACACTCTTTTTGTGGAATTTGCAAGTGGAGATTTCAGCCGCTATGGGGTCAATGGTAGAATAGGAAATATCTTCCTATAGAAACTAGACAGAATGATTCTCAGAAACTCCTTTGTGATGTGTGCGTTCAACTCACAGAATTTAACATTTCCTTTCATAGAGCAGTTAGGAAACACTCTGTTTGTAAAGTCTGCAAGTGGATATTCAGACCTCTTTGAGGCCTTCGTTGGAAACGGGATTTCTTCATATTCTGCTAGACAGAAGAATTCCCAGTAACTTCCTTGTGTTGTGTGTGTTCAACTCACAGAGTTGAACTTTCATTTACACAGAGCAGATTTGAAACACTCTTTTTGTGGAATTTGCAAGTGGAGATTTCATGCGCTTTGAGGCCAAAGGCAGAAAAGGAAATATCTTCGTATAAAAACTAGACAGAATCATTCTCAGAAACTGCTCTGCGATGTGTGCGTTCAACTCTCACAGTTTAACTTTTCTTTTCATTCAGCAGTTTGGAAACACTCTGTTTGTAAAGTCTGCACGTGGATAATTTGACCACTTAGAGGCCTTCGTTGGAAACGGGTTTTTTTCATGTAAGGCTAGACAGAAGAATTCCCAGTAACTTCCTTGTGTTGTGTGCATTCAACTCACAGAGTTCAACGTTCCCTTAGACAGAGCAGATTTGAAACACTCTATTTGTGCAATTTGCAAGTGTAGATTTCAAGCGCTTTAAGGTCAACGGCAGAAAAGGAAATATCTTCGTTTCAAAACTAGACAGAATCATTCCCACAAACTGCGTTGTGATGTGTTAGTTCAACTCACAGAGTTTAACCTTTCTTTTCATAGAGCAGTTAGGAAACAGTCTGTTTGTCAATTCTGTAAGTGGATATTCTGACATCTTGTGGCCTTCGTTGGAAACGGGATTTCTTCATATTCTGCTAGACAGAAGAATTCTCAGTAACTTCCTTGTGTTGTGTGTATTCAACTCACAGAGTTGAACGATCCTTTACACAGAGCAGACTTGAAACACTCTTTTTGTGGATTTGCAAGTGGAGATTTCAGCCGCTTTGAGGTCAATGGTAGAATAGTAAATATCTTCCTGTAGAAACAAGAGAGAATGATTCTCAGAAACTCCTTTGTGATGTGTGCGTTCAACTCACAGAGTTTAACCTTTCTTTTCATAGAGCAGTTAGGAAACACTCTGTTTGTAAAGTCTGCAAGTGGATATTCAGACCTCTTTGAGGCCTTCGTTGGAAACGGGAATTCTTCATATTATGCTAGACAGAAGAATTCCCAGTAACTTCCTTGTGTTGTGTGTGTTCAACTCACAGAGTTGAACTTTCATGTACACAGAGCAGATTTGAAACACTCTTTTTGTGGAATTTGCAAGTGGAGATTTCAAGCGCTTTGAGGCCAAAGGCAGAAAAGGAAATATCTTCGTATAAAAACTAGACAGAATCATTCTCAGAAACTGCTCTGCGATGTGTGCGTTCAACTCTAAGAGTTTAACTTTTCTTTTCATTCAGCAGTTTGGAAACACTCTGTTTGTAAAGTCTGTACGTGGATAATTTGACCACTTAGAGGCCTTCGTTGGAAAAGGGTTTTTTTCATGTAAGGATAGACAGAAGAATTCCCAGTAACTTCCTTGTGTTGTGTACATTCAACTCACAGAGTTGAACGTTCCCTTAGACAGAGCAGATTTGAAACACTCTTTTTGTGTAATTGGCAAGTGGAGATTTCAAGCGCTTTAAGGTCAATGGCAGAAAAGGAAATATCTTCGTTTCAAAACTAGACAGAATCATTCCCACAAACTGCGTTGTGATGTGTTCGTTCAACTCACAGAGTTTAACCTTTCTTTTCATAGAGCAGTTAGGAGACACTCTGTTTGTAATGTCTGCAAGTGGATATTCAGACCTCTTTGAGGCCTTCGTTGGAAACGGGATTTCTTCATATTATGCTACACAGAAGAATTCTCAGTAACTTCCTTGTGTTTTGTGAATTCAACTCACAGAGTTGAACGATCCTATACACAGAGCAGACTTGAAACACTCTTTTTGTGGAATTTGCAAGTGGAGATTTCAGCCGCTTTGTGGTCAATAGTAGAATAGGAAATATCTTCCTATAGAAACTAGACAGAATGATTCTCAGAAACTCCTTTGTGATGTGTGCGTTCAACTCACAGAGTTTAACCTTTCTGTTCATAGAGCAGTTAGGAAACACTCTATTTGTAAAGTCTGCAAGTGGATATTCAGACCTCTTTGAGGCCTTCGTTGGAAACGGGATTTCTTCATATTCTGCTAGACAGAAGAATTCTCAGTAACTTCCTTGTGTTGTGTGTATTCAACTGACAAGAGTTGAACTTTCATTTGGAGAGAGCAGATTTGAAACACTGTTTTTGTGGAATTTGCAAGTGGAGATTTCAAGCGCTTTGGGGCCAAAGGCAGAAAAGGAAATATCTTCGTATAAAAACTAGACAGAATCATTCTCAGAAACTGCTCTGCGATGTGTGCGTTCAACTCTCAGAGTTTAACTTTGCTTTTCATTCAGCAGTTTGGAAACACTCTGTTTGTAAAGTCTGCACGTGGATAATTTGACCACTTAGAGGCCTTCGTTGGAAACGGGTTTTTTTCATGTAAGGCTGGACAGAAGAATTCCCAGTAACTTCCTTGTGTTGTGTACATTCAACTCACAGAGTTGAACGTTCCGTTAGACAGAGCAGACTTGTAACACTCTTTTTGTGGAATTTGCAAGTGGAGTTTTCAGCCGCTTTTAAGTCAATGGTAGAAAAGGTAAT
The DNA here is from genome assembly GCF_000001405.40 of Homo sapiens. Lineage (NCBI taxonomy): Eukaryota > Metazoa > Chordata > Mammalia > Primates > Hominidae > Homo > Homo sapiens. The sequence continues at coordinate 123,134,696 of NC_000001.11, forward strand.
ATCTTCCTATAAAAACTAGACAGAATGATTCTCAGAAACTCCTTTGTGATGTGTGCGTTCAACTCACAGAGTTTAACCTTTCTTTTCATAGAGCAGTTAGGAAACACTCTGTTTGTTAAGTCTGCAAGTGGATATTCAGTCCTCTTTGAGGCCTTCGTTGGAAACGGGATTTCTTCATATTATGCTAGACAGAAGAATTCTCAGTAACTTCATTGTGTTGTGTGTATTCAACTCACAGATTTCAACGATCCTTTACACAGAGCAGACTTGAAACACTCTTTTTGTGGAATTTGCAAGTGGAGATTTCAGCCGCTTTGAGGTCAATGGTAGAATAGGAAATATCTTCCTATAGAAACTAGACAGAATGATTCTCATAAACTCCTTTGTGATGTGTGCGTTCAACTCACAGAGTTTAACCTTTCCTTTCATAGAGCAGTTAGGAAACACTCTGTTTGTAAAGTCTGCAAGTGGATATTCAGACCTCCTTGAGGCCTTCGTTGGAAACGGGATTTCTTCATATTCTGCTAGACAGAAGAATTCCCAGTAACTTCCTTGTGTTGTGTGTGTTCTACTCACAGAGTTGAACTTTGATTTACACAGAGCAGATTTGAAACACTCTTTTTGTGGAATTTGGAAGTGGAGATTTCAAGCGCTTTGAGGCCAAAGGCAGAAAAGGAAATATCTTCGTATAAAAACTAGACAGAATCATTCTCAGAAACTGCTCTGCGATGTGTGCGTTGAACTCTCAGAGTTTAACTTTTCTTTTCATTCAGCAGTTTGGAAACACTCTGTTTGTAAAGTCTGTACGTGGATATTTTGACCACTTAGAGGCCTTCGTTGGAAACGGGTTTTTTTCCTGTAAGGCTAGACAGAAGAATTCCCAGTAACTTCCTTGTGTTGTGTGCATTCAACTCACAGAGTTGAACGTTCCCTTAGACAGAGCAGATTTGAAACACTCTATTTGTGCAATTTGCAAGTGTAGTTTTCAAGCTCTTTAAGGTCAACGGCAGAAAAGCAAATATCTTCGTTTCAAAACTAGACAGAATGATTCTCAGAAACTCCTTTGTGATTTGTGCGTTCAACTCACAGAGTTTAACTTTTCTTTTCATAGATCAGTTAGGAAACACTCTGTTTGTAAAGTCTGCAAGTGGATATTCAGACCTCTTTGATGCCTTCGTTGGAAACGGGATTTCTTCATATTATGCTAGACAGAATAATTCTCAGTAACTTCCTTGTGTTGTGTGTATTCAACTCACAGAGTTGAACGATCCTTTAGAGAGAGCAGACTTGAAACACTCTTTTTGTGGTATTTGCAAGTGGAGATTTCAGCCGCTTTGTGGTCAATGGTAGAAAAGGAAACTATCATCGTATAAAGACTAGACAGAATGATTCTCAGAAACTCCTTTGTGATGTGTGTGTTCAACTCACAGAGTTTAACCTTTCTTTTCATAGAGCAGTTAGGAAACACTCTGTTTGTAAAGTCTGCAAGTGGATATTCAGACCTCTTTGAGGCCTTCGTTGGAAACGGGTTTTTTTCATATAAGGCTAGACAAAAGAATTCCCAGTAACTTCCTTGTGTTGTGTGTGTTCAACTCACAGAGTTGAACTTTCATTTACACAGAGCAGATTTGAAACACTCTTTTTGTGGAATTTGCAAATGGAGATTTCAAGCGCTTTGAGGCCAAAGGCAGAAAAGGAAATATCCTCGTATAAAAACTAGACAGAATCATTCTCAGAAACTGCTCTGCGACGTGTGCGTTCAACTCTCAGAGTTTAACTTTTCTTTTCATTCAGCAGTTTGGAAACACTCTGTTTGTAAAGTCTGCACGTGGATAATTTGACCACTTAGAGGCCTTCGTTGGAAACGGGTTTTTTTCATGTAAGGCTAGACAGAAGAATTCCTAGTAACTTCCTTGTGTTGTGTACATTCAACTCACAGAGTTGAACGTTCCCTTAGACAGAGCAGATTTGAAACACTATTTTTGTGCAATTGGCAAGTGGTGATTTCAGCCGCTTTGAGGTCAATGGTATAAAAGGAAATATCTTCGTATTAAAACTAGACAGAATCATTCCCACAAACTGCGTTGTGATGTGTTCGTTCATCTCACAGAGTTTAACCTTTCTTTTCATAGAGCAGTTAGGAAACAGTCTGTTTGTAAATTCCGTAAGTGGATATTCTGACATCTTGTGGCCTTCGTTGGAAACGGGATTTCTTCATATTCTGCTAGACAGAAGAATTCTCAGAAACTTCCTTTTGTTGTGTGTATTCAACTCACAGAGTTGAACGATCCTTTACACAGAGCAGATTAGAAAAACTCTTTTTGTGGAATTTGCAAGTGGAGATTTCAGCCGCTTTGAGGTCAATGGTAGAAAAGGGAATATCTTCGTATAAAAACTAGACAGAATGATTCTCAGAAACTCCTTTGAGATGTGTGCGTTCAACTCACAGAGTTTAACCTTTCTTTTCATAGAGCAGTTAGGAAACACTCTGTTTGTAAAGTCTGCAAGTGGATATTCAGACCTCTTTGAGGCCTTCGTTGGAAACGGGTTTTTTCATATAAGGCTAGACAGAAGAATTCTCAGTAACTTCCTTGTGTTGTGTGTATTCAACTCACAGAGTTGAACTATCCTTTACACAGAGCAGACTTGAAACACTCTTTTTGTGGAATTTGCAAGTGGAGATTTCAAGCGCTTTGAGGCCAAAAGCAGAAAAGGAAATATCTTCGTATAAAAACTAGACAGAATCATTCTCAGAAACTGCTGCGTGATGTGTGCGTTCAACTCTCAGAGTTTAACTTTTCTTTTCATTCAGCGGTTTGGAAACACTCTGTTTGTAAAGTCTGCACGTGGATATTTTGACCACTTAGAGGCCTTCGTTGGGAAACGGGTTTTTTTCATGTAAGGCTAGACAGAAGAATTCCCAGTAACTTCCTTGTGTTGTGTGTGTTCAACTCACAGAGTTGAACTTTCATTTACACAGAGCAGATTTGAAACACTCTTTTTGTGGAATTTGCAAATGGAGATTTCAAGCGCTTTGAGGCCAAAGGCAGAAAAGGAAATATCTTCGTTTCAAAACTAGACAGAATCATTCCCACAAACTGCGTTGTGATGTGTTCGTTCAACTCACAGAGTTTAACCTTTCTGTTCATAGAGCAGTTAGGAAACACTCTGTTTCTAAAGTCTGTAAGTGGATATTCTGACATCTTGTGGCCTTCGTTGGAAACGGGATTTCTTCATATTCTGCTAGACAGAAGAATTCTCAATAACTTCCTTGTGTTGTGTGTATTCAACTCACAGAGTTGAACGATCCTTTACACAGAGCAGACTTGAAACACTCTTGTTGTGGAATTTGCAAGTGGAGATTTCAGCCGCTTTGAGGTCAATGGTAGAATAGGAAATATCTTCCTATAAAAACTAGACAGAATGATTCTCAGAAACTCCTTTGTGATGTGTGCGTTCAACTCACAGAGTTTAACCTTTCTTTTCATAGAGCAGTTAGGAAACACTCTGCTTCTAAAGTATGCAAGTGGATATTTAGCCCTCTTTGAGGCCTTCGTTGGAAACGGGTTTTTTTCATATAAGGCTAGACAGAAGAATTCCCAGTAACTTCCTTGTGTTGTGTGTGTTCAACTCACAGAGTTGAACTTTCATTTACACAGAGCAGATTTGAAACACTCTTTTTGTGGAATTTGCAAGTGGAGATATCAAGCGCTTTGAGGCCAAAGGCAGAAAAGGAAATATCTTCGTATAAAAACTAGACAGAATCATTCTCAGAAACTGCTCTGCGATGTGTGCGTTGAACTCTCAGAGTTTAACTTTTCTTTTCATTCAGCAGTTTGGAAACACTCTGTTTGTAAAGTCTGCACGTGGATAATTTGACCACTTAGAGGCCTTCGTTGGAAACGGGTTTTTTTCATGTAAGGCTAGACAGAAGAATTCCCAGTAACTTCCTTGTGTTGTGTGCATTCAACTCACAGAGTTGAACGTTCCCTTAGACAGAGCAGATTTGAAACACTCTATTTGTGCAATTTGCAAGTGTAGATTTCAAGCGCTTTAAGGTCAACGGCAGAAAAAGGAAATATCTTCGTTTCAAAACTAGACAGAATCATTCCCACAAACTGCGTTGTGATGTGTTCGTTCAACTCACAGAGTTTAACCTTTCTTTTCATAGAGCAGTTAGGAAACACTCTGTTGGTAAATTCTGTAAGTGGATATTCTGACATCTTGTGGCCTCCGTTGGAAACGGGATTTCTTCATATTCTGCTAGACAGAAGAATTCTCAGTAACTTCCTTGTGTTGTGTGTATTCAACTCACACAGTTGAACGATCCTTTACACAGAGCGGACTTGAAACACTCGTTTTGTGGAATTTGCAAGTGGAGATTTCAGCCGCGTTGAGGTCAATGGTAGAAAAGGAAATATCTTCGTATAAAAACTAGACAGAATGATTCTCAGAAACTCCTTTGTGATGTGTGTGTTCAACTCACAGAGTTTAACCTTTCTTTTCATAGAGCAGTTAGTAAACACTCTGTTTATAAAGTCTGCAAGTGGATATTCAGACCCCTTTGAGGCCTTCGTTGGAAACGGGATTTCTTCATATTCTCCTAGACAGAAGAATTCTCAGTAACTTCCTTGTGTTGTGTGTATTCAACTGACAGAGTTGAACTTTCATTTGGAGAGAGCAGATTTGAAACACTGTTTTTGTGGAATTTGCAAGTGGAGATTTCAAGCGCTTTGGGGCCAAAGGCAGAAAAGGAAATATCTTCGTATAAACACTAGACAGAATCATTCTCAGAAACTGCTCTGCGATGTGTGCGTTCAACTCTCAGAGTTTAACTTTTCTTTTCATTCAGCAGTTTGGAAACACTCTGTTTGTAAAGTCTGCACGTGGATAACTTGACCACTTAGAGGCCTTCGTTGGAAACGGGTTTTTTTCATGTAAGGCTAGACAGAAGAATTCCCAGTAACTTCCTTGTGTTGTGTACATTCAACTCACAGAGTTGAACGTTCCCTTAGACAGAGCAGATTTGAAACACTCTTTTTCTGCAATTGGCAAATGGAGATTTCAAGCGCTTTAAGGTCAATGGCAGAAAAGGAAATATCTTCGTTTCAAAACTAGACAGAATGATTCTCAGAAACTCCTTTGTGATGTGTGCGTTCAACTCACAGAGTTCAACCTTTCTTTTCATAGAGCAGTTGGGATACACTCTGTTTGTAAAGTCTGCAAGTGGATATTCAGACTTCTTTGAGGCCTTCGTTGGAAGCGGGATTTCTTCATATTCTGCTAGACAGAAGAATTCTCAGTAACTTCCTCGTGTTGTGTGTATTCAACTCACAGAGTTGAACGAACCTTTACACAGAGCAGACTTGAAACACTCTTTTTGTGGAATTTGCAAATGGAGATTTCAGCCACTTTGAGGTCAATGGTTGAAAAGGAAATATCTTCATATAAAAATTAGACAGAATGATTCTCAGAAACTCCTTTGTGATGTGTGCGTTCAACTCACAGAGTTCAACCTTTCTTTTCATAGAGCAGTTGGGAAACACTCTGTTTGTAAAGTCTGCAAGTGGATATTCAGACTTCTTTGAGGCCTTCGTTGGAAGCAGGATTTCTTCATGTTCTGCTAGACAGAAGAATTCTCAGTAACTTCCTTGTGTTGTGTGTATTCAACTCACAGAGTTGAACGATCCTTTACACAGAGCAGTCTTGAAACACTCTTTTTGTGGAATTTGCAAGTGGAGATTTCTGACGCTTTGAGGTCAATGGTAGAATAGGAAATATCTTCCTATAGAAACTAGACAGAATGATTCTCAGAAACTTCTTTGTGATGTGTGCGCTCAACTCACAGAGTTTAACCTTTCTTTTCATAGAGCAGTTAGGAAACACTCTGTTTGTAAAGTCAGCAAGTGGATATTCAGACCTCTTTGAGGCCTTCGTAGGAAACGGGATTTCTGCATATTATGCTAGACAGAAGAATTCCCAGTAACTTCCTTGTGTTGTGTGTGTTCAACTCACAGAGTTGAACTTTCATTTACCCAGAGCAGATATGAAACACTCTTTTTGTGGAATTTGCAAGTGGAGATTTCAAGCGCTTTGAGGCCAAAGGCAGAAAAGGAAATATCTTCGTATAAAAACTAGACAGAATCATTCTCAGAAACTGCTCTGTGATGTGTGCGTTCATCTCTCAGAGTTTAACTTTTCTTTTCATTCAGCAGTTTGGAAACACTCTGTTTGTAAAGTCTGCACGTGGATAATTTGATCACTTAGAGGCCTTCGTTGGAAACGGGTTTTTTTCATGTAAGGCTAGACAGAAGAATTCTCAGTAACTTCCTTCTGTTGTGTGTATTCAACTCACAGAGTTGAACGATCCTTTACACAGAGCAGACTTGTAACACTCTTTTTGTGGAATTTGCAAGTGGAGATTTCAGCCGCTTTGAAGTCAAAGGTAGAAAAGGAAATATCTTCCTATAAAAAATAGACAGAATGATTCTCAGAAACTTCTTTGTGATGTGTGCGTTCAACTCACAGAGTTTAACCTTTCTTTTCATAGAGCAGTTAGGAAACACTCTGTTTGTAAACTCTGCAAATGGATGTTCAGACCTCTTTGAGGCCTTCGTTGGAAACGGGATTTCTTCATACTATGCTAGACAGAAGAATTCTCAGTAACTTCCTTGTGTTGTGTGTATTCAACTCACAGAGTTGAACCGATCCTTTACACAGAGCAGACTTGAAACACTCTTTTTGTGGAATTTGCAAGTGGAGATTTCAGCCGCTTTGAGGTCAATGGTAGAAAAGGAAATATCTTCCTATAAAAACTAGACAGAATGATTCTGAGAAACTCCTTTGTGATGTGTGCGTTCAACTCACAGAGTTTAACCTTTCTTTTCATAGAGCAGTTAGGAAACACTCTGTTTGTAAAGTCTGCAAGTGGATATTCAGACCTCCTTGAGGCCTTCGTTGGAAACGGGTTTTCTTCATATTATGCTAGACAGAAGAATTCCCAGTAACTTCCTTGTGTTGTGTGTGTTCAACTCACAGAGTTGAACTTTCATTTACACAGAGCAGATTTGAAACTCTCTTTTTGTGGAATTTACAAATGGAGATTTCAAGCGCTTTGAGGCCAAAGGCAGAAAAGGAAATATCTTCGTATAAAAACTAGACAGAATCATTCTCAGAAACTGCTCTGCGATGTGTGCGTTCAACTCTCAGAGTTCAACTTTTCTTTTCATTCAGCAGTTTGGAAACACTCTGTTTGTAAAGTCTGCACGTGGATAATTTGACTACTTAGAGGCCTTCGTTGGAAACGGGTTTTTTTCATGTAAGGCTAGACAGAAGAATTCCCAGTAACTTCCTTGTGTTGTGTGCGTTCAACTCACAGAGTTGAACTTTCATTTACACAGAGCAGATTTGAAACACTCTTTTTGTGGAATTTGCAAATGGAGATTTCAAGCGCTTTGAGGCCAAAGGCAGAAAAGGAAATGTCTTCGTTTCAAAACTAGACAGAATGATTCTCAGAAAATCTTTTGTGATGTGTGCGTTCAACTCACAGAGTTTAACCTTTCTTTTCATAGAGCAGTTAGGAAACACTCTGTTTGTAAAGTCTGCAAGTGGATATTCAGACCTCCTTGAGGCCTTCGTTGGAAACGGGATTTCTTCATATTCTGCTAGACAGAAGAATTCTCAGTAACTTACCTTGTGTTGTGTGTATTCAACTCACAGGGTTGAACGATCCTTTACACAGAGCAGACTTGAAACACTCTTTTTGTGGAATTTGCAAGTGGCGATTTCAGCCTCTTTGAGGTCAATGGTAGAATAGGAAATATCTTCCTATAGAAACTAGACAGAATGATTTTCATAAACTCCTTAGTGATGTGTGCGTTCAACTCACAGAGTTTAACCTTTCTGTTCATAGAGCAATTAGGAAACACTCTGTTTGTAAAGTCTGCAAGTGGATATTCAGACCCCTTTGAGGCCTTCGTTGGAAACGGGATTTCTTCATATTATGCTAGACAGAAAAATTCTCAGTAACTTCCTTGTGTTGTGTGTATTCAACTGACAGAGTTGAACTTTCATTTAGAGAGAGCAGATTTGAAACACTGTTTTTGTGGAATTTGCAAGTGGAGATTTCAAGCGCTTTGGGGCCAAAGGCAGAAAAGGAAATATCTTCGTATAAAAACTAGACAGAATCATTCTCAGAAACTGCTGCGTGATGTGTGCGTTCAACTCTCAGAGTTCAACTTTTCTTTTCATTCAGCGGTTTGGAAACACTCTGTTTGTAAAGTCTGCACGTGGATATTTTGACCACTTAGAGGCCTTCGTTGGAAACGGGTTTTTTCATGTAAGGCTAGACAGAAGAATTCCCAGTAACTTCCTTGTGTTGTGTGCATTCAACTCACAGAGTTGAACGTTCCCTTAGACAGAGCAGATTTGAAACACTCTATTTGTGCAATTTGCAAGTATAGATTTCAAGCGCTTTAAGGTCAATGGCAGAAAAGGAAATATCTTCGTTTCAAAACTAGACAGAATCATTCCCACAAACTGCGTTGTGATGTGTTCGTTCAACTCACAGAGTTTAACCTTTCTGTTCATAGAGCAGTTAGGAAACACTCTGTTGTAAAGTCTGTAAGTGGATATTCTGACATCTTGTGGCCTTCGTTGGAAACGGGATTTCTTCATATTCTGCTAGACAGAAGAATTCTCAGTAACTTCCTTGTGTTGTGTGAATTCAACTCACAGAGTTGAACGATCCTTTACACAGAGCAGACTTGAAACACTCTTTTTGTGGAATTTGCAGGTGGAGATTTCAGCCGCTTTTTGTTCAATGGTAGAATAGGAAATATCTTCCTATAGAAACTAGACAGAATGATTCTGAGAAACTCCTTTGTGATGTGTGTGTTCAACTCACAGAGTTTAACCTTTGCTTTCATAGAGCAGTTAGTAAACACTCTGTTTATAAAGTCTGCAAGTGAATATTCAGACCCCTTTGAGGCCTTCGTTGGAAACGGGATTTCTTCATATTATGCTGGACAGAAGAATTATCAGTAACTTCCTTGTGTTGTGTGTATTCAACTCACAGAGTTGAACGATCCTTTACACAGAGCAGACTTGAAACACTCTTTTTGTGGAAATTGCAAGTGGAGATTTCAGCCGCTTTGAGGTCAATGGTAGAATAGGAAATATCTTCCTATAGAAACTAGACAGAATGATTCTCAGAAACTCCTTTGTGATGTATGTGTTCAACTCACAGAGTTTAACCTTTCTTTTCATTGAGCAGTTAGGAAACACTCTGTTTGTTAAGTCTGCAAGTGGATATTCAGACCTCTTTGAGGCCTTCGATGGAAACGGGTTTTTTTCATATAAGGCTAGACAGAAGAATTCCCAGTAACTTCCTTGTGTTGTGTGTGTTCAACTCACAGAGTTGAACTCTCATTTACACAGAGCAGATTTGAAACACTCTTTTTGTGGAATTTCCAAGTGGAGATTTCAAGTGCTTTGAGGCCAAAGGCAGAAAAGGAAATATCTTCGTATAAAAACTAGACAGAATCATTCTCAGAAACTGCTCTGCGATGTGTGCGTTCAACTCTCAGAGTTTAACTTTTCTTTTCATTCAGCAGTTTGGAAACACTCTGTTTGTAAAGTCTGCACGTGGATAACTTGACCACTTAGAGGCCTTCGTTGGAAACGGGTTTTTTTCATATAAGGCTAGACAGAAGAATTCCCAGTAACTTCCTTGTGTTGTGTGCATTCAACTCACAGAGTTGAACGTTCCCTTAGACAGAGCAGATTTGAAACACTCTATTTGTGCAATTTGCAAGTGTAGATTTCAAGCGCTTTAAGGTCAATGGCAGAAAAGGAAATATCTTGGTTTCAAAACTAGACAGAATCATTCCCACAAACTGCGTTGTGATGTGTTCGTTCAACTCACAGAGTTTAACCTTTCTTTTCATAGAGCAGTTAGGAAACACTCTGTTTGTAAACTCTGCAAGTGGATATTCAGACCTCTTTGAGGCCTTCGTTGGAAACGGGATTTCTTCATACTATGCTAGACAGAATAATTCTCAGTAACTTCCTTGTTTTGTGTGTATTCAACTCACAGAGTTGAACGATCCTTTACAGAGAGCAGACTTAAAACACTCTTTTTGTGGAATTTGCAAGTGGAGATTTCAGCCGCTTTGAGGTCAATGGTAGAATAGGAAATATCTTCCTATAGAAACTAGACAGAATGATTCTCAGAAACTCCTTTGTGATGTGTGCGTTCAACTCACAGAGTTTACCCTTTCTTTTCATAGAGCAGTTAGGAAACACTCTGTTTGTAAAGTCTGCAAGTGGATATTCAGACATCCTTGAGGCTTTCGTTGGAAACGGGATTTCTTCATATTCTGCTAGAAAGAAGAATTCCCAGTGACTTCCTTGTGTTGTGTGTGTTCAACTCACAGAGTTGAACGTTCCCTTAGACAGAGCAGATTTGAAACACTCTTTTTGTGGAATTTGCAAGTGGAGATTTCAAGCGCTTTGAGGCCAAAGGCAGAAAAGGAAATATCTTCGTATAAAAACTAGACAGAATCATTCTCAGAAACTGCTGCGTGATGTGTGCGTTCAACTCTCAGAGTTTAACTTTTCATTTCATTCAGCGGTTTGGAAACCCTCTGTTTGTAAAGTCTGCACGTGGATATTTTGACCACTTAGAGGCCTTCGTTGGAAACGGGTTTTTTGCATGTAAGGCTAGACAGAAGAATTCCCAGTAACTTCCTTGTGTTGTGTGCATTCAACTCACAGAGTTGAACGTTCCCTTAGACAGAGCAGATTTGAAGCACTCTATTTGTGCAATTTGCAAGTGTAGATTTCAAGCGCTTTAAGGTCAATGGCAGAAAAGGAAATATCTTCATTTCAAAACTAGACAGAATGATTCTCAGAAACTCCTTTGTGATGTGTGCGTTCTACTCACAGAGTTCAACCTTTCTTTTCATAGAGCAGTTGGGAAACACTCTGTTTGTAAAGTCTGCAAGTGGATATTCAGACTTCTTTGAGGCCTTCGTTGGAAGCGGGATTTCTTCATATTCTGCTAGACAGAAGAATTCTCAGAAACTTCCTTGTGTTGTGTGTTTTCAACTCACAGAGTTGAACGATCCTTTACACAGAGCAGACTTGAAACACTCCTTTTGTGGAATTTGCAAGTGGAGATTTCAGCCGCTTTGAGGCCAATGGTAGAATAGGAAATATCTTCCTATAGAAACTAGACAGAATGATTCTCAGAAACTTCTTTGTGATGTGTGCGTTCAACTCACAGAGTTTAACCTTTCTTTTCATAGAGCAGTTAGGAAACACTCTGTTTGTAAAGTCTGCAAGTGGATATTCAGACCTCTTTGAGGCCTTCGTTGGAAACGGGATTTCTTCATACTGTGCTAGACAGAAGAATTCTCAGTAACTTCCTTGTGTTGTGTGTATTCAACTCACAGAGTTGAACGATCCTTTACACAGAGCGGACTTGAAACACACTTTTTGTGGAATTTGCAAGGGGAGATTTCAGCCGCATTGAGGTCAATGGTAGAAAAGGAAATATCTTCGTATAAAAACTAGACAGAATCATTCTCAGAAACTGCTCTGCGATGTGTGCGTTCAACTCTCAGAGTTTAACTTTTCTTTTCATTCAGCAGTTTGGAAACACTCTGTTTGTAAAGTCTGCACGTGGATAAATTGACCACTTAGAGGCCTTCGTTGGAAACGGGTTTTTTTCACGTAAGGCTAGACAGAAGAATTCTCAGTAACTTCCTTGTGTTGTGTGTATTCAACTCACACAGTTGAACGATCCTTTACACAGAGCAGACTTGTAACACTCTTTTTGTGGAATTTGCAATTGGAGATTTCAGCCGCTTTGAAGTCAAATGTAGAAAAGGAAATATCTTCCTATAAAAACTAGACAGAATGATTCTCATAAACTCCTTTGTGATGTGTGCGTTCAACTCACAGAGTTTAACCTTTCTGTTCATAGAGCAGTTAGGAAACACTCTGTTTGTAAAGTCTGCAAGTGGATATTCAGACCTCCTTGAGGCCTTCTTTGGAAACGGGATTTCTTCATATTCTGATAGACAGAAGAATTCTCAGTAACTTCCTTGTGTTGTGTGTATTCAACTCACAGAGTTGAACGATCCTTTACACAGAGCAGACTTGAAACACTCTTTTTGTGGAATTTGCAAGAGGAGATTTCAGCAGCTTTGAGGTCAATGGTAGAAAAGGAAACTATCTTCGTATAAAGACTAGACAGAATGATTCTCAGAAAATCCTTTGTGATGTGTGCGTTCAACTCACAGAGTTTAACTTTTCTTTTCATAGAGCAGTTAGGAAACACTCTGTTTGTAAAGTCTGCAAGTGGATATTCAGACCTCTTTGAGGCCTTCGTTGGAAACGGGATTTCTTCATATTATGCTAGACCGAAGAATTCTCAGTAACTGCCTTGTGTTGTGTGTATTCAACTCACAGAGTTGAACGATCCTTTACACAGAGCAGACTTGAAACACTCTTTTGGTGGAATTTGCAAGTGGAGATTTCAGCCGCTTTGAGGTCAATGGTAGAATAGGAAATATCTTCCTATAGAAACTAGACAGAATGATTCTCAGAAACTCCTTTGTGATGTGTGCATTCAACTCACAGAGTTTAACCTTTCTTTTCATAGAGCAGTTAGGAAACACTCTGTTTGTAAAGTCTGCAAGTGGATATTCAGACCTCTTTGAGGCCTTCGTTGGAAACGGGATTTCTTCATATTATGCTAGACAGAAGAATTCTCAGTAACTTCCTTGTGTTGTGTGTATTCAACTCACAGAGTTGAACGATCCTTTACACAGAGTAGACTTGAAACACTCTTTTTGTGGAATTTGCAAGTGGAGATTTCAACCGCTTTGAGGTCAATGGTAGAAAAGGAAATATCTTCGTATAAAAACTAGACAGAATCATTCTCAGAAACTGCTGCGTGATGTGTGCGTTCAACTCTCAGAGTTTAACTTTTCTTTTCATTCAGCGGTGTGGAAACACTCTGTTTGTAAAGTCTGCACGTGGATATTTTGACCACTTAGAGGCCTTCGTTGGAAACGGGTTTTTTTCATGTAAGGCTAGAGAAAAGAATTCCCAGTAACTTCCTTGTGTTGTGTGCATTCAACTCACAGAGTTGAACGTTCCCTTAGACAGAGCAGATTTCAAACACTCTATTTGTGCAATTTGCAAGTGTAGATTTCAAGCGCTTTAAGGTCAGTGGCAGAAAAGGAAATATCTTCGTTTCAAAACTAGACAGAATGATTCTCATAAACTCCTTTGTGATGTGTGCGTTCAACTCACAAAGTTTAACTTTTCTTTTCATAGAGCAGTTAGGAAACACTCTGTTTGTAAAGTCTGCAAGTGGATATTCAGACCTCTTTGAGACCTTCGTTGGAAACGGGATTTCTTCATATTATGCTAGACAGAATAATTCTCAGTAACTTCCTTGTGTTGTGTGTATTCAACTCACAGAGTTGAACGATGCTTTACACAGAGCAGACTTGAAACATTCTTTTTGTGGAATTTGCAACTGGAGATTTCAGCCGCTTTGAGGTCAATGGTAGAATAGGAAATATCTTCCTATAGAAACTAGACAGAATGATTCTCAGAAACTCCTTTGTGATGTGTGTGTTCAACTCACAGAGTTTAACATTTCTTTTCATAGAGCAGTTAGGAAACACTCTGTTTGTAAAGTCTGCAAGTGGATATTCAGACCTCTTTGAGGCCTTCGTTGGAAACGGGTTTTTTTAATATAAGGCTAGACAGAACAATTCTCAGTAACTTCCTTGTGTTGTGTGTATTCAACTCACAGAGTTGAACGATCCTTTACACAGAGCAGACTTGAAACACTATTTTTGTGGAATTTGCAAGTGGAGATTTCATCCGCTTTGAGGTCAATGGTAGAATAGGAAATATCTTCCTATAGAAAGTAGACAGAATGATTCTCAGAAACTTCTTTGTGATGTGTGCGTTCAACTCACAGAGTTTAACCTTTCTTTTCATAGAGCAGTTAAGAAACACTCTGTTTGTAAAGTCTGCAAGTGGATATTCAGACATCTTTGAGACTCTCGTTGGAAACGGGATTTCTTCATATTCTGCTAGACAGAAGAATTCTCAGTAACTTCCTTGTGTTGTGTGTATTCAACTGACAGAGTTGAACTTTCATTTAGAGAGAGCAGATTTGAAACACTGTTTTTGTGGAATTTGCAAGTGGAGATTTCAAGCGCTTTGGGGCCAAAGGCAGAAAAGGAAATATCTTCCTATAAAAACTAGACAGAATCATTCTCTGAAACTGCTCTGTGATGTGTGCGTTCAACTCTCAGAGTTTAACTTTTCTTTTCATTCAGCAATTTGGAAACACTCTGTTTGTAAAGTCTGCACGTGGATATTTTGACCACTTAGAGGCCTTCGTTGGAAACGGGTTTTTTTCATGTAAGGCTAGACAGAAGAATTCCCAGTAACTTCCTTGTGTTGTGTGCATTCAACTCACAGAGTTGAACGTTCCCTTAGACAGAGCAGATTTGAAACACTCTATTTGTGCAATTTGCAAGTGTAGATTTCAAGCGCTTTAAGGTAATGGCAGAAAAGGAAATATCTTCGTTTCAAAACTAGACAGAATCATTCCCACAAACTGCGTTGTGATGGGTTCGTTCAACTCACAGAGTTTAACCTTTCTGTTCATAGAGCAGTTAGGAAACACTCTGTAAAGTCTGTAAGTGGATATTCTGACATCTTGTGGCCTTCGTTGGAAACGGGATTTCTTCATATTCTGCTAGACAGAAGAATTCTCAGAAACTTCCTTGTGTTGTGTGTTTTCAACTCACAGAGTTGAACGATCCTTTACACAGAGTAGACTTGAAACACTCTTTTTGTGGAATTTGCAAGTGGAGATTTCAGCTGCTTTGAGGTCAATGGTAGAAAAGGAAATATCTTCCTATAGAAACTAGACAGAATGATTCTCAGAAACTCCTTTGTGATGTGTGCGTTCAACTCACAGAGTTTAAACCTTTCTTTTCATAGAGCAGTTAGGAAACACTCTGGTTGTAAAGTCTGCAAGTGGATATTCAGACCTCTTTGAGGCCTTCGTTGGAAACGGGATTTCTTCATATTCTGCTAGACAGAAGAATTCCCAGTAACTTCCTTGTGTTGTGTGTGTTCAACTCACAGAATTGAACTTTCATTTACACAGAGCAGATTTGAAACACTCTTTTTGTGGAATTTGCAAGTGGAGATTTCAAGCGCTTTGAGGCCAAAGGCAGAAAAGGAAATATCTTCGTATAAAAACTAGACAGAATCATTCTCAGAAACTGCTCTGCGATGTGTGCGTTCAACTCTCAGAGTTTAACTTTTCTTTTCATTCAGCAGTTTGGAAACACTCTGTTTGTAAAGTCTGCACGTGGATATTTTGACCACTTAAAGGCCTTCGTTGGAAACGGGTTTTTTTCCTGTAAGGCTAGACAGAAGAATTCCCAGTAACTTCCTTGTGTTGTGTACATTCAACTCACAGAGTTGAACGTTCCCTTAGACAGAGCAGATTTGAAACACTCTTTTTGTGCAATTGGCAAGTGGTGATTTCAGCCGCTTTGTGGTCAATGGTATAAAAGGAAATATCTTCGTATAAAAACTAGACAGAATGATTCTCAGAAACTTCATTGTGACGTGTGCGTTCAACTCACAGAGTTTAACCTTTCTTTTCATAGAGCAGTTAGGAAACACTCTGTTTGTAAACTCTGCAAGTGGATATTCAGACCTCTTTGAGGCCTTCGTTGGAAACGGGATTTCTTCATACTGTGCTAGACAGAAGAATTCTCAGTAACTTCCTTGTGCTGTGTGTATTCAACTCACAGAGTTGAACGATCCTTTACACAGAGCAGACTTGAAACACTCTTTTTGTGGAATTTGCAAGTGGAGATTTCAGCCGCTTTGAGGTCAATAGTAGAAAAGGAAATATCTTCGTAGAAAAACTAGACAGAATGATTCTCAGAAACTCCTTGGTGATGTGTGCGTTCAACTCACAGAGTTTAACTTTTCTTTTCATAGAGCAGTTAGGAAACACTCTGTTTGTAAAGTCTGCAAGTGGATATTCAGACCTCTTTGAGGCCTTCGTTGGAAACGGGATTTCTTCATATTATGCTAGACAGAAGAATTCCCAGTAACTTCCATGTGTTGTGTGTGTTCAACTCACAGAGTTGAACTGTCATTTACACAGAGCAGATTTGAAACACTGTTTTTGTGGAATTTGCAAATGGAGATTTCAAGCGGTTTGAGGCCAAAGGCAGAAAAGGAAATATCTTCGTATAAAAACTAGACAGAAATCATTCTCAGAAACTGCTCTGCGATGTGTGCGTTCAACTCTCAGAGTTTAACTTTTCTTTTCATTCAGAAGTTTGGAAACACTCTGTTTGTAAAGTCTGCACGTGGATAACTTGACCACTTAGAGGCCTTCGTTGGAAACGGGTTTTTTTCCTGTAAGGCTAGACAGAAGAATTCTCAGTAACTTCCCTGTGTTGTGTGTATTCAACTCACAGAGTTGAACGATCCGTTACACAGAGCATACTTGAAACACTCTTCTTGTGGAATTTGCAAGTGGAGATTTCAGCCGCTTTGAGGTCAATGGTAGAATAGGAAATATCTTCCTATAGAAACTAGACAGAATGATTCTCAGAAACTCCTTTCTGATGTGTGCGTTCAACTCAAAGAGTTTAACCTTTCTTTTCGTAGAGCAGCTAGGAAACACTCTGTTTGTAAAGTCTGCAAGTGGATATTCAGACCTCTTTGAGGCCTACGTTGGAAACGGGATTTCTTCATATTATGATAGACAGAAGAATTCTCAGTAACTTCCTTGTGTTGTGTGTATTCAACTGACGGATTTGAACTTTCATTTAGAGAGAGCAGATTTGTAACACTGTTTTTGTGGAATTTGCAAGTGGAGATTTCATGCGCTTTGGGGCCAAAGGCAGAAAAGGAAATATCTTCGTATAAAAACTAGACAGAATCATTCCCAGAAACTGTGTAGTGATGTGTATGTTTAACTCACAGAGTTTAACATTTCTTTTCATAGAGCAGTTGGGAAACGCTCTGTTTGAAAAGTCTGCCTGTGGATATTTGGACCGCCATGAGGCGTTCTTTGGAAATGGTATTTCTTCATTTAAGGCTACACAGAAGAATTCTCAGAATCTTCCCTTGTGTTGTGTGTATTCAACTCACAGAGTTGAACGATCCTTTACACAGAGCAGATTTGAAACACTCTTTTTGTGGAATTTGCAAGTGGAGATTTCAGCCGCTTTGAGGTCAATGGTAGAAAATGAAATATCTTCGTATAAAAACTAGACAGAATGATTCTCAGAAACTCCTTTGTGATGTGTGCGTTGAACTCACAGAGTTTAAGCTTTCTTTTCATAGAGTAGTTAGGAAACACTCTGTTTGTAAAATCTGCAAGTGGATATTCAGACCTCTTTGAGGCCTTCGTTGGAAACGGGATTTCTTCATATTATGCTAGACAGAAGAATTCTCAGAAACTTCGTTGTGTTGTGTGTTTTCAAATCACAGAGTTCAACGATCCTTTACAGAGAGTAGACTTGAAACACTCTTTTTGTGGAATTGGCAGGGTGGAGATTTCAGCCGCTTTGAGGTCAATGGTAGAAAAGGAAATATCTTCGTATAAAAACTAGACAGAATGATTCTCAGAAACTCCTTTGTGATGTGTGTGTTCAACTCACAGAGTTTAACCTTTCTTTTCATAGAGCAGTTAGGAAACACTCTGTTTGTAAAGACTGCAAGTGGATATTCAGGCCTCTTTGAGGCCTTCTTTGGAAACGGGTTTTTTTCATATAAGGCTAGACAGAAGAATTCCCAGTAACTTCCTTGTGTTGTGTGTATTCAACTCACAGAGTTGAACTTTCATTTACACAGAG
The DNA here is from genome assembly GCF_000001405.40 of Homo sapiens. Classification (NCBI taxonomy): domain Eukaryota; kingdom Metazoa; phylum Chordata; class Mammalia; order Primates; family Hominidae; genus Homo; species Homo sapiens. Next base: position 123,152,635 of record NC_000001.11, read on the forward strand.
CAGATTTGAAACACTCTTTTTGTGGAATTTGCAAATGGAGATTTCAAGCCCTTTCAGGCCAAAGGCAGAAAAGGAAATATCTTCGTATAAAAACTAGACAGAATCATTCTCAGAAACTGCTCTGCGATGTGTGCGTTCAACTCTCAGAGTTTAACTTTTCTTTTCATTCAGCAGTTTGGAAACACTCTGTTTGTAAAGTCTGCACGTGGATAACTTGACCACTTAGAGGCCTTCGTTGGAAACGGGTTTTTTTCCTGTAAGGCTAGACAGAAGAATTCCCAGTAACTTCCTTGTGTTGTGTACAATCAACTCACAGAGTTGAACGTTCCCTTAGACAGAGCAGATTTGAAACACTCTTTTTGTGCAATTGGCAAATGGAGATTTCAAGCGCTTTAAGGTCAATGGCAGAAAAGGAAATATCTTCGTTTCAAAACTAGACAGAATCATTCCCACAAACTGCGTTGTGATGTGTTCGTTCAACCTACAGAGTTTAACCTTTCTTTTCATAGAGCAGTTAGGAAACAGTCTGTTTGTAAATTCTGTAAGTGGATATTCTGACATCTTGTGGCCTTGGTTGGAAACGGGATTTCTTCATATTCTGCTAGACAGAAGAATTCTCAGAAACTTCCTTGTGTTGTGTGTTTTCAACTCACAGAGTTGAACGATGCTTTACAGAGAGTAGACTTGAAACACTCTTTTTGTGGAATTTGCAAGTGGAGATTTCAGCCGCTTTGAGGTCAATGGTAGAATAGGAAATATCTTCCTATAGAAACTAGACAGAATGATTCTCAGAAACTCCTTTGTGATGTGTGCGTTCAACTCACAGAGTTTAACCTTTCTTTTCATAGAGCAGTTGGGAAACACTCTGTTTGTAAAGTCTGCAAGTAGATATTCAGACATCCTTGAGGCTTTCGTTGGAAACGGGATTTCTTCATATTCTGCTAGAAAGAAGAATTCTCAGTAACTTCCTTGTGTTGTGGGTATTCAACTCACAGAGTTGAACGATCCTTTACACAGAGCAGACTTGAAACACTCTTTTTGTGGAATTTGCAAGTGGAGATTTCAGCCGCTTTGAGGTCAATGGTAGAATAGGAAATATCTTCCTATAGAAACTAGACAGAATCATTCTCAGAAACTGCTCTGCGATGTGTGCGTTCAACTCTCAGAGTTTAACTTTTCTTTTCATTCAGCAGTTTGGAAACACTCTGTTTGTGAAGTCTGCACGTGGATATTTTGTCCACTTAGAGGCCTTCGTTGGAAACGGGTTTTTTTCCTGTAAGGCTAGACAGAAGAATTCCCAGTAACTTCCTTGTGTTGTGTGCATTCAACTCACAGAGTTGAACGTTCCCTTAGACAGAGCAGATTTGAAACACTCTATTTGTGCAATTTGCGAGTGTAGATTTCAAGCGCTTTAAGGTCAACGGCAGAAAAGGAAATATCTTCGTTTCAAAACTAGACAGAATCATTCCCACAAACTGCGTTGTGATGTGTTCGTTCAACTCACAGAGTTTAACCTTTCTGTTCATAGAGCAGTTAGGAAACACTCTGTTTGTAAAGTCTGCAAGTGGATATTCAGACCTCCTAGAGGCCTTCGTTGGAAACGGGATTTCTTCGTATTCTGCTAGACAGAAGAATTCTCAGTAACTTCCTTGTGTTGTGTGTATGCAACTCACAGAGTTGAACAATCCTTTACACAGAGCAGACTTGAAACACTCCTTTTGTGGAATTTGCAAGTGGAGATTTCAGCCGCTTTGAGGTCAATGGTAGAAAAGGAAACTATCTTCTTATAAAGACTAGACAGAATGATTCTCAGAAACTTCTTTGTGATGTGTGCGTTCAACTCACAGAGTTTAACCTTTCTTTTCATAGAGCAGTTAGGAAACACTTTGTTTGTAAAGTCTGCAAGTGGATATACAGACCTCTTTGAGGCCTTCGTTGGAAACGGGATTTCTTCATACTATGCTAGACAGAAGAATTCCCAGTAACTTCCTTTTGTTGTGTGTGTTCAACTCACAGAGTTGAACTTTCATTTACACAGAGCAGATTGGAAACACTCTTTTTGTGGAATTTGCCAGTGGAGATTTCAAGCGCATTGAGGCCAAAGGCAGAAAAGGAAATATCTTCGTATAAAAACTAGACAGAATCATTCTCAGAAACTGCTGCGTGATGTGTGGGTTCAACTCTCAGAGTTTAACTTTTCTTTTCATTCAGCGGTTTGGAAACACTCTGTTTGTAAAGTCTGCACGTGGATATTTTGACCACTTAGAGGCCTTCGTTGGAAAAGGGTTTTTTTCATGTAAGGCTAGACAGAAGAATTCCCAGTAACTTCCTTGTGTTGTGTACATTCAACTCACACAGTTGAACGTTCCCTTAGACAGAGCAGATTTGAAACACTCTTTTTGTGCAATTGGCAAATGGAGATTTCAAGCGCTTTAAGGTCAATGGCAGGAAAGGAAATATCTTCGTTTCAAAACTAGACAGAATCATTCTCAGAAACTGCTCTGCGATGTGTGCGTTCAACTCTCAGAGTTTAAATTTTCTTTTCATTCAGCAGTTTGGAAACACTCTGTTTGTAAAGTCTGCACGTGGATAACTTGACCACTTAGAGGCCTTCGTTGGAAACGGGTTTTTTTCATGTAAGGCTAGACAGAAGAATTCTCAGTAA